>NC_000003.12:120372240-120675270 GCF_000001405.40 Homo sapiens
GTGGTATTTTGTTGAGGCTTTTTGCATCTGTATTCATTTGTAAGAGATATTGGTCTGTAGTTTTCTTGTGATGTCTTGGTCTGGTTTTGTTATGAGGATAATATTGGCCTCATAGGATAAGTTGAAATGTGTCCCTTATCTTCTGTTTTTTGGAAAAGGTTGTGCAGGATTGGTGTTAATTTTTCTTTTAATTCTTTAACTTTTGGTTTTGTTTATTTTCCCTATTTTTCTATTCTCTATTTCATTTACTTCCATTCTAGCCTTTGTTATTTCCTTCCTTCTACTTGCCTTGGGTTTAGTTTTAATTTCTTTTTCTAGTAATTTCATTTAAAAGATTAGGTTATTGCTTTGAGATCTTTCTTTTTTTTTAACGTGTTTTTGTTTATTATACTTTTAAGTTTTAGGGTACATGTGCACATTGTGCAGGTTAGTTACATATGTATACATGTGCCTTGCTGGTGCGCTGCACCCACTAAATCGTCATCTAGCATTAGGTATATCTCCCAATGCTATCCCTCCCCCCTCCCCCCACCCCACCACAGTCCCCAGAGTGTGATATTCCCCTTCCTGTGTCCATGTGATCTCTTTGTTCAATTCCCACCTATGAGTGAGAATATGCGGTGTTTGGTTTTTTGTTCTTCCGATAGTTTACTGAGAATGATGATTTCCAATTTCATCCATGTCCCTACAAAGGACATGAACTCATCATTTTTTATGGCTGCATAGTATTCCATGGTGTATATGTGCCACGTTTTCTTAATCCAGTCTATCATTGTTGGACATTTGGGTTGGTTCCAAGTCTTTGCTATTGTGAATAATGCCGCAATAAACATACGTGTGCATGTGTCTTTATAGCAGCATGATTTGTAGTCCTTTGGGTATATAACCAGTAATGGGATGGCTGGGTCAAACGGTATTTCTAGTTCTAGATCCCTGAGGAATCGCCACACTGACTTCCACAATGGTTGAACTAGTTTACAGTCCCACCAACAGTGTAGAAGTGTTCCTATTTCTCCACATCCTCTCTAGCACCTGTTGTTTCCTGACTTTTTAATGATTGCCATTCTAACTGGTATGAGATGGTATCTCATAGTGGTTTTGATTTGCATTTCTCTGATGGCCAGTGATGGTGAGCATTTTTTCATGTGTTTTTTTGCTGCATAAATGTCTTCTTTTGAGAAGTGTCTGTTCATGTCCTTCGCCCACTTTTTGATGGGGTTGTTTGTTTTTTTCTTGTAAATTTGTCTGAGTTCATTGTAGATTCTGGATATTAGCCCTTTGTCAGATGAGTAGGTTGTGAAAATTTTCTCCCATTTTGTAGGTTGCCTGTTCACTCTGATGGTAGTTTCTTTTGCTGTGCAGAATCTCTTTAATTTAATTAGATCCCATTTGTCAATTTTGTCTTTTGTTGCCATTGCTTTTGGTGTTTTGGACATGAAGTCCTTGCCCATGCCTATGTCCTGAATGGTAATGCCTAGGTTTTCTTCTAGGGTTTTTATGGTTTTAGGTCTAACGTTTAAGTCTTTAATCCATCTTGAATTGATTTTTGTATAAGGTGTAAGGAAGGGATCCAGTTTCAGCTTTCTACATATGGCTAACCAATTTTCCCAGCACCATTTATTAAATAGGGAATCCTTTCCCCATTGCTTGTTTTTCTCAGGTTTGTCAAAGATCAGATAGTTGTAGATATGCGGCATTATTTCTAAGGGCTCTGTTCTGTTCCATTGATCTATATCTCTGTTTTGGTACCAGTACCATGCTGTTTTGGTTACTGTAGCCTTGTAGTATAGTTTGAAGTCAGGTAGCGTGATGCCTCCAGCTTTGTTCTTTTGACTTAGGATTGACTTGGCGATGGGGGCTCTTTTTTGGTTCCATATGAACTTTAAAGTAGTTTTTTCCAATTCTTTGAAGAAAGTCATTGGTAGCTTGATGGGGATGGCATTGAATCTATAAATTACCTTGGGCAGTATGGCCATTTTCATGATGTTGATTCTTCCTACACATGATCATGGAATGTTCTTCCATATATTTGTATCCTCTTTTATTTCATTGAGCAGTGGTTTGTAGTTTTCCTTGAAGAGGTCCTTCACATCCCTTGTAAGTTGGATTCCTAGGTATTTTATTCTCTTTGAAGCAATTGTGAATGGGAGTTCACTCATGATTTGGCTGTCTGTTTGTCTGTTATTGGTGTATAAGAATGCTTGTGATTTTTGTACATTGATTTTGTATCCTGAGACTTTGCTGAAGTTGCTTATCAGCTTAAGGAGATTTTGGGCTGAGACAATGGGGTTTTCTAGATATACAATCATGTCATCTGCAAACAGGGACAATTTGACTTCCTCTTTTCCTAATTGAATACCTTTTATTTCCTTCTCCTGCCTAATTGCCCTGGCCAGAACTTCCAACACTATGTTGAATAGGAGTGGTGAGAGAGGGCATCCCTGTCTTGTGCCAGTTTTCAAAGGGAATGCTTCCAGTTTTTGCCCATTCAGTATGATATTGGCTGTGGGTTTGTCATAGATAGCTCTTATTATTTTGAAATACGTCCCATCAATGCCTAATTTATTGAGAGTTTTTAGCATGAAGGGTTGTTGAATTTTGTCAAAGGCTTTTTCTGCATCTATTGAGATAATCATGTGGTTTTTGTCTTTGGCTCTGTTTATATGCTGGATTACATTTATTGATTTGCGTATATTGAACCAGCCTTGCATCCCAGGGATGAAGCCCACTTGATCATGGTGGATAAGCTTTTTGATGTGCTGCTGGATTCGTTTTGCCAGTATTTTATTGAGGATTTTTGCATCAATGTTCATCAAGGATATTGGTCTAAAATTCTCTTTTTTGGTTGTGTCTCTGCCTGGCTTTGGTATCAGAATGATGCTGGCCTCATAAAATGAGTTAGGGAGGACTCCCTCTTTTTCTATTGATTGGAATAGTTTCAGAAGGAATGGTACCAGTTCCTCCTTGTACCTCTGGTAGAATTCGGCTGTGAATCCATCTGGTCCTGGACTCTTTTTGGTTGGTAAACTATTGATTATTGCCACAATTTCAGCTCCTGTTATTGGTCTACTCAGAGATTCAACATCTTCCTGGTTTAGTCTTGGGAGAGTGTATGTGTCGAGGAATTTATCCATTTCTTCTAGATTTTCTAGCTTATTTGCATAGAGGTGTTTGTAGTATTCTCTGATGGTAGTTTGTATTTCTGTGGGATCGGTGGTGATATCCCCTTTATCATTTTTTATTGCATCTATTTGATTCTTTTCTCTTTTTTTCTTTATTAGTCTTGCTAGTGGTCTATCAATTTTGTTGATCCTTTCAAAAAACCAGCTCCTGGATTCATTAATTTTTTGAAGGGTTTTTTGTGTCTCTATTTCCTTCAGTTCTGCTCTGATTTTAGTTATTTCTTGCCTTCTGCTAGCTTTTGAATGTGTTTGCTCTTGCTTTTCTAGTTCTTTTAATTGTGATGTTAGGGTGTCAATTTTGGATCTTTCCTGCTTTCTCTTGTGGGCATTTAGTGCTATAAATTTCCCTCTACACACTGCTTTGAATGTGTCCCAGAGATTCTGGTATGTTGTGTCTTTGTTCTCATTGGTTTCAAAGAACATCTTTATTTCTGCCTTCATTTCGTTATGTATCCAGTAGTCATTCAGGAGCAGGTTGTTCAGTTTCCATGTAGTTGAGCGGTTTTGAGTGAGATTCTTAATCCTGAGTTCTAGTTTGATTGCACTGTGGTCTGAGAGATAGTTTGTTATAATCTCTGTTCTTTTACATTTGCTGAGGAGAGCTTTACTTCCAAGTATGTGGTCAAGTTTGGAATAGGTGTGGTGTGGTGCTGAAAAAAATGTATATTCTGTTGATTTGGGGTGGAGAGTTCTGTAGATGTCTATTAGGTCCACTTGGTGCAGAGCTGAGTCCAATTCCTGGGTATCCTTGTTGACTTTCTGTCTCGTTGATCTGTCTAATGTTGACAGTGGGGTGTTAAAGTCTCCCATTATTAATGTGTGGGAGTCTAAGTCTCTTTGTAGGTCACTCAGGACTTGCTTTATGAATCTGGGTGCTCCTGTATTGGGTGCATATATATTTAGGATAGTTAGCTCTTCTTGTTGAATTGATCCCTTTACCATTATGTAATGGCCTTCTTTGTCTCTTTTGATCTTTGTTGGTTTAAAGTCTGTTTTATCAGAGACTAGGATGGCAACCCCTGCGTTTTTTTGTTTTCCATTTGCTTGGTAGATCTTCCTCCATCCTTTTATTTTGAGCCTATGTGTGTCTCTGCACGTGAGATGGGTTTCTGAATACAGCACACTGATGGGTCTTGACTCTTTATCCAATTTGCCAGTCTGTGTCTTTTAATTGGAGCATTTAGTCCATTTACATTTAAAGTTAATATTGTTATGTGTGAATTTGATCCTGTCATTATGATGTTAGCTGGTTATTTTGCTCGTTAGTTGATGCAGTTTCTTCCTAGTCTCGATGGTCTTTACATTTTGGCTTGATTTTGCAGCGGCTGGTACCGGTTGTTCCTTTCCATGTTTAGCGCTTCCTTCAGGAGCTCTTTTAGGGCAGGCCTGGTGGTGACAAAATCTCTCAGCATTTGCTTGTCTGTAAAGGATTTTATTTCTCCTTCACTTATGAAGCTTAGTTTGGCTGGATATGAAATTCTGGGTTGAAAATTCTTTTCTTTAAGAATGTTGAATATTGGCCCCCACTCTCTTCTGGCTTGTAGGGTTTCTGCCGAGAGATCCGCTGTTAGTCTGATGGGCTTCCCTTTGAGGGTAACCCGACCATTCTCTCTGGCTATCCTTAACATTTTTTCCTTCATTTCAACTTTGGTGAATCTGACAATTATGTGTCTTGGAGTTGCTCTTCTCGAGGAGTATCTTTGTGGCGTTCTCTGTATTTCCTGAATCTGAACGTTGGCCTGCCTTGCTAGATTGGGGAAGTTCTCCTGGATAATATCCTGCAGAGTGTTTTCCAACTTGGTTCCATTCTCCCCATCACTTTCAGGTACACCAGTCAGACGTAGATTTGGTCTTTTCACATAGTCCCATATTTCTTGGAGGCTTTGCTCATTTCTTTTTATTCTTTTTTCTCTAAACTTCCCTTCTCACTTCATTTCATTCATTTCATCTTCCATCGCTGATACCCTTTCTTCCAGTTGATCGCATCGGCTCCTGAGGCTTCTGCATTCTTCACGTAGTTCTCGAGCCTTGGTTTTCAGTTCCATCAGCTCCTTTAAGCACTTCTCTGTATTGGTTATTCTAGTTATACATTCTTCTAAATTTTTTTCAAAGTTTTCAACTTCTTTGCCTTTGGTTTGAATGTCCTCCCGTAGCTCAGAGTAATTTGATCGTCTGAAGCCTTCTTCTCTCAGCTCGTCAAAGTCATTCTCCATCCAGCTTTGTTCCGTTGCTGGTGAGGAACTGCGTTCCTTTGGAGGAGGAGAGTCGCTCTGCGTTTTAGAGTTTCCAGTTTTTCTGTTCTGTTTTTTCCCCATCTTTGTGGTTTTATCTACTTTTGGTCTTTGATGATGGTGATGTACAGATGGGTTTTTGGCATGGATGTCCTTTCTGTTTGTTAGTTTTCCTTCTAACAGACAGGACCCTCAGCTGCAAGTCTGTTGGAATACCCTGCCGTGTGAGGTGTCAGTGTGCCCCTGCTAGGGGTGCCTCCCAGTTAGGCTGCTCAGGGATCAGGGGTCAGGGACCCACTTGAGGAGGCAGTCTGCCGGTTCTCAGATCTCCAGCTGCGTGCTGGTAGAACCACTGCTCTCTTCAAAGCTATCAGACAGGGACATTTAAGTCTGCAGAGGTTACTGCTGTCTTTTTGTTTGTCTGTGCCCTGCCCCCAGAGGTGGAGCCTACAGAGGCAGGCAGGCCTCCTTCAGCTGTGGTGGGCTCCACCCAGTTCGAGCTTCCAGGCTGCTTTGTTTACCTAAGCAAGCCTGGGCAATGGCGGGCGCCCCTCCCCCAGCCTTGCTGCCGCCTTGCAGTTTGATCTCAGACTGCTGTGCTAGCAATCAGCGAGACTCTGTGGGCGCAGGACCCTCTGAGCCAGGTGCGGGATATAATCTCGTGGTGCACCGTTTTTTAAGCCGGTCTGAAAAGTGCAATATTCGGGTGGGAGTGACCCGATTTTCCAGGTGCGCCCGTCACCCCTTTCTTTGACTCGGGAAGGGAACTCCCTGACCCCTTGCACTTCCCAAGTGAGGCAATGCCTCGCCCTGCTTCGGCTCGCGCACGGTGCACGCACCCACTGACCTGCGCCCACTGTCTGGCACTCCCTAGTGAGATGAACCCGGTACCTCAGATGGAAATGCAGAAATCACCCGTCTTCTGCGTCGCTCACGCTGGGAGCTGTAGACCAGAGCTGTTCCTATTCGGCCATCTTGGCTCCTCCCACCTTTCTTTTTTTTAATATAGGCATTTCCAGCTGTAAATTTCCCCCTGAGCACTAATTTAGTGGTATCCATAAATTTTAGTATGTTGGTATGTTGTGTTTTCATTTTCAATCATTGCAAAATATTTTCTAATTTCTTTTGAGATTTCTTCTTTGACTCATTGGTTACTTAGGAGTGTATTATTTAATTTCCACATATTTGTGTATTTCCTAAATTTCATTCTGTTATTAATTTCAAATTTCATCTCATTATAATATGTTTTGAAAATTGGAAGTGTGAATTCTTCATCTTTGTTATTTCTCAAAAATTTTCTGAATATTCTATATCTTTTGCATTTTCATATGAATTTTATGGTCAGGTTTTTCAACTTCTGGTCAAAAGCAAGCTGGGATTTTAACAGGTATCATGTGGAATTGCAGAACAATTTAGATAGTACTGCCATTGGGTTAGTCTGTTTTACATTGTTATAAAGGAATACCTGAGGCTGGATAATTTATAAAGAAAAGAGGTTTATTTGGCTTAAGGTTTTGCAGACTGTACAAGCATGGCACCAGCATTTGCTCAGCTTCTGGTGAGGCCTCAGGAAGCTTTTATTTGTGGCAGAAGGCAAAGGGGGAGCAGGCATGTCACATGGTGAGAGAAGGAGCAAGAGAGAAAGGGAGGGTTGCCATGCTCTTTTAAACAACAAGCTCTCACATTAATGAATAGAGCAAGAACTCATTCATGATAGCCATGAGGGCACCAAGCCATTCATGAAACATCTGCCTCCATGATCCAACACCTTCCATTAGGCCCCACTTTCAACATTGGGGGTCACATTTCAACATGAAATTTGGAGAGGACAAACATCCAAACTATATTAGTCATCCTAACAATATTAAGTCTTTTGACCTATGAACATGTGATATCTTTCTATTTATTTGGTAGGTTGTGTCTTAACTCTGTCTCTGTCACATTTCCATTTATTCAATATTTCATTCATTCACTCATCAAATACTTGTTTTATGATACTCAAACTGTGCTAGATACTCTTTTAGGCACTGGAGATGCAACAGTGAACAAAACAAATTTCTGCCCTCAAGAAACTTACATCCTAGTAATGGGGAGAAATAGGCAACCAATGAAAAGATAATTAAAATATACAGTATGTCACTGTTTACATCCATTCACATGAAATACAAAAACAGAAAAAATTAATCTATGCTGTTAGAAGTCAGGATGGTGGTTACCCTTGGAGTTTGGGAGGAGGACAGAAACTGGAAGACAGCACGAAGAGACTCCTGGGGTGATGGTAATATTCTGTTTCTTGATCTGGATGCTAGTTACATGGTTGTATTCAGTTTGTGAAAATTAATTGGGCTGGACACTTAAATGTACTTTTCTGTATGTATATTATAAAGTAAAACATATTTCATATATCAGATGATGAATAGTCATACAGAGGAAGATAAAGCAGAGAAAGCAGAATAGAAAGAGGGGAGTGGCGTAGGGAGGGTTGTAATTTATTTTATTTTATTTTGTTTTATTTTATTTTATTTTATTTTTGAGACAGAGTCTTGCTCTGCCACCCAGGCTGGAGTGCAGTGGCACGATCTTGGCTTACTGCAATGTCCACCTCCTGGGTTCAAATGATTCTCGTGCCTCAGCCTCCCGAGTAGCTAGGATTACAGGCATCTGCCACCATGCCTGGCTAATTTTTGTATTTTCAGTAGAGACGTGGTTTCACCATGCTGGACGGGCTGTTCTCGAACTCCTGACCTTAAATGATCCACTGCCTTGGCCTCCCAAAGTGCTGGGATTACAGGCATGAGCCACTGTGCCTGGGATGAGAGTTGTAATTTTAAATAGACTGTCCAGAGAAAGCTCATTGAGGTTAAATTTTAACAAAGATTTGAAGGAGGTGAGGGAACTGGGCCTTGAAGTGGGCAAGGGCTGGTGGATTTTGGGCAAGGGCTGGTGGATTTGAGGAACAGCCAGGAGGCCAGTGGCTGCAATGAAGAGAGTTCATGAGACAGTGTAGGAGTTCAGATCAGAAAGATAACAGGAGGCTAGATTGCGTGGCGTCATAAAGTCCATTGTAAGGGTTTTGACTTTTGCTCATACTGTGGGAAGAGATGGAAGAAAGCCATTGGAGGGTTTTGAACAGAGGAGTGAAATGATGTGACTTATATTTTATAAGGATCTTAATGGGTACTTTTGAGAAGATGGTGTCTTGGTTCAATGTGTTAGTAGTGGAATTAGTGAGAAGAGATTGGATTATGTATATATTTTTGAAGGTAGAGCAAATATGATTTGCTGACAAATTAGATGAGGGGTATAAGGGAGAGAAGTCAAGTGATGACTAAAGCTTTTGCCCTGAGCCACTGGAAGAACAGAACCACCATTTATTCTGATTAAGAAGTCCTGGAATTTGGTTTGGGACATATTACATTAGAGATGCCCATTTGAAACATTTGAGGGGAAATGCTGAATGGGTGGTTGGATATAAAACTGGAGTTTAGGAGAGAGGTCTAAGCTTGAAACATAAACCTGGGAGATGTCAACCTATAGGTGGTTTTTCAAATTACGAGACCAGATGGGCTCATCAAGAAAGTAGACACAGACGAAGAAGAGTAGAGGTTCAGGAACTGAGCCCTGGAACCCTCCAACATTTATAGTCAGAGAGGCAAACAGAAACCAGTGAAGAAGAATAAGGAGTTGACAGTAAAGTAGAAGAAAAACTAGGAGAAGTGTCATGACCTGAAAGCAAATGAAGAAAGCATTTCAGGGAGGAAGGAGTGTTTGACTGTGTTGAAGACTACTGATGGGCCAAGTAAGATGAAGACTGAGAATAGATCATTTGATTGAAGGAATGTAGGCAACTTTTGGGCACTGAGAACAGATCACTGGAATGCTAACACCGAGGACAGTTTGCTTCAAAGAGGGGCAGCACAGAAATGTGTATTAACTGGAGAAGTTATAGTGTGTCATTTTTCATTTTCTTTTAGATGGGATAAATAGTATGATAATGGACAGACGGAGAGGGTAAACTTGATGCTACACAAGAAGGGGAAGAATTGCTGAGCAATGACTTTCAGGAGGCAGAAGGATAGGGTCTAATGCACAAGTACAAGGTTTGCCTTAGGTAAGATTATGTACAAGGAGGTAAGATAAAGTATATGGACATAGATGCAGAAAGGTGGAGACTGTGGTAGGGAAAGCTTCTGGAAATTCTCTTCTGATTGCTTCTAATTTTCTTAGTGAAACCAGAGGCAATTCATCAGCTGAGTGTGAGGCTGGGGATGGCAGTATTAAGGAAAAAGAATGAAAACAGTCAACTAGGAGAGTAGGAGATGCTAACTAAAGAAATATACCAGGCATCCCGGGTAGTGCTAAAGGCACTTTTGAGGTTCAAAGTCATGAATTTTAAGTGAGAAAGGCTGGGTGCAGTGGCTTACACCTGTAATCCCAACATTTTGGGAGGCCAAGGCAGGTGGATCACCTGAGGTCGGGAGTTCGAGACCAGCCTGACCAACATGAAGAAACCCTGTCTCTACTAAAAATACAAAATTAGCTGGGCGTGGTGGCACATGCCTGTAATCCAGCTACTCAGGAGGCTGAGGCAGAAGAATCACTTGAACCCGGGAGGCAGAGGTTGCAGTGAGCCAAGATCGTGCCATTGCACTCCAGCCTGGGCAACCAGAGCAAAACTCTATATCAAAATAATAATAATAATAATAAAAACACAAATTAAAAAATAAAGTGAGAAAACTCAGTGTGGTTGTATATTTTTATCCAGCCTAATTTAGCTGCTTGAGTGCAAACACAGAATGGGAGGAGAGTTGGGTTAATTGAATATTGAGGTTTTGCCGTACAAGCATGACAGAGGAAGACCTGCATGCTAGAAAGTGATTATAATGATCAACCATGGAATCTAAGCTGGGTTGGGGAGGATGAAGGATGCAAAATGAGAGAAGCACAGTGAAAAAGTGGTAGGATCATTGGATTTTAGGCCCTGATGGCAACCAAAACATTGTTAGAATTGGAGTATCAGAGAAAGTGAGTTGAAAGGATAGAAGGTAGTTGCTGAAGAGTAGGATGCTTGAAATTGAGATAATGGAGAAGTCGTGATTATTGCCAGTGATAAGATCTAAGTTCTAACCATGAGGAAAGTGGCTAAAATAAAATAGAGAAAAAAAAATCCTTGGAGGAGAGGAAGTCAAGATCCAAAGGAGGTCATGGGATAGATCATTTATGAGACAGTGACATCAAGAGTTATGACAGAAGCAGCGATGTAGAGCTTGACAAAGTCAGCAGCTAAAATCGAGGAATGGTAGGGGTGGGGAGAGGAACAATAGAAAACTGTAATGAAAGTGTAGTGGATAGCAAAGTCTAATGACATGATGTTTTAAACTGAAGGTTTGTAGAGGAAAGAGCAAGAAGGATCCAGTTTATGAAAGATGTTGTAAAGAAAACCAGCACCACTTGAAAGGGCTATGGAGGAAGTGTCCTCAGAGGGGAGCCAAGTTTCAGTTAGAAAACCAGAAGGTGAGGGAAATGTTAACAGAAGCTCAGAGTAGAAGGGATTTGTTGGTGATTAATAGCAAGTTCTAGAAGGCACAATAGAAGGGTTTCAAATGTTAGGTGTGGGTTTTGGGGTCAGAAAAGGGAAAGTACAGAGCCATATGGCTCAGAGTCCCTGAGATGAAGGATGAACTGGGGGTCTTGGGCTTCTTGTGGTTAAGTACGAATTGGGGAAAAATGTGATGAGATTAGATTTGGAGGTCTCAATACAAACCATGATGGTAAAGCTGTTGATGTTGTGTGTGGGAGGCAGAGAGAAGGGGCAGGGAGGAGAGGCAAGGATATTGCCAAGATTAGAGTTCTGAGGTACCATTATTCACTCTCAGTTATAGAGGTGTAGAGGCCAGGGTGGAGCAGACTTATCTAGAATAAGGAAAACTCTGGAAGTCCCTTTGGATTCATATGGATTATGGTGTGGAAGCTGGAGAATGAGAAGCACGACAACATATTACAACTCAAGGGTGCTCTATTCACATAGACTCTAATGTGATGGGCACCCCTGGAGGAGTGCAGTGGGACTCCCCTGGAAAAACACACTCTATAGTGCCTCAGAGTATATTTGCAAACTTATTGCATTGCTGAAATTCATTATTATTTATCTTTTCACAAGATTGTGAGTCTCTCATAAGCAGGGATGAAATTCTCTCTTTTCTGGCTCCTGGCATATATAATAGGCTCTTGGAATATGCATTAGCTCTTAATTCCCAAGTCTTATTATCATGGCTCCAGAGATACAAAATAACTTAGAACCTTGAAATGGAAATGTGCAACCCCTTGATTCCTTTTCTTAGGGTACATCAGGAGCATCTTCCTCCCTTCTACTCCTGTGGGCTCACAAACTAACAAGCAAAGTCTACAGTCTTTCATTGGCCTGGGATAACTTCCTTGCAGAGCATACTAGAATGTGGTAGCATTTGCTGACCTAATGACATCAGCTCCTCTTCCATGTGTCTCAGTCCCATAAGCCTAACAGACACAAGAGTGAGTGCTAGGCTACAGCCCAGGGCCTAGTTTGCTTCTGTTTCTCTTCTCTCTCTCTGAAAGTTAGTAAAAATTTCATCCCATTCACTCCCCTTTTCTCTTTTCTCTAATTCTTCCCCAACCAATACTTGTTGAATTAATGAATGGGTAAATTAGAATTTCATCTTACAAATGAAGGAGAACTGCGTAACAGTGAATGAGTTGAGGGCTACCACTCTTAGGGAGAAGAAAGAATTTACTTTGTACAGCTATTCTTTCCTGTGTGACTTCAAGAAATGCACTGTAGATAAATGTAGGATCTGCCTCTAACACAAAACTCAGGCCTATCCTGTTTTCTTTCTTTCTTTCTTTGCAGGGAGAAAGTATCCCCATACCTATTAAGAGATTTGAATAACATCTGCCCAAGAGTCTAATCATCTTGCCTTTAGCCACAGGTGCTCCTGGTTTTCTCTTGTGGATATTTTGTCCTAGACCCCTACCTATCATAAACAGAAAAAAGTAAGGTAGTAATAGGTCGAGTATGTTGCATGTTGACAAAAACTATAGAAGCTTCCACATTTTGCCTCCCTTAGGTTTGTATGTCAGATCTTGTTTCTTTATCTCTATTTCTGTCTTTTATTTATAAGATTTACTTTTATTTTCTCTTATGTATCTCCCATGTTAAATTCTGAGTGAAATTCAAAAATTTTAATTGCAAAAATGAAAGAAGATTAAAAGTCTAATGAACTGTCCATTTTGTGTATATTTCATTGGTGTGATGCTTCAGCGATGGATGACTTGTAAGGGAGTTCAGAGCAGAGAAAACCTGCCCTAGGTTTCCTCTAAGCAAGATTTTTTTTTTATTTTTTGGTAAAATGTGTCTCAGTCTGTTTCCTGTTGCTATAACTGAATACCTGAAACTGGATAATCTATAAAGAAATAATTTTTTTTTTTTTGAGACAGAGTCTTGCTTTGCCACCTAGGCTGGAGTGCAGTGGTGCAATCTCAGCTCACTGCCACCTCCGCCTCCTGGGTTCAAGCGATTCTCCTGTCTCTGCCTCCCGAGTAGCTGGGATTACAGGTATGTGCCACCACATCCAGCTAATATTTGTATTTTTAGTGGAGATGGGGTTTTGCCATGTTGGCCAGGCTGGTCTCGAACTCCTGACCTCAGGTGATCTGCCTGCCTCGGCCTCCCAAAGTGTTAGGATTACAGGCGTGAGCCACTGTGCCTGGCCAAGAAATTTATTCCTTACAGTTCTGGAGGCTGGGAAGTCCAAGACTATGGCACCGGCATCTAGTGAGGGCCTGCTTGCTGCAAATTAACATGGCAGAGTGTATCACATGGTGAGAGGGTAAGAGTGTGTATGTCAGCTCAGGTCTCTCTTCCTTTTTTATAAAGCCACCAGTCCCATCCTGGGAGCCCCACCCTTGTGACATTATCTAATTCTAATTACATCTCAAAGGCCCCACCTCCAAATACAATATGAAATTGGGGATTACATTTCTGACACATGAAATTTGGGGGACACATTCAAACCATAGCATGATGTTACATGGGCACTTTGTTGGCACAAGGAAGAACCTGAGAAAGAGATATCTTTTAAAAAATAATTATGGATAACAGTTCTTATAGTTATTAAAGTCTCTGGCTATTACTGCACAAAGGCAATTAAAATCTTGGAAATTCAAAGGTGAGACTAACCCTTGAACTTTTCTGATTTGCCCAATTGATTTCAGTCTTTATTATTCCTATAACCCACCTTCCAAATCTCTCCTAGTTCTATGCATTGTACATAGATTCTCCTCTGCTATAGTCTGAATGTTTGTATCTCCCCAGAATTCAAATATTGAAATCCTAACTCCCAAAGTTATAGTATTAGGAGGTGGGGCCTTTGGGAGGTAGTTAGGTCATAAGGGTGGAGCCCTCATGAATGGGATTAGTGCCCTTATAAAAGAGGCCTATGAGAGGTTCCTTGTCCCTTCCACCAAGCGAAGACACAGTGAGGAGATGCCGTCTATGAACCAGAAAGAGGTCCTCACCAGACACAAAATCTATTAGCACCTTGATGTTGGACTTCTCAATTTCCAAAACTGTAAGCAATAAATTTCTGTTATATATAAGCCATGCAGTCTAAGGTATTTTGTTATAGAAGCCAGAATAGACTAAGACATCTTCCTTTGTTTTTTTGGGGGGTTCAGGAGAAGGATGGCAGTATCTTCCCTGGGAGGTTGGGCCATGAAGGAATCAAGCTTAGGTTATAGAAGTGAAGAGAAAAAGATGTGGAACAGTAAGGAAAGAGAAAAGAGAAAAAGTTGTGGAACATTAAGGAAAGAGAAAAGAAAACTGTCCAGGAACTAGAGATTTTAATGGGCTCAAAACCCAATTTTTTTGAATGATCAGATTAATATTAAATAATTTCAATGGGGATAAGACCTATGTCTGCCTCTAAGTCCTCCACATAGTATGTCACAGCAAAAAGGAGGATCATCAGGGAGATTTGTGCAATTGTACAGACATCTGCATTTCTAAGGTAAGTTTTTGCCAGGCCAAACCTTTGAGGTATGTGCTGAGGGCTGCTGGGATACTCACACTCGCTGGCATGACTCCTGGATATAGCATCCTTTGGGAGACCAGCTTGGACTGGGGATCACTTTTTAGGAAACTTCAGAGGCATGGGTTGAACTGCATTCACATATGTACTTAAAAGAAACCAAAATGAAAGGACATGCAGACAGTTATTAGAACCACATGAAGGAATATATGGTTAGTTATATGTGCTCAGCAATTACATTATAGAAAACACAAATTAGGAATTAATGGTTCACAATGATGTGATGATCTTTAAAATAAAGGGAAACATTGTGGCAAGGCAAAATGAGCATGACAGGGACCTGGGTCTGAATCCTGAATGTGTTCCCTGTTAGCTGTGTTAGTGTTGAACAAGTTCCTGAAACTTAAACTACATGTTCCTCATTTGTAAAATATATTTTTCACAGGGTCAGTCTGAGAATTATGAGAATATGTTATAGGTATTGATAACTGGTAATAATGATACCTGACACCTACATAACACTTTCTATGTGCCAGAAACTATTTGAAAAAAAAGTTACACAGCATGGGCAACATGGCAAAACTCCATCTCTAAAAAAGGTACAAACATCAGCCAGGCGTGATGGTGGGCACCTATAGTCCCAGCTGAGATGCGAGTCTGGGGAGGTCGAGGCTGCAGTGAGCTGTGATCGTGCCAATGCACTCCAGCCTGGGCAAAAGAGTGCCCTGTCTCAAAAAAAAAAAAAAAAATTACATTAACTCATTTAATCCTCAAAGGAAAAAAAAAGAATGAGGTAGGTATTATTATTAAGCTACCTTAAAGAGAAAACTGAGGCACAGAGAGGTTAAATAACTTCCAGAAGCATAAAACGTAGGAGCAGAGCCAGGATTTAAACCCAGGAAACCTGGCTGTTAAACACTACATTGTATTGTCTCAGTGGAATATCAGCCATAATAAGAACCACGTTCTGATATAGGTCAATTAGGAAGGAGTTAAAACATGTAATATGTGATGATATAAAAATTACTGGCTGCCAGATTTGACTATGAAGTCCTGCAGAAGAATTTTGGAGCAAACTTATTTTACTTCGAGTTGTCCCAGCTCCCTGGAAAATGTCAAATTCCGCTAACTTGTGTAATTTAAAGCTAGGCCAGGAGACCCCACGTGCGTGCATCTTGATCCTGGAGCTGCTTCCCTGGTGTCCAATGCAAATGGCCTCTGTGGCCTAGCACCCCCCTTCCCACCACTCGAGGTTGCACCAAGGCCTAGGAGGGTCACGTTGAGGTTCCTACCCACTGGCAAGCAAGAGCCTGGCAGCCATCCCCTCCGTGGTTTGCCCGTGGCCACCCATGACTACTACCGGCGCCTCCAGGGTTCCACTCGCAGCAGCAGCACCTGATGATGGGCCTTGCTGAGTACCCTAGAGAAGCCATCCCCCACCCCCTGGTCTCTGGAAGGCTGATCCAGGTGATAGGAGTGTAAGGTAAAATAAAGCTGTAAACATGTTTTGACCATAGGACAAGACATTGTTGAAAAAAAGTTTAAGTTGTGAACGTATTGACCAAAGAGTCAAAGAGTCAGGACATGTAAAACAAGATAAAATAGAAAAACATGTTTATGTGGACTTTGCCAAACATATTTGGACTTTGGTAAACAACTTTAATGGATGCTACAAAATATGGTAAACAAGTGGACCAAAACAACAATGGAGTTCACCAGGGCATGACCAATCAGACAAAGGTGTTCACCACTACACTGGGATGGAACACAGAAAAGAACGACTTCATTGACCACTTAGGCGCGACGTATCCCCCCAGTCAGTCTCCGAGCCCCTTGCTGCATTGTGCCCATATGCCCATTCACTCTCACATTGGACAAGACCACCACAGGCAGACAAGAGACTATGCCTGGACTATGAATAGAATGCAAACTGAAAGGTTTTTTTTGTTTTTGTTTTGTGTTTTTGAGACGGAGTCTCACTCTGTCACTCAGGCTGGAGTGCAGTGGAGCGATCTCAGCTAACTGCAACCTCCGCCTCCCGGGTTCAAGCAATTCTCCTGCCTCAGCCTCCTGAGTAGCTGGGATTACAGGCATGTGCCACCATGCTCGGCTAATTTTTGTATTTTTAGTAGAGATGGGGTTTCACCATAATGGTCAGGCTGGTCTCGAACTCCTGACCTCGTGATGCACCCACCTTGACCTCCCAAAGTGCTGGGATTACAGGTGTGAACCACCATCCCCGGCCGACTGAAAGGTTTTAATTGCCTTGGTAAGGCTGCCCCTTGATGATCTCTTTTGAGTGTGTTTTTACATGTGTAGAGAAATGACCATTATTACATACAATCAATAAACCGTGTGATTCAAACATTTAACTTGAGTCATTGATTCTTGTCATTTTCTGCACCATAAAATCCTCAAGAAAGCATGAGTTATGTCCTTGTGACAGCAGGTCACTGGTGGGTGAGCTGCTTTTTCGGGAAGTCCACTGTCCTGTTCATGCCATGGTGTTGGAGTCCCCAGAGCACTTGGATTCCCCTCAGGCCTCCAGCATGACCACCTCTGGCCTGGTTCAGAGAGTCACCAGGAAGCAGCCTGGCAGCCACCCCAACAAAATCAGTGCCCATCTGGGCCTGTGCAGGCACCACGAGCCCCAGCTACTCGGGAGGCTGAGGCAGGAGAATCGCTTGAACTCGGGAGGCAGAGGTTGCAGTAAGCCAAGATTGCACCACTGCACTCCAGCCTGGGCAACAGGGCGAGACTCCATCTCCAAAAAAAAAAAAAAGAAAGAAAGAACCCTTTCCCTCAGATGCAGCATAGATGGGAAGGAGAATGACCTAGCAGTAGTAGATAAGTTAGGAGGCTATTTCAGGGATGAGGCAAGAAATAATGGTGATTTGAACTAGAACAATGGCAGTGGGGATTAACAGGGAAAGGAGGTAGCATTGATAACAGCTGGCTATTGACTAACTGGGGCTCGAGTAGCTGGGACTACAGGTGTGTGCCGCCATGCCCAGCTAATTTTTTGTATTTTTAGTAGAGATGCAGTTTCATTGTGTTAGCCAGGATGGTCTCGATCTCCTGAGCTCATGATCCACCCGCCTCAGCCTCCCAAAGTGCTGGGATTACAGGCGTGAGCCACCACGCATGGTCTGGGTTCTTTCTTAAACTGAATCTGATCATGCCTTTCTCCTGCCATTATAACTTCATTAGCTCTCTCTTGTTCTCAGGATACAGTCTTTACAAATAGCATTTATAAATATAATCAACATGTTACAAGGCCAACAACAGCTGTGTTTTATTGAGCAGTCACTATATGCCAGGGCCTTTACATGTTTATTTCATTTAATCAGCACAGCAACGTTATGAAGTAGTGTTATACCTTCATTCTGTAGAAAATAATAACAAAGCATGTCAGGCACTTTCTAACTTTTTGCATATTTTATGTTATTTAATCCTTATAACAATGCTATGAAATACAAATTACTATTTCCATTTTACAGAAGAAGAAATTTAAGCATAGAGAATCTGATTTGCCTAAGGTTGCATGTCAATAACAGATTGGGATTCAGACCCAGGTCTGAATCTAAAGCTTTTATTGACTCTACCACATCCCTGAATCTCTGCATATGCCACTCTTGAATGGACTTTGACTAGGCTAATTCTACTTGTTCAGATTTCAGCCTAGAAAAACCTTCCACGATTGCTGACGCCACACTATTGATCTTCTTGTTTCCATAATGTGTACTCGTTTCTCATCTTTGTCATAATATGGTTGCAAGATATCAAACAGACTGCTGACCTGCCTGTCTTCCTGAGACAGGAGACTGAGTCTGATTATATATCCAATCTGAGTGCCTTCCCAGTGCCTGACACATAATACCCAGTAAAAGTTTGTTCAATTCTACTTGTTCACATCATCTGTTTGTACTTCCTAGGTCTCACCTATTCATAGAGTACATACTCATTATTTCTTTTTCACAGATTCAAATGGTGTTTACACATCTAAAGCTCTTCTATAACATGGATTATAGTAAACAACTCCTGGTTTTGCTCATTCTCTACCAGAATCTTGAAAGGACCTACTTGATGGGTAGCTATATACACCAATGCATAAGTGATGGCATAATTCAGGTTTTCATAAAGGTATCAAATGAGGTGTTTGTTTGTTTGTTTTGAGACGGAGTCTCGCTCTGTTGTCCAGGCTGGAGTGCAGTGGTGTGATCTCAGCTCACTGCTGATTGCTCAAGCAATTCTCCTGCCTCGGCCTCCCAAGTGGCTGGGATTACGGGTGTGTGCCACCACGCCCAGCTAATTTTTTTTATTTTTAGTAGAAATGGGGTTTCACCATGTTGGCCAGGCTGGTCTCAAACTCCTAATCAAATGAGTTTTTGAGAATAATTGGGCACACATGCAGAAACAAGATCACCTGTAGTTTATCCTACTTATTTTCAAATAACAATTTATAAAGCTTCCTATCTCACTGAGTAAAAGCCAGATTCCTTACATGGCCTATTAGGACCACAAGATATACCTTCCTCACCCCTCAGTCCCTTACCCTGCCTTGTCACTTCTTTGCCTCGTATTCTGCTACTCTCTCCCTCATTCACTTCAGCCCTGCCAAGCTGACACTCTTGCACTGGCTCTCTCTTTTGTCTAGAATGCTCTTGTTCAGACATCACACATCGAATTCCCTTGGCTTAGTCTTTTTCACTTTCTCAATGAGGCCTATCCTGACCACTATATTTAAAATGGGAAACTGAGACAAACTGAGACACTCCCTTACCCTACACTCTCCTAGTCCCCCTCCTCTTGCTATACATAGTCCTTATCACCTTCTAACATACCATAAGCTTTACTTATTTATTGCATCTATTATCTAGCTCTCCCTGCTAGAATTTAAGCTCCACAAAGCCAGAGATCATTATGTCTTTTCACTGGTCACAGGTAAGTCCGAGCACTTAGAACAAACACTTAGAAAATGTCTGTAACGTAGTAATAGACACAACAAATATTTGGTAAATGAACAATAAATGATATTGATCTCCATCTCTACTTTTTCCTTACAAAAGAGTTGAAAATCACCCTTAAACAATCATAGAGTAGAATGGATCAAAGGATAGTTGAGGTACAGTTTGGATCCCCTACTATATTGTTCTTATTCCCTTAATTACAACCTTAGATTTAGCTTATATATTCCATGACTCTGGCAATGACTACATTATGCCATGTTCTGTCCTCCCCAAGTGGACATTTCTGAATGCTTTTTGAGGGCATCAGAGTTCTACTCTGGCCGTTTTCTGTCCTTAAGTTTCAACAATGACACAGATTTTAAAGTTCTTTTGTCTTAAAGACAGAAAGGAAAAGATGTATAAATCGGGTTATATAAAGAGTCGAGTTTTCTACAAGGCAAAGCATCTCATAAAGTCAAAAGAAGAAAAACAAACTGAGAAAGTATTTGCCACATTCACAACAAAGGGCTAACGATATACTTATGGAGAACTATGACAAACCAGTAAGAAAAAGACCAGCAACCATTAGAAAAACAAAGAAAATGAAGAAAATGACAAGAACCAATTATTCATGAGATGATATTTAATCTTACAAAAGGAATAATGAATATAAAAAATAAAACAAGGAGTTACCATTTTTCCTCTATCAGAGGCCAAAAAGTTCGAAGGCACAATGTTTGCAAGAATGTAGGGAAATGGATATGCTCAGTTTATGTACTTTTGGCAGTCATGCATACTGGTGCAACTTCTTTGACTTTATAGGCAATCATAGGCAAATTTATAAATGTACACACCCTCTTAAGAGGATGGTTTTATTCACTGTATTTTCTGTGATACAATTTGGATTTTTACCATGTACACATATTATTTTTTCAGTAAAAAAGTTAAATCATTAGGAAAACATTAATTCTCATTGACAGGAAGACCCTCCTTCCTATTCATACAGCAACATTTTACTTCCTATGTCACACCATGCAACAGCCCCCAGCAGCAGTAGGCCAGAGTTGTTTTCATGTCCCATATCCCAGCTAGGATTATTCCAGGGCTCTGAAGGCATCTGCTTAGATCTATCTATGCATTCATATTTTTTCCCTTCCTTCCTTCCCCTTATTTCAGAAATAATTCAAGAGGACTGATGATAACTTGATAAAGAAGCTCTAAAATAAAGCTGATCAAAGTAACATACTTCTTTGCACAATTCGTAATATTAAATTTTGATGAAAGGAAACTTAGCTTCTGAATTATGCTTAGTTTAATAATGTTGCACTTCCTGAATACATACATACTATAACAGCAGAAAAAGTTTTCCCAGAACATGGTGGAAGGTTGGGAAGTTAGCCAAAATTTAAAAGTGGTTGTGGACAAGGTACCCTTCAAACTGGGTTTAAGATTCCCTTCTGAGAATGAAAATTTGAAGAATCAAACTGTAAGAGCAGTAATCTGTAGCAATCACATAACAAAAAAGATTGCCTTTTAATATTTGATTAGCATTTGGGTAATATCCCAAATCCAATCAAAGTGATCCAGCTATAATTTTAGGAAAGCAAAACTTCCACATGACTGAACCGAAGAAACCTTAAACCTCATTGACTATAATATGCTCTTTTGGGAGGCAGAATTATTGTGGGTGGAGAGTGCATGATACATATGAAAATGGCAGGTTGGAAAGCGTTAGTCATGTGTCCCCAAGCAAAAGAGGTTTTAACCAGCTAACGTTCAGCCCACTTGGAACTGTTTACCCCCATGGAATGTGTGTATCAAGGAAGTGCCATTAAGGTTATTTAGCCTGTCCCTGGCAATGATTCCATGTTCCCTGTACTACCTTCCCATGTTTATTTGCCTTCTCACAGGCTACTGCAGTCAGCCTCACTGGATGCCATTTAGTCTCCTAAATCATATGGGGGATTTACGAGTCATTTAATTTAATGTCTTCCCAATACAGGAATGCACCTGCTATGGTTTGAATGTTTATGTCCCCCAAAATTCATATGTTAAAATTGAATCCCCAAAGCAATGGTATTGAGAGGTGAGGCTCTTGGGAGATGATTAGGTCATCAAAGTTTAACCCTCATGAATGGGTAAGTGCCCTTATAAAAGAGGCCTAAGGGAGTTTGTTCACCCTTTTCACCATGTGGGGATGCATCAAAAAGGTGCATTCTTTGAAGCAGGCAAGCTTCAACAAGCCGTCATCAGACACTGAATCTGCTGGTACCTTGATCTTAGGCTTCCCAGCCTTCAGAACTGTGAGCAATACATTTCTGTTGCCTATAATTACCCAGTCTGAGGCATTTTGTTATAGCAACTTGAAGGGACTAAGACACTTTCTGACTTGTCATCACCTTCTACTCCAGACCCACTATCCATGATCCTTTCAAAGAAACTTGTTCTACCAGTCCCCGAGTAAACTTTCCATCCAAGCTGTAGTCCCAGGAGAAACTCTTCAGTCCTTTTTAAGGCTCCTGAAACTCAAATCCACTCTTAGGAAGTAAATGGGTAATGTTCTCACGACTTTATTTGGCCTTAATTGGGGGAAAGGAAACCAATAAAACCATCACTTTAATTTCTTTATTCATCAATAGTATCCGAAAAGGAAGAATCAGGAGTTACAAAAACAAGTTAAATGCAATATAGAAGCCTACTAAATACAAATACAAGTTCACAAACACATATGCAACAGAAACTTGTTTAGATTGTTTCTTGAAGTTTGACTACTTAAAAACATAGGTGTAAAGGAAAGACATTCAGACTGGTCCACGTGGGCTTGTTAGCAGGCAGAGGAACCCTGCTTTCCAAAAACTGATATAGTCCAGAGTCACGGCATGTGGGAATGTTTCCATGGACACTGGATCTTAACAGATGCTATAGTGTTTACAAAACTACACACACAGAGAAAGCCCAAGGAAGCCTGCAGGCTAAGCCCTATGCTTTTAGAGGGCTGAAGGAACCAAACCTAGTTTAATCCTGTTTGTTTGCTCCATGCAAAACTTTATGGAAGACTCCCCAGACTAGGCTATTTAGCAGCTTCCATGAATGGTCCTCAGATCATGTGATTCTACGGCATAGACGACAGCTGCCCTATTTACACAGAAGCTGCAGAACTCAAGAGGAATGTGGATTTGCTCTTGGGAGTTCAATGTTGCAGGGTAGAGTAGTCTTGGATGATAACCATGTTCTAAATGACTAGTGAAGAGACACTGTGGTTTCTTGCTTTTAACAAATTGGTGTACTCTTGCCCTCCTCCCATAGTGTCCAAGGGCTGGTAAAACCTTTGATTAAGGCGTGCTGCTGTGAGTTCTCCAAGGCACTTGGACAGGGAGCTGCATTTCAGACTGAACAAGTGGAGTTTGAAGAGTTTTTAGATGGGATGGATACATAAAAGCTTGAAATGCTAAACAAAGTGGAATTTTCTCCTTTCAAATGAGAACAAGAAAAACTAGAAGGAATTCTATTTTTGGCACAACAGTTTCTCACAGTTGCCTGTGCATTACAACCTAAATAATTTCCTTCTGATGGTCTTTAATCTGCTTTCTGCAAATGAGATCTTATGTCAAGGATTTAATCTTTGGTATTCCAAATGCATCTGAAACAGGGTAGTGAGTGGGGTTAATAATCACAGAAGTCGAAAGACACAGGACTAACTGTAAATGACTGACCTCCCCAAGTCACAGTTTTAGGATTAAATCTCCATTTTCTTCCCCCTGTTGAATCTGAAACTTTCTTTTATCCTCATCTCTAAGGGAATGCTTTCTATTTCCAGCCGGAGGTTAAACATGAAATGCAAATATGAAGACAGAGTGGGGTGGTTCTCTTTCCCACTCTCTTCCTGCTTTACCCATGAGGACTCCATATCATAGCACGACCTGTAGGGTCATCAGGCTGAGATCAAATCTGGTCATCTTGTTTTTGGCCATCTGACATTTCTTGTTCTAGTAACAAGATTTCATTTATTCTATAGAGAAGAAGGAAAAATCACAGGAACCTATCTCCCCTCTGGACCAATGATCAGAACCACAGAATTTATAACTTATCAAATCAAAAGGTTAGTGCATTCTTACCAGCTCACTGAGGAAACTGAGGTCCAGAAAAAAGAAGAGACAGGGCCAACTCACCCTCCTAGTTAGTCGAATGAGCATATTGGTAGGCTGGGATATCCTAAGCCCTGCTTGGCTGCCCTTGTCGCCATCCTTGGGAATACTGATTTGCCTCAACTTCTCAGAATAAATAAAAACAAATTAATGTTTGGATCTTGAAAGTTTTTTATGAAGATGCTTCTTCCCCTGGCTTCGGTCTAAGGCACCCTTGCTCCTCTGGCAGATAGTGGACTGCTGGAAGCTAGGGGGGCCAACTATGGGCTGCATCTAGTATGTGGCAGGGTGGGGGCATCTGGGTTATTTCAGCCCCTGCACCAGGAAGAACCCCAAACTCCTTCCACCTATGAAGTGGTGGGACTACTGAAAAATAATTACAAAAGCTTAATACCTAGTCAAGAAAATAAAATATTAAAAAACAATAATATAATGATAATAATTGAAGAATAAAGTCAACTTGCCAAAAAAAAGTGTTTTACAGAGAAATAGCACCTTTGGTAAAAAGTATTTTTAAAATTTGGTTAGGTCGCTAAGGGGCTCAAAGTATACAAGTATCTGCATCATTTGGGTGTACCCTCCCAGAAACTCCATCCAAGTCTGAGGGACACTGGGTTAACTAGCAGTATGGCTATGTATCTAGAGGCAGTTATTGGGACCAAGAGATGCGTGGATGCTGGAGGTCTGTCATGCTGACGGCAATGGAAAGAGGCTGGAAGCAGAGAGCGTTCCTCTCCGTGGAGCTTCCCAAACCTCTCCTCCGGGGACACCCTGCTAAGTTCTCTCTGGCATCGTGTGCACTCCCTGCAGCCTGCTGACAGATGCAGTAAACTCAAAAGAGGTTCAGATTTGGGTCTGTTCCTCTTTCAATCGTGATGCAGTTTCCTTACTAGCCTCCAGCCCCAGAGCACCATTTACAGTTTCTCTTAAAGCACTCCTAGAAATGAAGGCTGTGGCCCTTCCCTTCCTAGCCAGCCACCTTCATATCCTTTATTGCAAAACAAATAAACAAAATAAAACTCATTGCTATATAAGCAAATACTGGTGATTTGGCGACTGTAGCAGACACTTGTGTATACTGAACTCAGCGCTGAAGTGGAGAAGATGCTGGGATCCAGACACTGGTCTGTGCCTCCTCATTAGATCTCTTTGGTGCTCACTCTCTTGGTCTTTTCAGCTGTTTCCTTTGAGATGCAAGAGAAAATAGGCGTCATGGAAATATTAAACAACTGTTGGAATTTATCTGTTCCTCAAGACTATATAGCATTGGCATTTACAAGCTTATGCTGAATTTTAGTTGTTTACTTGTCGGGCTCCTCCACGGACAATGAACAATTTGAGAACAAGAACTATGGCCTATTCATGACATGGTCATGCAGGGGCTGTTTACTGAATTAAGCTGACTCCATTTGGACTCCTATGAAACAAGCAGATCAGACATTATGGTTCCCATTTTAAGGATGAAGAAAATGATGTTAAATGGAAATGCTACAAGATGTTCTTAATCCAACAAGTCCAAAGAAGTGTTAAGTACAACAGGTTCTGGAGGCAGACTGCCTGAGCTTCAACCATGGCTGTGCTACTTTTTGGGTGACCTTGGGCATATTATGAAATCTTCTGTGTCTCAATGTCTTCAACTGCAAAACCACAGTAATAAAGTACCATCTCTTACAACAGTGCCTGGCACAAAATGGCCAATAAGGACATAAGAAGATGCTCAACATCATTAATCACACGGGAAATGCAAATCAAAACCACTTGACACCCGCTAGGACAGCTAAAATAAAAAATAGCAATAACAAAACCGTTGGTGAGTATGTGAAGAAATTGGAACTCTATGGTGAAGATGTACAGTGGTGCAGTAGCTTTGGAAACCAGTTTGGCCATTTCTCCAAAGGTTAAACATGGAGTCACCGTATGACCCAGCAATTCCACTTCTAGGTAAATACCCAAGAGAGCTGACAACATGTGTCCACACAAAAACTTGTGCGAAAATGTTCCTAACAGCTTTATTTATCAGAGCCCCCAAATTGAAACAACCTAAATATCCATTAAATGATGAATGGATAACACAACATGTGGTATATTCGTATCATGGAATATTACTCAGCCATAAATAGGAAAGAAGTACTGATTCATGCTGTAAGAATGAACCTTGAAAACATTATGCTAAGTCAAAGACAGAAAAGGCTATACTGTTGTATGATACCACTGTAATATGTCCAGAACAGGCAAATTTATAGTTAGAAAGTAGATTAGTGGCTGCAAAGGGCTGGAGGAAGATGAGAATGGAGGGTTACTTCTAATGGGTATGGGATTTCTTTCTGGGATAATGAAAATGTTCTGGAATTAAGATAGTAGTGAGATGATTGACAATCTTAGGAATATACACTTTAAAGGGGTGAATTTTATGGTATATGAATCATATCTCAATTAAAGAAATAAATTTTTAAAACCTGACAACATTGCCTGATATCTAGCAGACACTGGTGTTCCATCCATCGCCCCTTTGTGTTTAATGTCTTGGTGTACACTGGCATGACTTCCTACCTACTGCCAGCACCTGCATCTCTGCCTGAGGCCTTTCTCTGGCTGCTGGAGCCCACTCTGTCCACACACACTGATAGGCCACAAATGCCAGGGAATTAACATTTCCCAGTAGCAGCCCTCAGCCAATGGCTAATGGGAGTTCTTGTAGAAACAGCCCAGCTTCATCCCCACTCAGGCACTGTTATTCCATTCCCAGAGATCCCCAATAGGATTAAGAGTCACTTGTTAACAGTGGTAACATGCCTGAATACACACTCTTCATTACTTCCTTCTCTTTCTGGACTCATTTCCCAAATCTCCCTCTGGTGTTTCCTGGCATTGCTTCCCAAATAAACTATGTGTACTTGCATCCTTGCCTCAGCATCTGCTCTGAGGGGACTCACATCAAACACAGAAACTTAAACATATTAGCTACTATAATTCACTCTGTACTGTCTGATAACTGTACTGTCTGATATTCTAGACGAAAGTAATTCCTATGAAGTTTTTTTCTCTTTCATGGGATTGAACTCATTTGGAGACTCAAGACTGGTGAAATTTGAAAAGCAAAAGACTAGAAGCTTTTGCTTCTGCTTAAACAACCGACATGAGATTTCTATACTATCAGTGACAATGATGACAAAATGCACATTAAGAATGATCAATAAATGGGCAATTACTATTAATAGTAATAGTTCTGTTTACTCATGTCAAATATTTCATATCAATAGTTTAGCAGTTCTTGTGACCATTATATTCCTTAAAAACTTCTATGTCAGAGAGAAGGCTAATACTACTACATTCGGTCTACGGACAGGTAATGGAAGGTGCAATATCCTGTATTAAGACTACATAATAAGCCAGTAGGAGGATGGGCCAGGAGTTCAACAGTTCCACAATATGTCAGAGCATCACTATTCTGCTAAGAACCCTTTCCCCAAGGAAGCCTTTAACTTAATGACATAGAACCTGAACAAAATTCTTATTATCTTCTTGAGTCTCTGGGAAGGAGACTCTTTGTTAACCCCAGGCTATTTTCTAGCCAGACTGATGTTGAACTTAAATCCTTTCTGCTGTGGCCCAAATCCACTGCTTTCATGCTCACTGAGTGCTGACTACATACCAGGCCCTGTGAGACTGCAAGGGTACAATGATGAGCAAGTTACAGAGCCTGCTTTCAGGAGCTCACAGTCTTTGGGTCTGGACACTGGTCATGACAGGATACACACTTCCTTAAACCACGCTCATTTGCAAACCACTTCCACCTCATTTGCAAATCACCACCTGCCTGATTTTGCCTTATGCAGCCACTCACCGAGCTGTAACCTATATGTGTTGAGACCTACTGGGCCCTGTGAGGACTTTATCAGGGAACTGTCTGTATCACAGTTTGATAGTACAGGTGATGGGGTATCACTCAAGATGTACTGTATTGAGCAGAGAGAGCCTCCTTGGTCTCCTGGGGCACTGGGCAGTGTTTGAATGGTATAGGGCCTGATGGCAACAGCAACACCTGAACCAGCACGGAGGCTGCCACTCACCTGATGCTTTTGGAGCTCCTGGACATATCTGGTCATCTCCTCCTCTGTCTGGGTCTGGGCCCCCTTCTGATTCTTTCCTGCAAGAAGAACCAAAGCTCAGAGCAGTAGCAGCTGTGGTAAGCCAGTGAGGAATCCGCCAAGATCTACCTAGAGGCTCTCAATTCATCTCCCATTTAACTTGTGGAAGGAGAGGTGAATTACCCACATTTTCTGAGTATGAAGGCATGAAGGGGCCCTGTGTAATTGATACCTCCAAGGTAACACATTGTAACAAAGCAATCTACCCCAACTCCTCTCTGGCCTTTGTTCCTTTAACTGCTTAGCACATCCCAGCCAGAAGCTGGCCCTACAAAAAAAGTTATGGTGAAAACTTGGATCCTGACACTGGAGATTTCTCTGAGACAATGACTCTCAAGTCATTCATATACCATCAAAATGTCCTGGAGAACATTTGAAAAGATAGCTGTCTAGTTCCACCTTCAGAGATTCTGATTTAATTGATGTGAGGTGAGATCTGGACACCAGTATTTTTTTACAAGTCTTTCTAGTTGGTTCTAATGTGCAGCCAGGGTTGACAACCATTTCATCTAGCAATGTTTCTGAAACTTGCACAGTGATAAACAAAAACAAAAACTACACAGGTTCCCAAGCTGCTCTTTTGCAAATTCTGATTTACTAGGTTTAGGATGAAATCTCTAGGCTTATCAAGTAGAATGCTGACCATTAGGAAACACTTCTAGGACATATCTTCCAAACATTGCTATCAACCTTCCCTTCACAGCAGTTTCCCTTGGCTCTGCCTCCTCCTGGCTTCAAATTTTGATGCCCCTTCTTGCTTGTCCCATTTTGATTTGTGATCTAAGATCAGACTGCTAACTCTCAGGTATTAACCTGAAAATGCCCCAGAATGCTGGCTCCACAAACTCCTCTTAGATCCACGGCCTACACATCCATACGTGCTCAGGCCCCTGGGGCACCACCATCTAACATGGGTTGCTCCATGTTATACCCACATAGAGTTCTGGACTTGGTCATCCAGGGAGGATGAGCAGCCCATAGCTGAGTGGCTGTGGAAATGGGCAACATCCCATGAAGCTGATCATTTGAATTTTGTCTGATGCATGTGATAGAGATTATTATCCAAATGACCATGCTTATTCTATAAGCCAACTGCATACCAACTGCCTGCACCTTAGAAATGGAGGGCTACCTTTACAAAGCCAGAACAGCAGCAGTTAGAAGCGGAGAGGTACTGAAGGGAGTTTAGGGAAGACAAGTATAGGATGCTTCATGGTTGAGGCAGGCTAGGCCACTGACTGTTTTGAGATGTGTTTTGTTGGTTTCAGTAGCAACTCTGTGTTTGGTCTGGAGATCCTGGCTTGGTCTTGACTTCTAGGAACTTGTAGGAATTTCTAGTCTCTAAACAGCCTCTTCCTGTTCCTTCACCTGTCCCTGTAGTTACATTGGTTTGCTGTCGTTCCACACTGAAAACAGACTTGGTCCTGGGCAGCGGTAGACCAGTGATACCTTAGATAGTACTGGGCCATTTATACTGTTGCTGTTCTCTAGGATCCTTGTCTAGAAGAGCCTCATCCTGGGTTTCTGACCTCTGTCTCCTAGTTACCATTTAACCTGATCTTCCTGAACATTATCTTAGGTTCCAGCCAGCTCTTCCTTGACACAGTTAACTTCTTAAAATAAACTTTTTTTTTTTTTTTAAGACAAGGTCTTGCTCTGTTGTCCAGGCTAGAATGCAGTGGCGTGACTATGGCTCATGGCAGCCTCAACCTCCCAGGCTCAGGTGATCCTCCCACTTCAGCCTCCCAAGTAGCTGGGACTACAGGCACGTGCCATCACGCCTGCCTAATTTTCACATTTTTGTAGGGACATGGTCTCGCTATGTTGGCAAGGCTGGTCTTGAACTCCTGGGCTTCCCACTTTGGCCTCCCCAAGTGTTGGGATTATAGGCATAAGCCACTGCGCCTGGCTGATATAACTTTAGGTTCACCCTAGCTGGTGAAACTTTTCGGCCTGGTTCCAAATGACCTTAAGGCAATTCTCCGTTGCAGACCTGGCTTCAACACCCTTCTCTGTCTTGCCTCCACTCTGAATATCCCTGGTTCTTTGCTAGGGCTCGGCTTTAAGAGTCCCTCTTGATCTTTGGCATCATTGTAGCCCAGGACCCAGATGGGACTCCAGTGGTTCCAACATACCCTGTAGCCTCACACTGCCCCACAAACTCTCAGATTTCTCTGTCTCCCCAGACCACCCTGCACATATCTCAACTAGCTCAACTTTCTCTTTTTAAAAAAGATTACCCATCTCTGTTAGTTGAAAGAGGGTCTACAAACATATTTTCTTTTTCTGCTGGGTATGGCAAGGAGAAGTCATTTTGTCTTCCAACCACTAGTCTTTTACCATTTCCTAAGGTGTTATAAGGATCAATGGGTTAATATGTAAAGTGCTTAGAAGAGAGCCTGGCACATGGTTTTTGCTGAGTATTTGCTTTCACTGTTACTATTCCATTATTATTTTTGATTATTATTAAATAATAATTATTGTTTTTATTTTAATGTTTTAATTATTAAATAATTACTATTTTTAATTATTATTCCATTATTACTACTTTCACTGTTACTATTTCCATAATGTTACTATTCCATTATCATTTACTTTTGCCCAGGGTCTTGGTCCTCTCTTATTCCAAGCCTCTGGAGTGATTTTCAAACTGAATGCCTATGGGATAAATGTTCTGCCCTCAAAGCTCCCCACTTGGGGCTCCAACCTTACAGGTGTGGGTCTGCCTGGGTTCCTTGCTCCCAGCCACCGCCCTCTTCTCCATCATCCCCACCCCAACTTCTCTCATGCTGATTTCATGAAGCTCTCTCCTTGCTGTTTTTTCTTTCTGCTTGAAGCACAGCTCACCGTCACAGGTCATGGCTGTACAGACCCAATTTCCACAGGCACAGACACAGCGGTTACAGTCCACCTCGGTCTCAGCTCCATCTGCATACGTTTCATCCTCCAGGGCACACTCTGTTGGGCCAGAAATACGGGGCAACAGTTTAGCTGTGAGGGTGGAACAGGGCATCTTTGCTACAGTCTGTGCACCTTACCCTTTTTTCCCAGACAAGACCTGCCTGTCCCTCAGAAGCACTATATCTGAGCAAACACTACCATCAACCTAAAGAATGTGGGGCCCTAACTTCACCATGGGGAGAATGGGCTGGGGCCCAGTTTAGAATCATGGAAGGGGATTTTCTCAGCTAGCTCTGGAGAGTTCCACCAATCCTCTCTATCTTGGCTCCTACAAAATGCCTCCATTCACTACAGCTCTCTATTTCTTAGGTTAGGCATACTCTTCTCAGGAGGGTTGAAAGATGGGTTGAGGCACTTGAGAAACTCTTGGAAGCTGAGTTTCCAATCAGCATTTTCATCAGACAGTTCAATGAGAGCATCAACACAGAGTCCCCTGAAACAAAACACAGGAGAAATGTGTTAGCAAGACCTCAGCTTCGCTCAGAAGAAAGGAAGTAAGCATCAGGACCACATACACCCAGGGCCTCCACAGGAGGCCAAGAAGATGACTGCTAACTAAAACAGCCTCTCTCTACACTGACCCAACACAACTATTATCCATCCTGACCAATGCAGGCATCTAACCTTTAGTTTGTTATATGAATGTCAGATCACCCAGGCTGTCCAAATGTTCCCCCCCTTAAGATGACTAAAGTTTCGTGAATGGTTTTGTCTAATGTTTTCACTGCCTGCATACCTTCCACTAGCAATTGCTTTTCCCCATGGTATATACACGTCAAGTCAACCAAACTAGGAAAATCAAAACAGAAGAGATATGACAGATGACATGAAAGGAATATAGGATTTGAAAGAATATGAAGTTCAAGCAAGAATCACCATTATCATCCTTCTAGAAAGAGATTTTCAGAAAAGCTTTTAGAACTCAGCTCCATCAGCTTGCAGTGAGCCGAGATCCCGCCACTGCACTCCAGCCTGGGCGACAGAGCGAGACTCCGTCTCAAAAAAAAAAAAAAAAAAAAAAAACAAAAACAAAACAAAACAAAAACAAAAACAAAAAAAAACAAAAAACAAAACAAACAAAAAAAAACTCAGCTCCATCACTTCTTTCTTGGGCTGTATTTGAGCCCTGGCTCAATCACTTACTACTCAAATGGACTTGAGTTAGTTATTCAACTTTTCTGAGCCTGTCTTCCCATCCGTAAAAGGAGGACAAGAAGCCCTCCTTCACTGGGATATCATGAGGCTCAAACGTTGAAATTATAAAACATATAATTTCAGATTATCAAAATATGAAGGATTTACAGAACCTATACTTTAAGGTCATAGACTATTATTAAAGAAGAATCCTTCTAGAAACTGTGCAATGCACTTCTTTTGAAAAAAAGACATGCTTTTCCTATTTTTAATTCTTACCGATGTGCTGAAACCACATCAAAAGTTTCTTAGCGATTAGTTTTTATTAATATTGATTCTGGAATAATGCCATAAAAGTAGACGGGCATATATCTGTAACAGTTAGGGCAATTGACATGAAATAGCACTAATTATCTAAAAATCAGAACAAAGCTATTTTAGACCTATAGTTAAATAATACATTACTGTAATTCCTTCAGAAAATTAATCAGTAAAACATCACCCACAACATTCAGAAATAACTTGCTCTGACGTGCCCTTGGCAATTTATTTTAAAATTATATTCTTCTAGTCCTTGCAAGTTCTGACCAAAAACAATAACTATTTGATTAGATATCAGTGGTACTCAATATATTAATTCATACTTTCATAGAATAGAACAGGACAGAATTCCCATTTTGCTTTTTACGTGACATTCTCTCACTGGTGGCTCTTTTGCAGGTGGGAAAGGGTTTAAGTCCCCTCTCTCAGTTAGTCTTCCCTTGTGGATCATTCTCTGACCTCTCGGTTCCTCTCACCTAAGCAACTTGTTGTTCTCCTGGTCTGGATACGTTGTAATATTGATGGCAGTTTCATTCTGTTCCACAAACTTCAGGAATTCACTGGAGTCCAGGCGAGAATCACCATTATCAAAGTTCTAGAAAGGGCATGACAAGATCGTTCAGGGATGTTTTGCAGAACCCCTGTTCCATCATTACTCCACTCAGCTGACCTGCCTCTGATTCATCTTGTTCTTGATACATTCCAACCCTGCCCTGACCTCAGAGGGCCTTGGCAACAAATGCTCTAATCCCTGGGACATGCAGAGAAGGTACCTGTGCCCACAATGAGAGAGGAAAAGTGCCTGGGCAGAGGAGGCAACCTGAACTGAGGCCTCTGGGGTCCCTAAGCATGCTGTGTGGCCCCATCTCTGACACTGCCCTGTAGACACTTTTGACTATACCTTTGGGTTCAGACCAACCTGCACATCATGTTCTCAAGCCCTGATGAACATGTAACAAGAGTTTAAAGTTGCACGCTGTGAATCAGAATCTCTGTAGCAGGTCCCAGAATATGTTTCTAATGAGCTGCTCAGGAACAGCAGCAATGCAGATGACCCTCTGAGCTCACTTTGGAATTATAGGATTCCAAATCTTGTTGCTTGATTCCAGCCTCCTTGTCCTGTTCTCAGTGCTTAACTTTCACTTTGGTGCCCGTAACTGATCACATCAGTGAGAACTCAGGCAAAGGCCTCAAAGCAATAAGCTACAGACAGGGGTCATCATGCAAAGTTCCCGCTCCTCTGCCCTGTGGGCCCCACTGCAGATGTGTGCACAGGTCCTCAGATCATCCAGCTCAGGCTGCCCTCATGACCCAGCTGGCATCCCACAAGCACAAAGTGAGGAGTGCAGTAAGCTCACACACTGTTCTCTATGGCAAGATGCTAAACTGAGACCTCAGCCATCTGGGACCATTCAAGACACCCAGGCACTAGCTGCAGGAGGAGGGTGTCAAATCAAGACTGATCAAATTCCAAGTTGCATATGGCTGCTCTCCTAACAAATTTCAATAACATTTTCCCCCTTCCTCCCAAATCCTTTCCCTAGGCTCCCTCATGCTGCTGCCCTGGGAAAGGATCAGCTTCCCCATGTTACTTTCAAGATGGCTCCCCAGATGGTGCAAGGGATTCTGGAAGAAACATCTATCCAAATTTCTAGATAGAAGGGGAAGATGTAGCTAACAACTCTCCTCTCCTGCTTGCCATGTGTCACAGGTGTTCCACTCTAATGTTGTATAATGAAGGTGTGCATGAAACAACTATTAGGCCTTTGCTTAGTACGTACTTATCATTCTTGTCCTAATTCCTAGGAACAGGTCTCTGATGTCCTTTATTCACTATACAATTTTCCCTGACGAAACTTCCCTGTTTACCTTGTGAAGTCTTGATTAATTAATGGAAAATAATTAAATAAGTTTGGCTGGGGGCCATTGTTAGTAGCACAGGGCTTTCTTGAGTTCAAATATTGCATGTGCTGGGTAAATGACAGCAACCCTCAAAGACTCCAGTGTCATCAGGGCCTGATGATGGAATGAGTGTAGGGAGGGGAAACGTCCAGCACTAGCTACAGACCCAGTGCCACATGGCCCAAGTGGGCACCATGAACCTGGCAACCACAGTCCAGGCAGCTCTCAAAAGGCAGTGCTGTGTACACACACTTCAGTAGGACTAGAATAAGGCCTGCAGCTGGGGGAAGGTCCAGCCCATGTGCTTTCTCAACTCATGAGGGTCCAGTTGGGCCTCCCCAGGCCAGAGTTGTATGTAGAATCCACAGGAACACAGAATTCTGGTGCCTGCCCCAGAAATAGCCTGGAATGCCTGGGGGGTCTGCCTGTGAGGTCCTAATCATGGACCATGAACCAACCTAATTTATTGAGCCTCTCTTCAGCCAGTCAGTTACAAAGACATAATATCTCTCTGTGCCTCTTTCCCCAGCTCTATACAGGTTGATTATCCCTTATCTGAAATGCTTGGGACCAGAAGTGTTTCAGATTTCAGATTTTGGAAAGTTTAAATATGTATAATGAGATATCTTGGGGATGGGATCCAAATGTAAACATGAAATTCATCCCTGTTTCCTATATACCTTACACATATAGCCTGAAGGTAATTTTATACAATAGTTTAAATCATTTTGTGCATGAAACAAAGTTTTGACTGTGTTTTGAATGCTACCCATCACATGAATTCAGGTGTGAAATTTTCCACTTATGGCATCATGTTGGTGCTCAAAAAGTTTCAGATTTCAGCATTTGAGGTAACAAAACTTTTCCTCTATCTAACTGTAGGGTTGTGGAAAGGCAGAAAAGATGTATGTCATGAGATCTGTTCTTGGGGCTTATCAATGTAAGTTTGGAGACTCTTCAGAGGAGATGGGCTGAGACAGGCACTTGCTTGTGCACAGCAGCTGGGGCTGTGTGGGCTGTGGTGCCAGGGTAAAGGAGATAAGAAGGCTGGCTCAAGTGTCAGCCCTGGCCATCAGGAGCCACAGGGATTGAGATCACACCCAGATGAAATTAGGAATGGATTAGATTCCAAATTCCAAGAGCATGGAAGGCTCTTTCTACCTGGGTCTTTCTTTCTTCATTCTGTTACGCTTTCACCTAAGAAACAGTGACTACATCACTGGTTATGGTGAAAGTCAGATTTTGGCCTTATTCAAATTCTAATTCAATTTGGTTTTTGAACAATTTTGATGTAAGAAATGCCAGCTGGGCTGGGGAGCATTTCATTGGTTCATAACAGTCTCTTTGAGATATCAGACCTCTCACCAACAGGCAGCTGCTGACCTAGGAGGAGGCAGTCTCCCTTTGAAGACAGCAGCATGTAAGACTCTGATAATCATCAAAAAGTAGAAAATGAAACCTGTTTTCTCCTGTTAGACACTGCCAGAGTGTCTGGGAAGAGGGGATTTTGTGTCTGTCAGTCATGATCAAGCTTTCTTAGATGCCTGGTTGTGAGAATGTCCTAGAGAAGAGCTACTTTCCCAAAGGGCCTTATAGCTTTCAGAAGGGAGCCTGTAAAAGTGAGTTACTGCTGGAGGAGATGGAGATGTGTTGAGGGGAATGTGGCATAGGTTCTTGGGAATCAAATCTAATAGCAGGTGTCAGTGATGCCTGAGGCAGAGTGCCATCAAAGGGCCACTAAAAAATGGTTACAACGTCCTAAGTGGCCCCTGGGAAGGAGTGTCCTGGGCCCCACACCTCCTATGCTGTAATTGCAGGGCAAAGTCACTGCTCACACACAGCAGGCCCTGCAGGTACCTTTACCATTCGCTCAGCTTTTGAACAGTCACTTTCTTTACATTACTTTCTGTTCCTGTCCAAGTCTCCTGGCTCAGCACTATGATGTGTTTTTCTGTAGAAGAGGAACCATTCTTCCTCTAAGGGCTCTGTAATGTGGGAGTGATTGAGAGAGAGGACAGAGCAAGAAAGGCTGTGCTTTTTCATCTGGGTATGATCTCAAAAACTTGGAATCCAGAGATTTAGTATCTGCCATAGAGGAGAGAAATCTCTATGTAAAAATGACACAAGTGAAGTCTTAAATGACCAAATATCCATTTGAAGCCAACCCAGTATTTCTTCATCTGCGGGTTCTATAGTGTCAGAAAGAGAAATCCACAGACTAGACTGGCATTGGCCACATTAGGTGGCCTCAGAGCTGCCAAGAAAAGTCCTTCATGTGTCTGAAGTTGCTCCTGAGTCCTGGCTGGGTTGGGCCCTGGAAGCATGTGAGGGAGTAGATGGCTGGGGCATCTACCTAGTGAAGAGGGCTTTGGTGCTTGCATGGAAATGTGGGTATCTGAATGTGTCTGCATGTAGGATGTGTCTCTGTGTGGCATGTGAGTCTCTGTATGTGGTGTGTGTGTGCGTGTCTGGCATGTTTTGAGTTTAAGTGTGTCCTTCTCTGTGCTTCTGAGTGTGATATTCTGAGTGTGATGTACCTGTGTGTGTGTCTGTTCTTGTCAATCAGCTGTAAGAATGCCCTTAATTGCTTCTTCTAACTCTCAAGTTCTGTGAAAGATCTGCATGGCATGATAACCCGAGCCATCACTAAATATTATAGCTTCCTTCATTTCTCTTTGTGAAAATAGCATCTCTCCTGCTCCCAAGTGGAACACTCTGTCTCTTCAACTAATTATGATTGGGAACAGCAATATCTAAGTTCAGGAACAATCTCTGGACCCATGAAATGCCAGTCCATTGATTCTTCTCATATGAAGACTCTCTCCAAGCCATTGGCAGTCAAGTTAATGACTTAGAGAAATGTCAAACTAGGCAGGAAAGAGGCCAAAGTGGTCCAGGTCTGGGTGCAATCAGAGGGAATTTTGTATTAACAGCCAGATCCATAAGGTGTCATGGCGAGTAGGGGACAGAGCTTGGCCCTAACTGACAGGTTCTCCAAGACCTTTGTGGCTTTCACTGCCTGAAGGCAGCAGCACATGTGTGTTAGATCCCAAAGACTCCACTGCTTACTCCCACTGATCAAGCTGGTCAGAAGGCAACTTTCACAGCTTCATGAATGATCTATGATGAGGAAACTCAGGGTGTCTGTGCAGGTTTACATTTCCTGTGGTCTGGGAAGGTGTGATCGGGCAATGGGAGGAGGAAGCTTCCCTTTCTATGGGCCTGAATAGTCTTCCTCCTACCTCTGGATTACCTTAAAATACTTGTCTAGGATTTCACTGTAGTTGCTGCCTTTAGAGAACCAGCCATCTGGAATGATCTCAGCTTCCAGCCACTGGATGATGCGACGTCGGAGCTCATCACGGTTGGACTGATAGCAAACAACTGCAGGAAAGTGGAGGATGTCAGCTGGAGCAGTCAGGGGAGGACCCCAGTGATATCTGGCACCCACTGTGTGGGAGCATCCGTGCCCATGGTTCTGCATATGTCATCCCAGCAACACAGGGAGATAGGATTAGCACATCCAGGGTACACAACTGGAAAAAGTCTAGCCCAGGATTCAAGCACCCATCTCTAAAATATTTGTAAAGATTGAGAATATTGAAACAGAGAGATTTTGCTGCTTATGTGAGAAATAACTAGAGCAGAAAAATAATAAAGGATACTTTCATTAACTTTAGGAAGCTGAAGGGGAAAAAATCAATAAAGCAGCTCTCTTGACTCAAAGATGAGCTGAAATAATACATGAATAAATGAGAATATTACAGTTTTTATGCTACTAGATTTCTGATTTTCTCCAGTTTCTCCCTTTCTCACCAACTAGGTCCATCCAAACTTCCCCCCACTTACAACTGTATACCACCTGCATCATCCTTTATTATGAACAACAGAATGTGAAGGCCAGTGAGGGCTACGTCGAAGCCCTGCTCTGGACAGCTGTTGTCCACTGGAAATAACAGGGGGTGCTGAGAGTTGAGTGGATGGGGAAGCAGAGGAGAGAAAGCTTTGGCAAAAGAGAATTCCTGGAAGACAACACATGCTGTGGGTGAAAAGGGCACTGGGCCAGGGGAATGAAAATCTGGGAGTTCTTCCCCAGTCTGCCAATTACTAGCTGTGTGATATAGAAAACTCACTTAGCCTCTTTGAGCCTCAATTTCCTCATCTATATGGTAATTACAATAAGATCTACTTCACAAAGGCTACCGTGAGAATCTAAGGAAAGTATGTGCAAAAAAGCTCTGTAACTATAAATCATGATAAAATTTTAGTGATCACTAATAGAAAACCACAGAAGTCTTACTGGCATTTCCAGTTATCCCCTTTCAAAAAGAGTTGTGCCTTCTATTTGCTGGTCCCATGACACGAGCATGTCTTATAGGATGTTGAAAAATGAACTCAGTGGCTTTCCTGTTTATGCAGTTCAATCACTACTCAGGAAAAATGGGAAAACACAGCCAACATTCTGACCCAACCAGCTGCTTCAATTGGCAAACACATACACAAATGTAGTTTTGCAGCTTTTCTGAGCTGTGTTGAGGAGTGGCCAGTTCTGGGACACAATTCTGATGCATAGAAGATCTTATGAGCTTGGCAGGGATTGTGGAACACAAAATTTCTATCATGAAAAGAATGTCCTCCCTGAGATGCACACAGTAGAAAAAATAGGCACTCACCTGGGCTGGCAGATGGACTTACGGATTTCTTCTCTGCAAGACAAAAAGAGAAAACGTGTAATGCGAAGTGAAGGAAAAAAGAAAATTTTTCTGTATTTCTAGGATTACAGCTGCTCTACATGTAGGGGAATGTTTGTAACCTTTTCATCATTTTGTCTTGAATCCTTTCCCTTCCTTTCCTTCTTCTAGGGCCCAGGTATGAGGATCTTCTGTCTCCTGCTTTGTCTGACAATTTAGGGCCACTGAGTTACCCTTCTGGCCTCATACCTCCTCCTGTTGCATTGAGGGGTCACTGGGATTTTGAGAATTCAAATGGAGAATCATTCTGGACAGGGAATGGAGTGGAGACAATCACCTGGGAAACAGCTTCTTGTTTCTTCAAGGAAGGGCAAGGCTGAGAGGGGCTGGGCAGGGCTATGGCTTGGCAGGGGGCTGGTATCTAATTAGCAACAAGTGTGGGACTTCTTCCTTCTTATTCTAATGGCAGTGGTTTCAGTGCAAAATAGAGGAAACAATACTGAGAGGTGCCCAAATTAAAAAGCATGGGAAAAGTGAAACTTACCTACTTTCTAAAAAGGTACATAATTCATTTAAGGAACTTTCTTATTGTTACTGATTTACTGATGGGGTCCACCCTATCTACTATCCAGCTGCAGACAGTGCTGAAAACCCCCATGGGGATCTGATATAGCAAACCCTGGGCAGAGGCCTGGGCCATCCAGGGCAAACCCAGCAGGCTCATAAGTGACAAGAGGATGCAACTCCAACCAACTGGGCGCTTTCCACAGCTTTGAGAGGCTGTGGTCGTGGAGGAAAGACCATGTGGTCAGCCAGGCCACACTGCTCTGTTCCTTGGCTCCCCGTGGCTAAAGCTGCCTTGCAGTGGTGAGAGCACACCTTACCTTTGCAGTGTCCATCGTAATCAACCTGGATTTTGGATCCAGTGAGGCAGGCATCTCGATGCAGTTCACAGTGGTTGAGGTAGGTCTTGCCATTACTGCCACACACAGGCCTCTTGTGAGGTTTGCATTGCTGAAACAGACCCAAAAGAGAATGTTTGTGCAGTTATGGATATCGACACACAGACACACACACACACATACATGCACACACACACACAGAGCCATTTTGTAAGGGGACTCTCCACCACCAGAGATGGTGCTTCTACCCCATCAGGGCACAGGCAGTCACAGTTCTGGCCAACTGACCCTGTCTCAGTTGCCTATGGCCCTTCATGCCTATCCTGGTCCAGGGTCATCTCTTCTATTCAGTGAAGAAAGAGACACCCTCTATAGTTTCAATGTTTGTGATCCCTCCAAAATTCATGTTGATACTTAATCCACAATGCAAAAGTATTAAGAGGTGAGGCCTTTAGGAGGTGATTAGGTCATGAGGACTCCTCCCTTGTGGATGAGGTTAAGAAGTGAATAAAACAGTCTTCCTACAGCATTTGGCCCTTTGGCCCTTCTGCCTTCTGCCATGTGAGGATGCCACATGCAAGGTGCCATCTTGGAAGTTAGAGACCAGGCCCTCACCAGACATCAAATCTGCTTGCACCTCAATCTTGTACTTCCCAGCCTCCAGAACTGTGAGAATTAAATTCTTATTATTTATTAATTACCCAATCTCAGATATTTTGTTATAGCAGCCCAAACAAACAAAGACACCCCCCACATCAAATGAGCAGAAAGGGCGTTTTATTAAAAGCCAGAAATTTGAATTCTCTGTCACTTTGGAAAAAGTAATTTAATGTCTCAGAAGATCTAAGATCCCTTAATATTCCAACATTCAATGACACAAAACAGCCAGAGCTGAGAGCTGGGAATGTGGAGAGGCTGATAGGCAGGCAGGCAAACACACACACATGTGCGCGCGCGCGCGCGCGCGCACACACACACACACACACACACACACACACACACACTCCAATTCTTCTGCAGCCTAACTGTAAGGATCTCTTGCTGTATATACTATTGGGGGAACACTTTGTTTTCCTCCTGATCTCAAGCCTTTGTTGTGAAGCTAGGAGTAGGGTTGCCTGGGTCTTTGTGAAGTACTACAGAGAATCATTATGGACAGGGAAATGGAACAAAGTTCATATGGCAACTAGGTTATGCTTTGGCTGCTGAAGGTGCCAAGATCACAGGCAAGTTCAGTTTCTTTGGACTTCTATGGTTTTTAAAGGGGAGAAGCAGGAAGTAAATTTAGCTCAGATCCAATAAAGAAAGGAACTGAAACAAGAAAGAGCAGATGGTAAAAAGAAGCACAGAGCACTGGAAGTGGATGGCAGCCCAACCTTTCCAGTTTTAGTTGAGGATACCAAAAACACAAATTTCAGTGAACCAATATTTATTATGGAGTGCTCACTATGTGCTGGGCAACGGGCAAAACCAAATGTGGGCACTGTCTTCACAGCATCTCCTGAGACCTCAGGTTTGGTCTCAGCTCACCCACATCTAGTTGTACAATTTTTAGGATCAGGTTTCTAGATCCTAAGTCCAGGCTTATGCCACCACACTGTGGCCAGGTACACTGCCAGTGAGGACCTCCCAGAGCTAATGGATCCCCAGTAGGATCTGGCTTTTAGGTTTCTGAGTTAGAAAACTTCCTTTCTGGGGCAACAAATCAGGATCCTTAACCTGGGGACTAAATTGGTTGTATTTAATTTGCAGAAAGACGTGTTTCCAGGCTATGGGTTGTTTTGACAGAAAACAGAATGTCCAAGGTATTTATGTTCACTTTAGTGGCAGAACTTGTCAGAATCCAGCCTACAAAAGAAGTATTTATCAAAGGCTCTCTTTGTTTTTTAAACATTAAAAAAAAAACTCCCTCTCCCTCTCCCCCTCCCCCTCCCTCTCCCTCTCTTTCCACGGTCTCCCTCTCATGTTGAGCCGAAGCTGGACTGTACTGCTGCCATCTCGGCTCACTGCAACCTCCCTGCCTGATTCTCCTGACTCAGCCTGCCCAGTGCCTGCGATTGCAGGCTTGCGCCGCCATGCCTGACTGGTTTTGGTGGAGACGGGGTTTCGCTGTGTTGGCCAGGCCGGTCTCCAGCCCCTAACCGCAAGTGATCCGCCAGCCTCGGCCTCCCGAGGTGCCGGGATTGCAGACGGAGTCTCGTTCACTCAGTGCTCAATGGTGCCCAGGCTGGAGTGCAGTGGCGTGATCTCGGCTCGCTACAACCTCCACCTCCCAGCCGCCTGCCTTGGCCTCCCAAAGTGCCGAGATTGCAGCCTCTGCCTGGCTGCCACCCCGTCTGGGAAGTGAGGAGCGTCTCTGCCTGGCCGCCTATCGTCTGGGATGTGAGGAGCCCCTCTGCCTGGCTGCCCAGTCTGGAACGTGAGAAGCGTCTCTGCCCGGCCGCCATCCCACCTAGGAAGTGAGGAGCACCTCTTCCCGGCCGCCATCACATCTAGGAAGTGAGGAGCGTCTCTGCCCGGCCGCCCATCGTCTGAGATGTGGGGAGCGCCTCTGCCCGGCCGCCCCTACTGGGAAGTGAGGAGCCCCTCTGCCCGGCCACCACCCCGTCTGGGAGGTGTGCCCAACAGCTCATTGAGAACGGGCCAGGATGACAATGGCGGCTTTGTGGAATAGAAAGGCGGGAAAGGTGGGGAAAAGATTGAGAAATCGGATGGTTGCCATGTCTGTGTAGAAAGAAGTAGACATGGGAGACTTTTCATTTTGTTCTGTACTAAGAAAACTTCTTCTGCCTTGGGATCCTGTTGATCTGTGACCTTACCCCCAACCCTGTGCTCTCTGAAACATATGCTGTGTCCACTCAGGGTTAAATGGATTAAGGGCGGTGCAAGATGTGCTTTGTTAAACAGACGCTTGAAGGCAGCATGCTCATTAAGAGTCATCACCACTCCCTAATCTCAAGTACCCAGGGACACAAACACTGCGGAAGGCCGCAGGGTCCTCTGCCTAGGAAAACCAGAGACCTTTGTTCACTTGTTTATCTGCTGACCTTCCCTCCACTATTGTCCTATGACCCTGCCAAATCCCCCTCTGTGAGAAACACCCAAGAATTATCAATAAAAAATAAATAAATTAAAAAAAAAAGAAAGAAAAAAAATCTTTAGCTCTATTTAGAGATCTCTGCAACGTTCTTTTAATTTCTAAATTATTGCTTTTATACAATGGAATAAATACATATTCATGTTTGTTTTTCAAAAAAAAAAAAACATTAAAAAAAAAAAACCCTGCATCTCATCTACTGTTTTTAAAAATTTGCATATCCTCTGACCTAGCAAGCCCTGGTGTCAATCAATGCTACAGAAATAAAGGCAGGGGCATATAAGGGTATTTGCACAAGGATGTTATTGGTTATAGTGGTAAACAACCCAAAGAACCAACTGAATGTCCATCTATGGGAAAATGATTGAATAAATCTAGTTCTTTTATATTACTAAACATTATGCCACTACAATGAGTTAAATGAGTTAAAAGTATATGTGCTGATCTAGAGGGTTGTCCCTGATAAATTAATGAGTAAAGAATACAAACTGTATATATCTATATCCATATCATGATCCCATTTTTGCATAAAATAGGGGGAACCATTATGTCTACAGTAGCATATAAACCCTATGCTTATAGTAACATAGAAAAGAAAAACATGTGGAACATGTATCAAATTGTTAACGCTGGTTACTTCAGACTAAGGGATTGAAGGGTTATGGGGGAAGATTATAATTTTATGCTTGTGTAAATGTCTGTACTATTTGACTTATATAAAACAATTCTTATTTTTTAATTAAAAAATCTTATAAAGCTAAATTTTTTTAAAAGAAAAAATATCCATGCTTTAAAAATCAGGAATCTGGAATAAGAATTCCACGTTTTTCAGGGGGATGAAGAATGCTTTTATAAAGAGAATGAAATCATTGGCACTGCCTGCTGATGGGTGGCTCCGCAAGGTACCACATTGGCCTTGGCCACTGTCCTCTGGCTCCCGACATCAGGACTTACCTCAATGCAGAGACAGGTGGGTTCCCCTTTCTCTGTGACTGCACATTCCCGGCCGGCTCCACAAAACACATTGGCACAGATCTTGGATTTGCTCCTTAGCTCTTCCTAAAACATACAATCATAAAGGAAACCGTGTGACTGAGATGAACCCATTATGGAATGAGCCCATAATGAGATTATCTTTCAGGCTTGGGCTTTGCTCTGGAGTCATGGCTCATGGTCTTAAACAGCTAGATGTTGGGTCTTAAACAGCTGTTGGAGACGTTGCCTCCAACAGCTAGTGCCCTACTCCCAGATACTGCTTCAGCCCAGGTTCAGGTACTTCTGAGTCCCTAATATGTTTCTCAAAGAGCAAGAGTTCCTTTCTTGCATGCTTCCTTTCTTCTAAAAATGCTTGTTGAGCACCAATTTTATGCCAACACTACGCTGAGATGGAGATACAAAGGACAGACCCTGTCCTCAGGAAGCTCCATGACTCTCAGAGGAAACTCACAAAGAAAGAGACATTTGGAAAACAACACAGGAAGTGCAAGAACAGGATCACCAGGGAGCTGGAGGGGAGGAAGAGGGTGAGAATTTTTCAAAGGATACTTTCTGAAGATACTAGGTCTTAACTGATTCTTAAAGGGTGAGAGGAGTAAGTCAGGCAGAAATGGAAACATTGTACAGAACTATGACTATCTGAAGGACCCAAACCTGACTGAATGGTGTTCTAGGCATTATCATCTCAAAGGGCAAAAGAAGGATGGCTAAACCATTGGAAACGTGGATTCGCTATTTTTGCTATGGTCCCATTTAGCCCCTACCCATGTCTGCCACTGTCTTCAAGATTAAGAGGGCGAAGCTGCCTGAAAGTAGAACTATTCTCAAATCATTTGCTAGTCAGGCATTCCCCTGTTCAGACGTGTGCAGCAGAACTGACAAGGCAGGGAATGGTCTCAGTGTATGCCACCTGAGAATGTGGGGGTATTGACAGGCACTGATCTGTTGGTGGCTCATCCCTTCCCTCCCATTCACTGGTGGCAGAAAGCCAGCCCCACCTCATTCACCACTCAACCCAGGGGTAGTGGTGGTTGCATGAAGGAGAATGTGATTTCCCCAGCTTCTCATCCTGACTGGCTGGGCAGGCAAAATCACGAAAGACCTCCAGACTCAAGGCTACTGGGCTAGATGCTGTGACAAAACCAACAAAGACTGCAGGAGGCACGATGGGGTCATGGGGCTGGCTGGGGTAAGGCAGGGATGGAACCAGACAGTCCACCCTCCAGGCCATGTCTACCACATTATGCAGAGAACTCACACCCACAAGTCTTGTAACAGTACAATTCTTATAGTTGGTGAATGTTTTATACTCAAGATTAGGGGAAAAAAGCAAAAAGAAAGAAGAGGCTTTCGAGCTGAGGTGCTGTATCCAATACAGCTAGTCTGCTGCCACCCAGAGGCTGCTCTGCAAACTCCAGGTCATTATTTTCTGTCCCAAGCCAGCTTGCTGGTCATGCAGGGCTCCCATTGGTCTAGAAGCCGTTCTCAGCTCACATTTCATTGGTTCACATGCTGTTGATAAACCAATTCTTTTTTGAATGTTGCTAAGGCGAATTCAAGAAAGCTAGCAGGCGGGGAAGAAAGAGGAAGTAATTCCCAGAAGTCCGCGGGGATTGGAGAGCTTTTGTTTTCCTAAACAGAGAGTGGAGATAAAAATCAAGGATATTCTCCAGGCAGGGCCCTCTTGTGGAAACTGTGCCTGACAATGTAAGGCAACACGAAAAAGGAAGAGGAAAAGGTTTTTGCTGACGAGTTGTTCCCATGAGTTATGGACACACAAATGCATAAAAAAGCATGCTCAGACACATGCCTGCACTCAAAGACACCCGCACACAGCTCCACAGGCAAACACCCACAAACCTCCACTCACTAGTCTCTGTCCTTAACTAGTAATTTTCATTCTTTAAGGCTCACATGTCCTCATCTATAAAGTAGGGGTAAATGCCAACCCTGCCCTGCGGAGATTCAGTGAGATACATGTGGAAGTACCAACTGTAAAACAAGCTGCATATGAAACCTGTTATTCATGGGAATGCCTTATAGAGCTACTTGCAGAAAAGCCTGTGGCATGTATGGAACCTCCTTTTAACTTACATTGTTGTTTTTAGTAAGTATTAAAAACGGATTGAATTAAACCAAGTCATTTTTCAGGAATAGTTCTCAAAAATCCATTTGAAGAAACAGATAACTTTTGAGTTATAACAACTAATATTTGAATAGTACAATTTACAAAATGTTTTCATACACATGATTTTGTCTTATAGGGAAACCCTGCAAGAATAGGTATATTATTATTAACCCTATTCCATAGATGAGGAAATTGAAGACCAGAAAGGTCAGATAACTTGCCCAAGTTTCCAAAGCTAGAAATGAGAGGAGCTAGGATTCCAACTCGTATCTTCAACCACTGATAACTAAACTCCCATTTATAAATATCCGGCATCCTACTATTTTTATTATATGTGATTTAAGCTCTTCAATAACTCCTTAAGTTAGACATCATTACTAGCCCCATTTCACAGGTGAGAGAGCAGAGGCTTAAATAACTAGAAAGTGGCAGAGCTAGAATTCTGCCCAAAGGGAAAGCAGTTTATATTTGATTTATTTTCATATCCAGATGACGTAAGGAAATTATGATGGGGGTGTGAGTTGCATAATTAGCAAGTGTCGGGAGAATGTGCGTTAAGAGTGCGTCAGAGATTTAGGTTTAAATTACCCACATCCCACCTCTATTCCTTACTTGCTGGTCGTGGGCCAGGTGCTCTCTTTAAACCTCAGCTTCCTCGTGAAAACTGGGAGTACTGATTCTTAGAGGGTTGTTGTGAGGATTAAACGGGATGTACTGCAGGCAGCACAGTGCCTGCCACACAACTGAAAGTGGCTATTACTACAGTGGGCAATTTATTTTCAGACAACTTTCCCACTGAGATGCTGTCACTACCACCTTGGGCTGTCATGTCCCCGTTTTTCCCTGTCCTCCCTTGCACTGCAGTGATAATAGAGAACAGAAGGACTCACTGAATGGAAAAAACAAAAGGCCCGTTTGAAGAGCACACAGAGAAGGGGGGAGCCACTAGTTACACAATCATTCCTCTTTGCAGGTGACACGTCTGTCAATAGGTGGCAATCTCTCTCTGTCTTGCACAGCCCAGCACTGCAATGCAGAAGCGCAGTGTTGGCTCCTGCAGCTCCACCCAGCTCTGTCCTCGGAACAAGAAGTGGTGCAGGAGGTGGAAGAATAGGGTGGCTGCTCCAAAAACATGGGTAGGGGGATCTACCAATGTGGGGGAGGTCTCACCTGCAGCCTCATAGCCCTCCCCAGTGATCCCCATTCACAGGCATGCTTTGATGCAGAAATCAACAATGAAGAAAATTTTCTCCAGAGAGATAGGCTTTGTGCCATTGAAAGCTCTTCTCCAAGCCTCATCTTCTCTGGGAGTGGGAGTGTCAGGTGCATCCCCGAGGTGCCTAGAAAGTTGCTTAGGGTGGTGGGTAGTCTTACCCATCTACTGAGAAACTGATTCTGAGTGGGGGAAAAGAACACCTTGAGAGGGGTTGAACATGCTCATGGGTTCAACCCTTCTCGTGGTGAGGAAGAGGGAGATGAAGCAGGGTGGCAGGTGATGATGGGGAGAGGGGTGGCGCTCGATGGCTGACCTGAGGGGCTCTCCACAGCGACTATGAGAAGTGAGAACCTTGGAAGGTTTGGGATTGGGTAGGTAACATGATGGATATGGTGCTTTGGAATGTTAATTTGTGTTGGGTCCTTTCTGAAATTCTGATTCAAAGTGCAAGGCAGCCTGGATGGAGAGAGGCTGCAAGCAGGAAAACCGGCCAGGTTTAAGACTGTAATCTAGTCGGGGATGACAAGGGCCTAGGACCCAGGGCCAATGTTAATTTTAGCACCTTCAGCTGAGTGAGGCTCTGCAGATATCTCTGTCCTCACAACCTCTGTGCAGGTCTCTGTATTTTTAGTCCCATGTAACAGATGCAGAGGCATCGGAGAGTCAGGAAAGCTCTGTGACGCATGGAGGCCACATAACTAGTGAGAGCTGACTCAGGAATAGAACAAAGGCCAGTCTGACTCCAGAGCCTCAAGGTTCCCTCTTGGGGTACAATCAAGGCAGTGAGCTTTGGGGAGTGGGGACAGTTCCAAGGGCTGGCACAGGGTGAGGTCACAAGGTACAATGCAGTTCTTGCAAATAGAAGTGTTTGTTCTACCACTGTAATGATTTTAGGAATGAGGTCCCAAAGCAGTATGAGGACTTCATGTATGCGTAGATAACCACATTGGCACATGGATGTTTTCTAGGAGTATGAGGTCACAGGCAGGTCCAATATCACAAAAGTATGAACCTATAAGTCTAAATGTACCTGTGAGAATGTAATTGATTTGAGTGGGGGTAGAGGGTGTGTTTTGGAAGTGTGGACACTCAGATATATTGATAAAAATCAGCAAAATATCTGCCTGCAATGGAGAAACATCAGATTTCTAGCTTTATCCTTCTGCATCATCTTCCTGACCAGTCTCCGTGTTGTTTTCATTTCGTGTGTTGCAAGCCAAGCTCTGGAGATTTGGTCTCATTAATTTTCACATTGCAAACTCCCTTTGGTAGAAGACAGACTGGGAACATTCCTGACTTTTTACTAGGTAGAAAGTATCTGAGCAACGGTCAGCCATTGAATGGCAATATTCATACTTGCACAGCAATTCTGGTTGATCTGTAATTTTACTGTCATTTTTGATTCTTTTTAGATAGGCAGGCAGGGGATACCTCTGAGGCCCTTCTAGATTTAAGATCCTATGGTGAAAATAAAACTGAGGCTCACAGCTACATGTGACTGGTCCAAGATCTCACAGTTGTAGAATTGAGGCCTGGCCCTAGGTCTCCAGACTTTAATCCCAGCCTCTTTCCACTAAACCACTCTACCTCTTTACAAATCAAAGCCAGGAAATGTCTTGAATCCAAGGTCTTAAAAAATGGAAATGATTTTTGCAATCAAAAAAGATCTTTGCAAGCAAATGGAGAAGCAAGTTATTTGCAAAACTACCAGTAGAGGTGATCGTGCATCTGAGTCTCTGGGCCAACCAGAATTAAGTCTGAACATAAAATACACGTTGAATGTTTAAAAAAAAGTCTTCTGAAGTAAAATAATTTCTGGAAGAACAGTGTGCTTTGGCAGGAAAGGAAGCTTATAAGCAAAGCCATAAAACTGTCAGTTTAATATACCATCATTTCACTAACATGAAGTGGGCCGGCTCTGTCCCCTCCATTCTTTTCCTCCTTCCAACTCTTTTAAAAAAGAACAGCTCTACTTATGCCAAGGTGGAATTTTGGCTCTACTTGCCACTATTCTGCGACAGAGTGGCTTTGTTGACGTGAGAAAGGCTCTCTTTGCTTTGCCAGAATTAGTCATGGAAACTTCACAGGAACACCAGGGCCCCTCAGATATACACAGAATACCATGGAGCTGGGGACAAAGGAATTCACAGAACTGGGGAGAGCAGGGGGAGGTCTGCAGTGGGGCGTATGGGGTGAGATGCTGGTTGCTCCCAGGCAGCTCTTCTGGAACCCAGTAGCACAGGCCTGAGAAAAGCAGAGAGAAAGAGCAAAACCGCTTCAGGACCTTGAAACCTTGCTGGAGTATCTCATGACCTTGTTCAAGTCTCTCTTTTTTTCTGGAAAGAAATGTGTTGGTACATCCTGCATATGCTATGGACAGAGGAGGAGGGACTGGTGATTTCTAGCAGTGGTTCTGATGTGTGTGGCAGGGGGCACTGCATGTGTGCAGTCCCTGCTATAAGTTTCCCTTCCTTATATGTGCTCACAATCAGTCCCTCATCTCAAGGTTAATGCACTAGGGCCAAACCCTGGTTTTGTGGGGCCTCAAGCTTAAATGGTTTAGGGAGGGCTAAAAAAATATACAATTATAAATGCAAATTGGGTAAATGGCCTTGCAAGACCCTTGCAAATAAAAGGTCTGAAATCAAAGCTTAATTAGCTTCATGGTAATCCAACTCCCCATTTGCCCTATTATTTTCTTCATAAACAAAATCTTTCCAATAATGGCTTTTGGGTCCTTAGTCTATTAGAGAGAGTCCTATTCAATATCTGATGCACATATGGCTTATCTCAAGTAGACTCTAAGAGCCTTGCACACTTCAGCTTCCCCCAGACCCACCACAGTGTACTGCCTGAGAAAATGCTCAACAAATGGTTTGTATATTAAATGTCATTTGGGGGTACAAAGTTTCGGTTATGCAAGATGAGTAATTTTTGGAGATCTAATGTACAGCATGGCGATGATAGTTAATAATACTGTTTGTATACTTTTAATTTGCTAAGAGGATAGATCATAAATTAAATTTTCTCAACATGCACACACACAAAATGGTAACTATGTAGAGGTAGTGAATATGTTAATTAGCTTGATTATGGTGAACATTTCACCATATATATGAATATTAAAACATTAAAACATTTGTACACCTTAAATATATGCAATTTTTATATGTCAGTGATATCTCAATAAAGCTGCTTAAAAATAAACAAAAATTATTTTAAAATGTCATTTACAGTCTCTTCAGGTTAGTGCAGCAGCCAACAGTGGCACTTCGGATGTTTTTGGGTCAGTATGGCCAGGCTCCATGACATCCAGATAAGAGATATATCGCCTGACGAAGATTAGCTTTAAGATTTAAAAAAATCTATTATGAAGCTGTCAATCAATAATTTTTTTTTTTTTTGAGATGGAGTCTCGCTCTGGTGCCAAGGCTGGAGTGCAGTGGCACAATCTCAGCTCACTGTAACTTCCACCTCCCGGGTTCAAGCGATTCTCCTGCCTCAGCCTTCCCAGTAGCTGAGATTACAGGCACACGCCCCCATGCCTGGCCAATTTTTGTATTTTTAGTAGAGATGGGGTTTCACCATGTTGGCCAGGCTGGTCTCGAATTCCTGATTGCAAGTGATCCACCTGCCTCGGCCTTCCGAAGTGCTGGGATTACAAGCCTAAGCCACTGTGCCCGGTCAATCAAGAATTATTTAATTACCCTTTGATTAATTTCTATGTTTAGCCTCTATCACAGCTTATGGGATATAACATGTTCCTTTTACTACTCATTGCGTATTGTGTGCCTGGAAATTACTATATTCAAATTTCAAATGGGACAGTGATGTTTACCTCCACCATTTTCTTTATTATTTTACAGATTCTGTCACATTCTCTATGTGTCTTTTCAGACTGAAGAATCTAGGTTGGCTCAGGCCACCTTCACACGGAAGCCTCTCTCCTTCACTGCTGCTCACATGTCATCTCTGGAATGCCTCATGCTGCCTATGCTTAGAGCTTTCTTGAGGTGGCCCAGACACAGCATAGCACACTAGATGCTTGGTTTCTATAGAATGATCGGTTCCTGTGTTCTGCAATGGTCTTGTCTAGTCATAGCAGAAGTATAGCAGTATAGTAAGCACTTACAGAGTTAGAAACATGTTAGGCCTGTTCATATAGGGCTGAAAATCATCTCACAAAGATCTGTGAGGCTCAGGGATTCATCCCTGTTTGCACTGAGGAGACTGTGACTTCAAGAGCTGGGCCATGACTGAGGTAAGAGTCAGACCCAGGTGGCTCCAACTCCGGTACTTGAGAGAGGTGCTTCTGTTCTCATGGTCCACAGTGACGAGTTGGAGAGTCTCCCCTGTGACATACCACACCGCCTTCTCAACACAGGAACACCCAGTGACTCCACTGCTACTGACAGGGTCTTTCGGGCTCCCCATTATGAAAGCAACACTCCTCAGAGTGATTCTTAGGAGTTCCCAAGATATCTTGTCACTCTTCCTAAAAAATGTTTTTGTAAGGCTGCCACTAGTTTCATAATTTCACCCTTCGGTTTCTTAGGAAAGTCCAAGTGGAAGTTTCTAATACAGACCATTTATCTGCCCTGAATTAGCTTGTTAGGTTTGAATATGGTTCTTATTTTCTCCTCTCCAATTGTCTACCTAAGACTTGTCCACTTTGAAGGCCAATGTAGAGAGTATAAATCCTCCAGTCTTCTTCAGTAATGGCCAAGGAAAATGATTTAAACCCATCAAAATGCTATTTGATGAATGCCTGTAACAGCAAAACAAAAAAAGAGAACGGTCTGTAATGAGCATGGCGCAAGCTCCGTGGCATAAACCCAAAAGGGAGGCCTGGGTGCAGTGGCTCAAGCCTGTCATTCCAGCACTTTGGGAGGCTGAGGTGGGAAGATTGCTTGAGCCCAGGAGTTTGAGGCTGCAGTGAGCTAGGATCATGCCACTGCACTCCAGCCTGGGTGACAGAGTGAGACCCTGTCTCTAAAAATAACAACAAAAAACCCAAAAAGGAGCAGAGGATGTGGCTGCCCCCACCACAGGAGTGTCTAACCTAGTTGAGCTGATGAAACAAGAATACAGGCCAATGCAGTCCTAAGTAATGGGGCCGACTCCAGGAGATGGGACTTCATAGAAGAGATGGGACTTGAGCCGAGCTCTTAAGAAAGGTAGGATGTGGATGGAAAATCTATAGGTTTTTGAGCAGGAGAGTGTTAAGAAAAACATTTGAACAGTGGCACATGGCAAGAAATGGGTAAGGCGGAATTGGGGGCAGGCAGAAGGATATCAGTTGGAACAGGCCTGGGGTGATGACAGTTGCATCTACACTAGTGGTGGCATGGTTATAGAAGGAAGGGATCCAAGAGAGATCTCTACAGAATAACGAGGTCTGGCAACATCCTGAATAGAGAGAGGAAGGAGAGAGTCTGGGGGGCTGCCAGATCTTTGGCTTCTAGGGCCTGGAGGGTTGGTTGTGTGTCTCTATCAGAAATGAAGTCTGGGAAAGGTGTCCCGTGAGGGTGGGGTGGGCAATGATGAGTCAGTTATGGACGCGTCTCAAGGACAGTGAAACATCCCACCGACAGCTGCCAATATTGGCTAAAGATGCATATCTGGGCGTCACCTGTGTAGGGGTGAGAAATTGAGGCAGAGGAACAAATGAGCTCAGGAGAAAAAGGTGGGCATGGAAGGCCGAGGGCGGCTAGGGCGTGGAAGGAAAAGGGGGAGCACAGACAGCAGGAAGAGCAGCCCACAAGGGGTCTCTGTGCAAATCAGAAAAGGCACCTTTCTCTCCAGGAGATGCAGCACATGGCCAGGGTATGGGGCTTGGCTAGCAGAGTGTAGTTTGGATTTCAGCCCCTGTCACCTCCTCATGCAGTCAACAGCCTGCACAATGGTATGAGAACTCTGACAGCAAAGCAGCCGAGAGTAGAGTAGGAACATTCAGAGAATTGGGAGGAAAACCAGGAAGCCTAGAGAGCTCCCAGAAATGGATGATGAATGCCATGTAAGAGAAATCATTTGGCAAATGTCGGGATAAAACAGCCAAAAAAAAAAAAAAGCTTTTAAACTTCTGCTGAAACCTGAACTAGTAACCTGGAGTGTAAGCCAGGCAGAGGCAGTGATGTCCTGTGTAAGAAGAATTAATGCAGGAGGACTGAAATGGGCCCTGGATATATCTCTGCCTCTAACATATGGTGTGACATGGGGCAAGGTGCTTGACCTCTCTGGGCCTCAGTTTCCTCAGCTATAAAATGCAGAGGTTATAGATGATGCCTAAGTCCCTTAAGCTGTAAGAATTCTATTAATTAGAAAGCTCAGGAATTTACCACTTCAGATGTTCCTGAATATCAAACTTCACTCTCCCAAGGAAGCTAACCTAAATGGCCAAACTAAAGAAAGTGGTTATGTATACAGTCACATGAGGGTGTTGCTAGGTTCTGAAGGGGGGATTAAAGTTGGCTCTCATAGTCAAAGGATTCTCATAAGCAATGCCTTTTCATTCCCTCCCAGATCATGGCAGAGGGAATCAGGGAAGCAGTAATGGAACCCCAATTGAGTGTCCTGATTTTGTTTCTAGTGAACTGGGTGGAACCCTCTACTCCCCTAGAATACTATTAATAAATTTTTTATTCTACTTGCATTTGCCTTGCAAGGAGAAAAGGGAAGAAAAGAAAGGAGAGAAAGGCTAAAGGAAATTCACATGCGATTCACAATTCTTCATTCCTGCCAAGAACCTGTCACTGAAGTATGTCTGGGGCTGCCAGGGCTCACATTTACTCAGCATTCATGCTCTAATTATTTCCACATGTAGTTCAAGGAAAATGGTTGATCAAAAGTTTAAAAAAAAAATTCCCACACACCTAAATCCCAGTACCTTCAAATCAAAGAAGGGAGAAAGCTCTAGGGCAGCTGTGGGAAAATTCTCAAGACAGGCAGTTTTAGAAGCATCCCCTGCAGTGCCTGCCACATCTGGGCCAACATCCCTACACATTCCCATCCCTCCATCCCATGCAAGCCCACCCTCCACCCACCCCCAGCTTCCCAAGCCCTGAACCCATTAGGATTTGCATTCTTTGGAGTTCCAAGTGGAATGTAGGATTTATTCCCCTGATATGGTGGAAGGCAGATGAGATGGATATCGCCTAAGAGGTATCTAGTTCTCCACTCCACCCATTTTTGCCTTGGGTGCCACTGAATTTAAGTAGTCCCTGGGTGGTTCCTGATACCACAGACCTGCTGGGAATAGAATCCACTGTGGCAGAGAGCTTGCTTGCTTCCCTGAGCTGGAACAGTACCCCCATCACTTCTGTGGCTGCTTTCCATTACCCCAATTTGCACATGATTCCCCCTAAACCTGCAAGCCAAGCCACTATTCTCGACGGTGGTCCACATGCCCTGGCACTGAGTTGGATGCCCGACACTGTCACCTACTGCCTTCTACCTGGGCACTGTTAACAAAGTCTTTGGCATATGGCACAGGGCGTTTTTCCTCTCTCCTGGGTGACTTCATTGTTCATGTAGCCTCGAGATCTGTGGGCTCCTCACTTCGAGCAACCCTCCACTTCTTAGGGACCCTGGATACTGAAAGCTTTGGGAAGTGTCTGTAAGCAGAGCAGGTAGCCACAGCAGATTTAAGCTGTAAGTGGACTAAAATTTAAAAAAAGGGTCTAGGGCTCCCAAGGCTCTATGTTTTGAAATGAGAACTCATTAGCCTTTGAAAATGTCAGCATGATGAGGAATTGTCAGATGCTTCTTTAACCTTCAGATAGGCAGAGAATGTCCCACAAGACCACCTAAAAAAATAATGTCACCATCTGGGAAGTCTGATTTGTTGTCTGGCTTGCCCAAATTCTCCCTGTCCTTCAAGGCTTGGGTCAAGTTACACCACTCCATCCTCAGTGACCTTTTACTTTCTACTGGTATGAATTCCCCCTTCCTTCTCTGAACTTTGATTCCTCTTTGTATGAACTCATTTTGATCATTTATTTTTTTAAAAACAGAACTGACTGTGTGGATTTTGTCTTTCTGGCTGAACTACAAGCTCCTAGAGGACAAAGATTCTGTTTGTCCATCCTTTTGTAGGACCTAGTATACCTTGTGCCACTCCATTAACCTTTGTTGAAAGCAAAAAAAGGTGGATTGAACCACACTGCCCTGGGGACTTGGGATAGGGACAGAGAGGAACAACACCTGTGCCAACTCCTTTCCTGGGGCTGCTCCCTCCCAGAACTGGTCTTCTTTGAGGAAATACCCTAAAGACCCTGCCCTCCACCACCAGGCCATATATATTCAGCCTGGAATTTCACTAATTAGAGATTGTCTTAGGCCCACAGAAAGACATTGAAGAGTGTGTTTGTGCATGTGTGTGCATGCATATGTGTGTTAATGAGGTAGAAGAGCAACGGAGGACGAAAATGGCTTTCAGTCATTTCCTTTGTCCACAGTTTAAATATTTAACCTAACTGAGACATGCTGAGAGAATGAGAATTTGGTGAAGAGGAAGATAAGGTAATGTGGGAATGTGGGGTATCTCAGAGCAAAGCAAAATTGGGTGAGATTTCTGAGTATAGGGTAGGGGCAGCCAAAGAGCTGCCTGATACCTTGGGGGCCTATACTAGGGGGAAGTAGAGATGAAGAGAAGCAAGTGAGAAGGCAGGAGAAACTGTGGAAATGGGCTTATTATCTGAGGCCAGTGCTTTGCGTGAACTCTTCTGAGGAACCCCGCCCTTACACTGTCTTCTGAGGTAGAGGGAGACAGGCTGGCCAACATTTCTAGACCAGGAAAAAAGCTTCTTGCCTTGCTCTACCCCTCCTCCACTCCCAAAATATTCTGGGGATCTCTAACTACTCCCCTCTGTCTCATCCACTAGGCTGACCTTGCAGTGGGCTGGAATACACTGAAACACGAGTTGCCGGGACAGCAAAGCCTTAGGTGTGCCCACGTGGTTTATCTCCCCTTGGATTGGGCACATTAGTAAGAACTGTGATGCCCAACCAAGAGGTGAGACCATCTGATACAATGGTGGAGGCTGGGGGGATAGTAGGGATGTCAGGGTTGACTGAAACAAAATGGATCTGGGAGACCCAGCATAGCAAAGTAGCACCAGTCTCCACTTTAAAAACAAGGACAGGCCGGGCACAGTGGCTCATACCTGTAATCCCAGCCCTCTGGGAGGCCTAGGCAGGTGGATCACTTGAGGACAGAAGTTTGAGACCAGCCTGGCCAACATGGTGAAACCCCCCTCTCCATTAAAAATACAAAAATTAGCTGGGTGTGGTGACTTGCACCTGTAAATCCAGCTACTCTGGAGGCTGAGGCACGAGAATCGCTTGAACCTGGAAGGCAGAGGTTGCAATGAGCCTAGATTGCACCACTGTCCTCCAGCCTGGGTAACGGAGTGAGACTCTGTCTCAGACAAAAAACAAACAGCAACAACAACAACAACAACAACAAAAAACAGGGACAAAGTCCTGGGAATCTCTGGGGGTAGTGTGGCTGCAAAGCAGTTAAGGTTCCAGCATCCTGGCAATTATTCTCTAGCCTAAGGATGCAGACAGGGTTAAAACCCAGCAAGAAACTCAAAGCTAAATGAAGTCTCCATATGTGTGGCTCAGTAGGGTTCTAGGAGAAGCAGACAGATGTAATTAGAAGTTCTCAGACATTGTGTTGCCACAGCAACTGCTGGCCAGGAAGAAAGTGGGGAAAACCTGGAGTCCGAGGAATACAGTCTTCCAAGGAAATGCCAGTGGTGTTCATCATGCTTGGGCTTCATGGCTGGCTCCTCCAGCTTGCCCACGCCCAGGCTCTAGAAGGCCCTCTCCCTCAAATTCCTCCTAATCCCCATTCCCACCCCTGGAGCAATTTCAAATGCACATCAAGGGCTCCCTTCAGAGGGCATCCAAAGGAAGGAATGAGGAACTCTCAGAGGAGAGTTTGTGCTGAAGAGTAATCTCTGGTCTCTGGGGCTTTCTGGAGCTGAGTGAGGATCAGTGAGGGAGGCTGCAAGTTTAATTTATGCATCACTCTGGAGCACCCATGAGTGTGGCCTTCAGCCATATATTTTATCATCCAAATGGGGACATTTGAGAGTTAAAGGAAACCTTTTAAACAGACACACTTGGACAACAGGCCTAAACTGTGACACATGGTCACCTTAATTACTAGGCTGCCTATGGGATGGGAAAATTTGTGGTTTTTATTTTAGAGAGTGAGGATGCTAACCTGGTATCTATGGGCCCCCAGAAACCCATCCATAAATTTTGGGACTGGATTTTCAAGGGGGCATGAATTTTTCAATACTCAAAAGACCCAAACCCAAACCCAATAACCTAGGAAAGACAAACCCTAATTTACTGCTCTGGGCATGAACTGCCTTTTGTAGCCTTAATCTCCCTTGATTCAACAGCCACAGGAGGATTTTCTAGGGTTCTGCTGCTGGGAAGCTGGGGAGCCTCAGCAGATGGGACCATCTTTGCTTCTAAGTCTTGATCATTACAAATCCTTCCAACTACTCCTCTAAAGAGACAATCATTCATTTCACACTTTGTCACCTAAGGGAGATAGTTCCCTATTCACTGTTTACAGCAATAAAGTGGTCAGTGGAGTGGGATCATTCCACAGCAGTGAGACCTAATATATCTGCCCCTGAAGGGGAGTGGTTTCCAGGAGTGCATTCTTACACATTCTTTAACATCTGAACTGAAAACAGTGGCACAGGGATCCTGTAGTCATGAAATCAGGGAAAGATCAGGCTCTCCCAGAGCACCAGCAGAAATGACTATGTTTTAGGCATAAGCTAGCCAGCCTAGATATTATGAGCATGTGGTTCAGCCACAGGCTCAGTTACAAAATTGCAGGATGTTTAAAGGGTAAGGCCCACCCAGAGTGCGTCTCCTAGAATTTTCTCAGAGACTTTGGGAATCACAGCCATCTGGTAGGAGTTCCTGACAGTTACTCATTGACTCAGGCTGGTGGTGACCCTCTTCTCAACCCTGGTTTAAGGCTGGGAGTCCCTGGGCCAACATGCCTAATTTATTGCACCTATTACTCAGACAGGTCCTGAAAAGTAGAGCACAAGTTTCTGAGCTGAGTTTGGAACTTCTCAAGATTTCTGGGGTGGTCAGGAGGGGCTCCTTAAAACCTGTAAGCATCAATTTTAACACCATTGTTCTCTACTAGGCATGGGTGTCAGGAAGTTCTGGCACCCTCTACAGGTCCCCTGGATTTTAATAGTCCAGTTTAGAGGAATGTTAATCTTTGTGGAACAAACTAAGAACTACATAAAATCAGTTCCTTTGAAAAGAAAAGCAACAATCCAAACACAAATTAATCTGCATTTCCTTATCAATATCTAACATGGAAATAGATGAAATCTATAAGTAATATACAGGACAATCAAAAACATACCAAACATCATGCCAAGTGCCAGGGGCTCAAGGAGGAGTAAAGCACACTCTGTGTCTCTAAGGAGCTTGTAGCTTAGGTGAGAAGCTAGGGGAATGAATATATGCAATTTTAAATAACAGAACAACACAATCTAATAAGAGATAACTCAAGACAATGTGTGGCTATGGTTAAGTGACAACTGTCTAGAGCAGTGCTGTCCAACAGAAATAGAATACCCATCTCATACAGAATTTAAAATTTTCTAGTAGGTACATTTTTTTTTGAGACGAAGTCTCAATCTATTGCCCATGCTGGAGTGCAGTGGCATGATCTCAGCTCACTGCAAACTCCGCCTCCTGGGTTCAAGCAATTCTCCTTCCTCAATCTGCTGAGTACCTGGGATTATAGGTGCCTGCCACCATGCCCGGACAATTTTTGTGTTTTTAGTAGAGACAGGGTTTCACCATGTTGGCCAGGCTGTTCTTGAACTCCGGACCTCAAGTGATCCACCACCTCGGTCTCCCAAAGTGCTGGGATTATAGTTGTGAGCCACCGCACCCGGCCTCTGGAAGGTACCTTTTAAAAACTCAAAAGAAATAAGGTGAAATTAAGTGTAATCACTTATTTTAAGAAAATATATCCAAAATATTACCATCTCAACATGTAATCAATAATATGGAGATATTTTAGACTTTTTTCATACTAAGTCTTTGGAATCTGGTATGTCTTTTACACTTACAGTACATCTAAATTGGACTAGCCACGTTTCAAGTGCTCAATAGCCACTGCAGCTAGTAGCTATCGGCATTGAACAGCACAGTTCTAAACAGTTATGGCTGGATGCGGTGGCTCACGCCTGTTATCCCAGCACTTTGGGAGGCCAAGGCGAGACGATTCCTTGAGGCCAGGAGTTTGAGACCAGCCTGGGCAATATAGCAAGATCCTGTCTCTTAAAAAAAAAAGAAAAAGAGAAAAAAGGAAATAAAAATAGTTCTGAGTTCTGACCTCACTGCATCGGAGGAGGAGGGTTTGAGGAGAAAGAGGACGACCTTCTTTAACTTGGAATACTTTTCAAGTGGTGTATAACTGAAGTCAATAGAGATTATCTGAACATACAGGCAAGGCAGCATGTCAGGCTGCATCTGGGACCAGGATACTGAGTAATGAGGACCTAGTCCTTCAAAAATAGGCAGGCGTCATGGGCACTTAGGCTGAATTCTGGCTGTTTTCAATGCCTGTGGACAAGTCATTTCACCCTTCTGGTCTCCTCTATAAGAAAGGTAAAATGTTTGGTACTTCCTCTCTGTAAGACTTTTTATGGCTCAGCTCAGAAACAATGACAAAAGGGCTAATTAAGCTGTACATATTTGGAGCCTTCTCTTAGCTAAATATGCTTTTTTGGGGGCATACAAATCCATGGACAAATTTGGCAATGAGATAGATATATCTTTTCAAAACCTTTTTAAAACATTTTCTTGGCTTGACTGCTACACTCTCTTACTGCCAGCTTTCAATATTACACACACACAAACACAGTTTCAGTGCCTTGAGATTAAAGTCAATGAAAACATGCACATTCTATTCTTCTTGAGACATTCCTGCCTTGCATTCTTTCCTTGAAGCAGTTGGGATGTCACAGCTGGGGGGAAGGAGCTGTAAAACCTACTTATGCTGGCCAATCAGGCCTTGGCTGACAGGAGGCCCACCAATGAGGGACTGCCAGGTATTCCGTTCCGCTGCAACAAATTCCCCCCTATTTTTTCAGAAATTAAAACCCTCCGAGACCCTCAAGCTGTACACAATGCACAAAGACCTCCTTTTTTGTTCATTCTGTTTTTCCCCAAGGACTGCATTAGAAACTCTACACAAAAATGTACTAGCTTAGTTGCTATGGATAGATTATCATTTGTGGTAAAAACACTTCCAAGTATCATGTAACAATATTGTTCTCACAGCTCTGGTATCCTTCATTTTAACTGTGTAAACACTGGAGAAATGCCACATATTTAACTGTTTGGGGTCACCCTGAGGAACTCCCAACTCCACTGAAAAATGAAGTAGTATGCTATGGTAAGTCCGGGAACTCTGACTTAAGGAGTTAAGGCCACAGGTAAGTGGAGGTGGTTGGCCCCCAGGGACTTCACTCAATGCTGTCCACTGTGTTAGCGGTGGAACGTTCCCCAGAATGAGACTTCGCCTCTGAGATCTTAATGTGCAAATCCAGTGACACTGAATGCCTTTTGCTTTGTTTTATCCATACTGGAAACATCACAGTTGCCATTCAAATGAAACCAGAGAGAAAGAGTAACAGCAGGAAGGATCCAAAAAAGTAAAGGCTTCAGCAAAAGGTGAGGTCCAAAGACAAAGGTGACTAGTGACTATGGGCAAAGAATTACCAACAACAGAATTTAATGCTTTATTTCATATTCTTTGGGACATTAGCTTCCTCTGGGAATGGTGCCAAGTTATATTAAAATTGCTGATCATGGAAGGAAACAATAAAAATATTTACTATTCAGCTAGCCTCTGCTTAACTTCCAACTTCACCTGGGACTGAGAGACTTAGAATCCAGGTGTCTGATTAAGCAAGCCCAGCACTACTATCATGTCCAAGATTAAGCAAACTGTTGACGGGCAAGTGCTGTCAACCATCTTCCCAGATGCACAACATTCTTGCAAAATACGGCACAGAGATGACTATCATTAAGATACAAAGATTGTAGGCACCTCTTCGTATTACATATGAGACATTTGGCCTTATTAATCCATTTAGCTAGTGGATTAATTCAAAAAATATTTACTAAGCATCTACTATACACTAAGCACAACTGGTTCTAGGTATTAGAGATCCATTGCAGAATGAGAGAGACAAAGCCCTATTCTAAAGGAGTACATGCTCTAGAGGGAGGAAGGTGAATAAACAAACAAAAATAACAAGTTCATTTCAGCCTGTGATCAGTAAGTTTAGAGGAAAATAGAGTATGTATGACAGAACTCTGGGAGAGAGGGCACCACTTAGATTGAGTGGTCAGGGAATGCTTTCTTGAGCTGGGACCTGAAGGATGAGAGCAATTCAGACGAAAGTAGAAAAGTGCAAAGGTTCTGAAGCAGGGTGGAATTTGTTACATTCCTGGAACAGAGAAAAGGCCAGTGTAGCCATAGCACTGGGTCCAAAAGCCAGAGCAGCAAGAGGTAAGCTGGGAAAAGCTGGCAAGGGGTAGAGCATGTAGGGTTTTAAAGGTACTGATAAGTCTGTATTTTATTCTTAATGCAATGGATGTCACTGGGGGGTTTTGCTCAGGGAGTGGCATGATCAGATATGTGTTTTACAAAGATTACTCAGGCTGTCCTGTACAGAAAGAGCCAGGTCGCAGGAGAGAGAAAGCGGAGAGCAGCTAGGTGCTATTGCAATAGTCCAGGCACAATGATGGCAGCTTGGCTAGGGTGGTGGCGGTGGGGACAGAGGACAGTCAATGGAGAGGTGATACATTCTGACAGTACAGAAGGCAGGACTTGCTGATAGACTGGGTATGAACAGAGAAAGTGAAAAATAAAAGAGAAAATTCCTGGGTACATAAGTTGATATCCAAAAGCCCAGCCAGTTCTGGGTAGGTGTGCACATGGCCATGCTGATGGTCCATTCTAGAGTCACTACCAAGAGGATCTTCTCTGAGACAGGCTCTGGGTCCAGACAAGTCCCTTGCCTTCCTGAGGAAACTTAGTTTATGAGGTGAGTTCAGCAAGGCCACTAAGACCTGGGGTCACATATAAATAGATCCTGTTCATGGGAAGTCTGTCCATGGAACACTAGCCTTGAAATATTTATGGCCTTTTTTGAAATGGTGTTCTGTGGTAAAATGTTTGGGAAACATTACTTATTATACTTCCTTCTAGAGTCATAAACGCACACGAACTTTGTAAAACTCTGGAACATCCTCTAACTAAAAAACCATTTAACCCAGCACATATATGGACTTCACTCACTACACACTTTGGGTCTAGGCTCTTCATGTCTCTCCCTATGGTGTTATTACCGTTCCTTGGAATTCAAGCCATAACAACAAGGAGAACAATAGCAACTACTATTTATTGAGTACTTACCTTGTGGGAGGCACCTTTGTAGACATCATCTCCCTTGCCACACACTATGTACAGGTGCCATTTTAATTTACAGCTTTAATTATCATTTGTGAGTTGTGCTTACAGAGCATACATTTACTTACAAAAAACAGCCAGGCACGGTGGCTCATGCCTATAATCCCAGCACATTGGGAGGTTGAGTCAGGGAGCTCACATGAGGTCAGGAGTTCAAGACCAGCCTGGCCAACATGGTGAAACCCCATCTCTACCAAAAATACAAAAATTAGCCGGGCGTGGTTGCAGGCACCTGTAATCCCAGCTACTTGGGAGGCTGAGGCACGAGAATTGCTTTAATCCAGGAGGCAGAGGTTGCAGTGAGCCGAGATCCTGCCACTACACTCCAGTCTGGGCGACAGAGCGAGACTCTGTCTCAAAACAAAAACAAACAAACAAAAAACAGTGATATATCTTTTCTGATCATATACATCTGCAGTGTTCACTCACAGTATTTTCTCATGAAGCACTTAACAGAAATTCTTCACTCAATTGCCTCATCTGCATTTGCTTAACCCACTAAAATTAACAGAGTTTCCCACGTGCATCACCACCTCCCTTCTTCCAGTCTTCCTCATCACTATTTTCCTCCTCCTTATTTGTTCTACCCACTTCTAGGACAAGAACCATTTGGGGACAGTTCATTACATGCTTTGAACACTCTTAGGCTTACAATTCCTAACTTTTGTCTCTTTCTCAGAGACTGTCATGACTTTCTGAATATGGCTACTGTCACATCTGAGCCCACAGACTGGCAGTCTAGAGCCTCAGCTATCTATCTGAGCCCCAAATACATGCACACACTTCAGCCTAGGCAGAGAAAAGACTTTTTCCTGGAGTCAGAGTCAAACAACAAATCACTGGAGAATGAGGAAGTCTTTACATTCCAGGCCACTGTAACATGAGTAATTTCAGTCACTACACGACAATGCCATTTACACTGGGCAAAATAATTATAGCATTACCTGGAAAATAACCCAATCAACCAACGGAAACACAGCCACTGGGGAGGAACCCAGCTTGCTCTCTAATCCACACAGCAATTCCATGGAGCAACTTAAACAGGAAATGAAGAGACTTCTATTTGATCAAATGTGTATGGGGAATTTGGAGGAAAAACGCAATTACCTAAGCTGTAAAATGACCAACATAGTGGGGTAGTCATCCTCAAGCGCTGGTTGTTTTTACAGGATTTCATATCCCTATCACAGTTTATTTTTGTAAAAAAAAAAAAGTATCTAAAATAGGACACGTAATAAACAAAAACAACCCCAACATGGTTTCTTATTATCTAGCTTATATATGTTCCTTTGTAGAAAATGAAAAAACACAAAGACTCTTCTCCAATTGTATCTGTAAGAGGAAGCGGTTAACTTTGTAACTATCCTTTAAAACAACATGGTCCACAAGTAGCTTGGGGAGTTTTATTAAGAAATAAGTCTGCAGTGAGTACTGAAATTATTATACCCAACATTTAGCCAAGACTTGAATGTCTGGCCTCTACTCAAAACATTTCCCAGTCCCATTCTCCCTTCTAGTTTCATCTCCCAAGAAAGGAGATTGAGAAACCCAAAATGGACTCACACCTGAAGTGTGTTCCTACTGGGAACTGGGGTTTTCTTTGATCACTATCAAGCCCTTGGTGCCACACAGAAAATTACCCTTCTGTGGAACAGGAGGCAGACACCAATTAATGCATAAAGTGAATGTCTTTCTCCTTAAAATAAATAGCTAAACCAGAAAATCTGCATCTCTGCATGTGGCTGTCAGCAAGACCAAGGCCACATAGGATAAGAAAGGAAAGAAAATAGAAAATGTCAAGGAGGGAAAACTAGAGGAAGGGGAACAAAGCACAAACAGACACATTCCTGAAAGACTGCTGGGACTCTAGGGAGAAGCCAGGTGAATTTCCTGCTTCTGATATAGGACTCAGCCTGTCCCTGTAGCACCATAATTATAGCACATAGTGCAAAACCAGGGATGGTGGTGCCCTGGGAGAAGCGAAGCTGCGTGCTCCGAGTATTTGTGAATGACTGGCAAGCATACATCTGCCTCCATCCCAAAGCAAGTTTTGTGAGCTCGGCTGGGCCACCAAGAAGCCATGCTGGGCCCTCCTGGTAGGGACCCTGACAGTAAAGGGAACTCAGTATGTCTGAGTCTTTGCTCAGGGTGAGCATCTGTATTTCTGTTTCAATAGTGTTTAGCCTCTCTGATAGAAATTCCACTGTATCAATTTCACACTACAGTTTAGGTGAGCCAGGTATATGTGTGAAGGGGATCAGAAATTTCTCGGACCATCTTTGAGGTCCCGTCCATTTTCTTTTTCTCTGTCACAAATGTTATGCCACAAACTACAAACTTGGGCCCTCTCAATAGCTAAAAATACATGTAATTAGCCCAACCCTTACAGAAGCTAATAGGATATGTTGGCTGTGGGATTAGGGAGGGAAAACCTATGTCTTATTTTTGGAATATGGTAGGGAATGAGTGAATGAATGACATGCACTTATTAAATTCATTAACAGGCAAACTTCACACCATAAAAATAAGCACTGGTTTATGTGCCTAGGCTTAGAAAGAAATCAGGGCAGTATAACATAAGTCAAACACTAAACTAAATTAAAACAAAACAAATTCCACAGGAATTTTTGTGAGAAAAGTCTCACTATTAGAGCTATAGGGAGATGGCCATGTTCTCCTAGTGGTGAAATTTAAGTCAGTGTCTATTTGTGTGTGTGTGTGCATGTCTCCTTGTGTATTCTGTATGTACACAGACACATATCCATGCACACACACACACACACATATAGTCTACCCTGGGGCACAGCAAAATTTAATTCAATTCTAACCTGTACTGTACCCTTACTAGAAAAGCCACCTCCAATATTGAGCTGGCTGGCTCCCCAGTCAGGATCAATAGCACGATTTAGCACATTGGGATTTTCTAGTGAGATTCGGGAACTGGAGTACAGGCAAGGTACCAAGCATTTCAGCAGGACTAAAACATCTGCATTGGCCTCTGTTTCCTTACTGTGTTCACCCTAACAAGTCACTTGATTTAACCATTGGGTCAAAGCCAAAGACCAGTGCCCATGGGCTGTAGTAAGAGCCTGATCTGACCAGAGATCAGGGCCAGGGGAGCAGGGCAGGCAATTCATTAATACTTGTTCAGGAGCCCCTGGATCCTGATCATGGGCCAGGCAACATGATGAGAAAGTAATAAGAAGGATTCCAGAAAACAAAATTAGGGTCCACGCAATAGTTTCAGACAACTATTTCTGTAAGCCATTTGCAATACTGCATCATTATTTTTAAAAGAAAATGTGAACATTTACAGAAGCGAGAAAAAGTTTTGTTTGCTTTTGTTTTTCAAGTAAGTTCAATAAATCCCAAACTGCACACTCTGAATTAGGGGTTGTCTTCCCTTTTTCCCCCCAAAATTTCTTGATCGACTACAAGGAGACCCAGGATTCTTCATTTCTTCCCCAGTGTTGTTGAGCGGTTGGCTTCTGAAGTGGAAAATCAAGTGATTCCTTTCTGTAGAGTAAACAGCATTTGGGATTCCTGGGCATGAAGACTGTTCAGGTGCCACATGCCGTACTGTTTATATTCCACTCACTACATGGCGAGAGAAAGTAAAGGACACAAGATGCCTCCTGTTTTTATTCACTCTGTTTTCTCATTCTTGAGCCAGCCTATCTTTCAAACTGTTCTTCACTAGGCTGTAAATCACCATAAGAGTTAATCAAATATCCCAATTCCATTAAGTAGAATATTTTGACAGTCTAGCCTAGAATATCCGCCTCCTTTTATATGAATAGGACTTCAAAGCTGCATTTTAGAGCCCACCTACTCTAACCCCCATATTTGGCAGATGAGGAGTCAGGTGGCTGCTCATTACCTGGGGTGCCACTGTCTGTCCTGAGTTATTCATCCCAGCCCATCTCTGGCCAGTAAATGGAGGTTCGTTTGAAGCCAGCTCACACCAGGGATGTCTGTAAACTCAGCCACAGTTTCAGTCAGCACTGCTGCTATCTTCACTCTGAACCTTTCAAGGCAGCTGAATCCTGACAGTCTCATAAATTCACTCACCTGTTTCCTATGTGTGCGACTCGTTGCCAGTCCCCCGGGACAGTTTAAGCCTAACTAAGAAAACTGGGGAAACGAGTGAGGACAGACAACCAAAGTAAGAGCTACAGAACCATGCAGATTGTGCTAAAAAGGCACAGAGCCAAGCAGACAGTGTCTAGACTTTAACTGGCCTCTCCCAGCGGAGAGGCGTGCAGGGAGGAGGCGAGAGCAAGGCCGGAAAGCCTGCTCGGGTTTTGCTCAGCTAATGCAAACACATGACACAACCTCTGACAGGCTCCAGGCTGGGGGTTTACTCTAAGACATTTCTTCCCAGGGGCTGGAATTCAGCTGGAGGCTGAGGAAATTCTGCTAATCCAGCAATCAGAAGGAAGCTGGGAATACTTGTTTTAATTCCTGGGGAATCACAGTTCCCAAACTAGACTGACTTGTGCAACAGCCCAAAGTAGCACACTGTGGGTACAAGAAACCAGATATTTAAGATTTCCATGTCTATCATCTCTGCTTATCTATGAGGAAAATCCACAAAAACACAGAACTGGCTTTTGATGGAGGCCTAGTACAAAAACTTTGCAAGAGTCTAAATGAAATCAACTTATAAGATGCACAAATGTAGAAATGACTGCCATAGTCTAATAAACATCACATGACTCAGAGATAACGTTGGGTTTGGGGAGCTTTGCACATCAGTTAGAAAAAAATGTGCTCCTTCCTGTGGGTGGGCAGACAAGCCCTGTGCCACACACAGGTACATGACACACTTGTGCAGTGAACAGTCTGTACAACCCTACCTAGCAACTCTGCTGGCGTTTTAGAGCTGTCTTGCCATTTGGCCTTATTTAATGCGGAACAGTTGTGAATACATCTGAAGAACAAAGAAATTGCCTTAAAACATCCCCCAAGGCTGGGCACTGTGGCTCACGACTGTAATGCTAGCACTTTGGGAGGCTGAGGAGGGAGGATCGCCTAAGCCCAGGAGTTAGAGACCAGCATGGGCAACAAGGTGAAACCCTGTCTCCACTAAAAACACAAAAATTAGCTGGGCCTGATGGCACATGCCTGTAGTCCCAGCTACTCTGGAGGCTGAGGTGGAAGGATTGCTTAAGCCAGGATGTAGAGGCTGCAGTGAGCTAAGATTGTGTCACTGCTCTCCAGCCCGGGCAACAGAGCAAGATCCTGTGTCAAAAAACAAAACAAAACAACTGGTACAAAAAAAAACCCCCAAAACTCCTAAGTCACTGATCATTAGGCTGCAAATGCTCCACTGTAAAAACTGCATTCCAATGTGACTCAGAAGTAAATGGACCTAATTCCAAATGGAGGTCATGCCTGCCATGTCTATGTGGCCAGAATGGCCAAGTCTGAAGTGTCATTCCAGGCACATAGCCATATAACAACTGATGTTACCTGGAAAGTTAAACGGCTGGGTCTCTACAATGCTGAGTGGATGTTACCTAGCAGAAGTGTCTTTGGTTTTCAAACTTCCACAAGACACAGTGACTATCAGTCATTTTTCAGAGCTCAGCTGGTGGGTCACTTCCTCCTGGAAGCGCTCCTGAGCCCTTCGTGCTGGGTTAGGTTTTCAGCCCTGTCCCAATACTTCTCACATTGCATCACTTTGAGCCTGTGTTCCTGTCTGCCTCCCCTCCGGACTGCAAGCTCTTTGGGCACAAGGTCTCTTATCCACCAGCACTAACTCAGTGCCTAACAGAGAACAGATTTGCAATACCTTTTGTTTTCCTCTTTTGAGTTGACTTTGAAAAATTTTACTTTGTCCCAGATGAGTGATGCAAAATAGTGTATTGAGACTTTGTGCAGTTTTATCTCTGCATCTAATGTGAACGTGGTGGTTCGTGAATGTTTGGCAGCTCCTACTGCAGCCCAGACACTTCAGGATGACCTCTCTGTAATGGTGAGAGAAGGAAAATAGAGGAGAAAGATGAAGGGAAGAGCAAAGAGCAACATAAGGAGTGGTACAGAGAGCTGGCTCCAGGGCCAGGAAGGGGTGGGCATGTGAGGCTGGCATCGGCCTGGCTGCAGACACAGCAGCCCCTCCCTAGTGGGACTGCAGGTCTGTGTGCAAAGTACCAGAAGCTGTGGCCTTGGCTCCCAAAGGGACAAATTCCAGCTTGCTCCAGGAATACTTCTTACCCTGTCTTTGAGAGTAATTGGCACTTATTTTTGAAATAATGAAAGCAAAGGATCCTATTCCTTTGCATTATCACATTTTCCACACCAACAATTTGAAATTTATTGCCTGGTAACAGGCCATGCTATGAAGACCACAGCAAAATGGAAATGACCACCCAAGATATCTGTTTGCCACCTTCATACATACCTCTTTTTTTGCCTTTTCTTTCTGTTTTCTTCCCAGTTATTTCCATTCACTCACTCTACCTTTAGGGAGAACCTATGCTGGCTTCCCATCCTACTGCCTCTGCACAGGAGATGCTCCATGAGTACTTCAATCTCTTCCTGGAGGAATGATAGAACTGTGGCTTCACAGAAGAAACACTACATAGAAGTTTAAGGGCAAGATTAGCTCAGTAGAAGCAAGGGTTCTGATATAAATTCTGGGCCTTAAAGCATCCACTGAAGTAAATATCCTAGTTTTCTCTTTAAAAAAGAAGGTGATAATTAAATCTCTGGAGAGAGAAAAAGAAGCAAGGAGACTTCTGTATGCCATGAACACACATATACACGTGCGTGAATGTGTGTGCAAACACACGTGTGTACACACATGTACACACACACACACGCACCCATGGCTTTTGGAGTTCGTCCCCTAGAGATGCCCTGAAGATGATAATACCAACTAACACTGCACACTGTGTGCCAAAACACTCTGCTTTACATGTAAGAGCTTATTTAATTCTCACAACCAACCTATGGGGTAGATACTCTGGATTAAGCCCGTTTTAGAGATGGGGAAACAGGCTCAGAGAGGTTTTAAGTAGTTTTCCCAAGATCACATGGCTAGTAAGGGCAGTGCTAGGATTTAATCTAGCTTCCAGGTCTGAGCGCTAAGCCATTATGTTATACTTCCTCTCGAGGAAAAATCAGTAATCAGAGTAACAACCTGAGCCAGCACAAAGGCTGTGCAAATAAAGACCATGCCTAGTGGATGTTTACTTGTATACTGAGGATTCTCCTGGTGAAATCATTACAGAGTCAAAAACATAAGCGACCCTTCATCTCTTGCAGGTATTTGTTTTTGGTGTTGACTATACACCATGAGTAGAGGAGACCTTTTCCAAGATCTAATCGAGTAGACAGGTAGAGACACAGGAATGATTCCCATTCTACTGGTAAGGAAAGTGACTTCGGGGAGGTTAAGTAACTTGCACAAGGCCTCACAGCTGGACAAGGCCAGAATTCAAACTCAGTCCACTGCCCCAAAGCCCTCGCTCTTAACTGAAGATACAAGTTAGAGACATTATGTGACTTTAAAAAGGTGCCCAGAAAAGGGCACAGCAGGACTTCTAAGTTGGACTCTTTCATTGTTCTACAGCGTTGCTCTTAATAACAAAATGGGTTTGTTACAGAGTCTATGAAAAAGACAGAGTTAGGCCTGGCATCGTGGCTCACGCCTCTAATCCCAGCACTTTGGGAGGCTGAGGCGGGTGGATCACTTGAGGGTGGGAGTTCCAGACCAGCCTGGCCAACTAGGTGAAACCCCATCTCTACTAAAAACACAAAAATTAGCCGGGTGTGGTGGCAGGCGCTTGTAATCCCAGCTACTCAGGAGGCTGAGGCAGGAGAATCACTTGAACCCAGGAGGCAGAGGAGGTTGCAGTGAGCCGAGATCGCACCACTGTGCTCCAGCCTGGGTGACAGAGCGGACTCCATCTCAAAAAAGAAAAAAAAAAAAAAAAAAAAAAGCAGACTTGGAGACACCCAGAAATGAGAACAAGAAAAGACAAAGAAAAATGGGAAGAGAAAAACAGCAGACCCCCAGAACGGTCACAAGGTAAGATAAAGTGAAGGGGAACATCACACTCTGGGGACTGTTGTGGGGTGGGGGGAGGGGGGAGGGATAGCATTGGGAGATACACCTAAGGCTAGATGACGAGTTAGTGGGTGCAGTGCACCAGCATGGCACATGTATACATATGTAACTAACCTGCACACTGTGCACATGTACCCTAAAACTTAAAGTATAATAATAATAAATTAAAAAAAAAAGTTCCACACAAAAAGCTGCCATCTACTGGACATACTGATTAGGTGGACAGGCTGAAAAGGGCCCCAGCTGCCCAAGTGGAGTCTTTCAAATTCTGAGAAGGCAGGGGCCATCTATCCCACTGCCATGTTTCAGGATTTTCTGAAGTAGTGCCAAGAGGTGAGGAAGGGGAATTTCTGCTAAAGCCTTACATCTGACCCCTAATGGCCAAGCAGCGATGGTGGTAGCAGCTCCTTCAGAACAGGGATCTGTATGGTAAGGCTTTTTAGTCCCACACTCTTCCTAATAGTAGCTTATGTGCAAACTGACTAGCATAATGCCTGACACTTCTGTAGATCCATAAATTACACTTATTAACTGTCATTGAAGGATAAGAGGAAAGACAGGGGAAAAGACAAATTTTGCCTCAGACATAGGATTTTAAATCTTGAAACAACAAAAAGTATAGAAAGACAGAGAGACGTTTTCCTTACATCAATTCAAGCCAATATCCCATGACACACACACACACATGCACACATGCATGCACATATAAATCTGGGCCTGCAACATGTGATAGCTTTTGTCATGTATCATATGACCTGTTTGTCAACAGCTTAGTTGGTCACAAATGGTGTCCAGGATTATTCAAGGGACATATGGGGGTCATACATTCAGACTAATCCTGGGAATAGTTTATTGGTGATGGCTTCCAAATGAGCATCTAAAGTCTGTGAAAAGATTAAATGGAAATCCTCCAACCAAAGCAGGAAATGAAGATTTATGGGAATTATTTTGTACTCCAACTACCCAAAGAGCATTCTATTAGCAAGTTATTGCCAGGCTAATGCAAAAGCTGTTATCTATGACAGCAGCAGCTCTTAGAACTTTAGCAAGAGCAACTGTTTACTTCATCAGAATAGCCAAGAAAATTCTCGTTATATTTTTGTTGACTGGGCCAATGTTAGAAGGTCTGGCTTACTTTAAGGTGTTCAGATTCATCCAAAGAGCTTAGAAACTTGGGCCAAAATCTGGTGTAAGTGCTATTTTCCTGACATTTCATCCATTTGCTAACCCAGTTCTATCATCTATTACCCTATGTTGTTTTTGTCAGTTTCATACAGTCCCAAACTCTGTCTTCTAATTATCTTAATTTTGGCTAAAGATGTGTCAATGTTTGTCAAATTGGACTGATTTACCATCCAGCAGGGATGGTAAATAGCTTTCATCTCATATAGACTCTGATTGCTAGTGGCTACCTAGAATATTGCTGAGTAGGATTTTCAAACCTTCTCCAAGTTCAGTAGGAAAGAATTCTATGATTGATTAGAAATGTCTGTCATGGGTAAGGGAGAGGGTAATGGTAATATGTATGCCACGTCTGTGCCATCTCTGAAAGGCCATTTACCACCCCACCTTTTTCTCCTTAAGCAATCCCTGAAGTCCTGCCCCTTGGATATTTCATCCAGTGCCTTGACATCGTGACGATTCTTGTGATCCCCTCCTTTTTTCGAGAGGAATTTTCCCTTCTCCTAATATGTGGTATTTTATTTAAATAAAAAAGTTAATGTGTTATTTTCTGATAAAATATGAAAATAAAATATGCCAATTAAAAGCTTAGAGAATATAGAAAAGACTAGAGCAAAGAATAAAATGACCCATAAATCCACTACCTACAGATAATTTCTAACACATTTGTTTGTTGTACTTTTCTATAAATTTTTACAGTCGTGAGAATAAAGCTGGGGGGTGTGTGCTTTTTAAATTAAATTATAATCATTTGCCGGCGCTTCAAAATGTTTTTGTAAATGCTTTTGGTGGCACATACAGCTGTTCCATGATTTATTTAACCCTTCTCCTACGGTTGACTATGTAGTCAATGTTAAGTTTTTTGCTGTCATAAATAACATGACTGACATCTTATGTAGAGTCCTTTCAAAAGTAATAATGACCAGGGCAAAGTGGTCTAACAGAATGATTTGAGTTCTTTGTGGAATTCAATATAGATTACAGTGAGCCCTGGAATATCTATCCATCCACAAAACAGTCAAGAAAGCTCCCCAAAGCAGATCTAAAGTTTACTAAAATGGATTAATGTCAATTAAGGCTGTATTTCACTGTGTTTGCTGCACATCCTTGTAGCTAACAAGGAAAGCCATTTATTGTTAACAAGTTAAAATGTTAAAAATAACATCCAAATAGTAAGTCTCATATAGAGAGGATTAATTTATCTTTCATTAATTATTGAAGGTTTGCTGTTGTTAAAACATGGATTAAAAACTTGCTAAATGTTACCTGGGCTAGACACCAAGAGAAGAGACAGATTAAAAGATAGCCATCTTTGGGCAGAGAGTCATGAAATGTACCCTAGATCATCCCTATCCCTCATTTTCTTCATGGTAACTTTTCCTGTATGTAACTTCATGGTAACATACAGGTTCATACCTTTCTGTACTAACTCCCTCAGTCTTGTCGCATGGTGCCTACATGGGCCAGATGTAAAAGTTCATGAAGCTATACATGGAAGATTTGTGCATTTTGCTACCATAAAAGGATCTTACAAAGGAAGGCCCTACATTAATGTAAATTAAAAAAAAAACAGCAATAAGTATAAAGCTACTAGTTACTATGTAGTTATAATAATATAAACTGTAGCTGCCACGATTTAAAGCACCTGGACCCACCACTAGACTGTAAATAATGTGAGGGCAGAGACCATGCCTTGTGCTTCACTGTGACTCTGACCTGAGTACCAGGTGCGCTCAGCTGCAGCAGGGGATAGGCTCGATGAGGACAGTGAAGGGAAGGCCACGCCATTCATGGCATACTCTCAGAGAAAGCACCCCTTGCCAAAATCGCAGGAGTCAGAATAGAGCATCCTAAACAAAAAGTATGCATTTGCCCTCTGAGGACATTAATCATCTGGCTTACAAAGTGAACCTATCTAATGTACTTTTTTTCCCTATTAACTGGTATCATTAAGCTAATAAAATTTATGTCTGTTAGAAACATTCTGCCAGATGTCCAGTTATTTGAAGAGGACTAAGACAAAGAATCCATGACATTTTCAATTCTCATATGTGATCACTGGTAATTTACAGCTCATCCTTTACTTCCTATTCTTGTGGCAGCATGTGTTGCTCTGCCCCACTGACTTCAAAGACTTTCTTTTCGTCTTTGGGGCATTTCCTCTCGGATCATTACATCCACTTCAGCCCATGACCAGATCTTCACCTCATGGTTCCTCTCCAACTTGCTTCTATGAGCCTGGGGATGGAGTCCTGGTTTCTGTCACCCAATCCAGAGACTTCTAGGGGAACTGTAACGTGTCCACCTTCTAAAGCCACTTGCGATGGCCAGGGCCTCCTATGCTGGGTGCTTGCCCTTCTGTTCTGGCTAGTCTGCACAGCCCCTGCTATGTTTTACACCCCAATTTCCAGCAATGGTCTTTAGAACTGCAACAAGTAGCTTATTTGCCAAAGGATAAACAAGCAAGAGATCATTTTAGAGATCTTTTTAGCTTTGTTAATAATACAAGTTGTGGCACCAAGAAGATGCAGTCAGAGATATGGGTTAGATGCAAGGCTTACTTGAGTCTACCATCAGAACAATTCTAAAGAACATAGAGGAGCTCCCAAATATAACCCCTAGTGTACAATGCCGATAATAGGGTACGGTGAGGTTAAGAAACGTGGCCTCAGGACAAAGCCCTCATAATCTTCTAGTATTGCATGTCTAGAGCTAAGTGAAGTACATCTATTTGTAGAATTGCTATTGTTCTCTCTTAGGTAATACACTCAAAGTTCATGGGTCAAGCATGGATCCCTTACTGGAATGAGGATTCTGAACTACAAATCAGTTAACTGTACATGTGACTTATCATAATGAATTTCTAGACCTGGAATGCTGGGAATCATAGTGACAGCAGAGACATCCACCAAGGGAGAGTGGGGGTATGCTTGGGTACTTGCCAGGGCTGTCTTCCTAAAGCAGGCAGTTGGGCCACAGGGTTCTCTCCAGCCTGCCATGTTAGAGTGACAGATATCCACTGACTGAGCTTCAAGGGCACACACACTACCGCCTGTGTTCTTAACATTTTCCCAGGCTCCATACTATGCATCCACCATCAACACTTCTCAATGAACTGTAGTAATTCCCAATGGGAGGGGGATGGGAAAGAGTAGATGAGCAGGCTCACACAGTCCTCTCCCCAGAGAATCTAGAAAAGGGATATCTGTGTAATTATTAGTGCAGGCACTCCCTCTGCTGCTGCCCTCTCTGCCTAGTCCATTCACATGTTAATCTACACACATCTAGAGACATATGCTACACCCAGTACCTTCTTTCAAGCAGACTACAGAGTGCATGGGTGTGTGTGCTCAGGTGGATGTGGCAGAATCTGGAGGGAGGCTGGCTGAAGGTATATGCTGCAGACAGAGTAGTAAGAGAGTGAGCAGGTAAGAAAGAGAAGAAGCAATCAGAAAGCAACCCTGAGGTGCCAAGGAAGTAGGACACCATGGAACACATTCAAAACAATATGACACTTTGCTTAATGAGTTTGTTTCTATTTTTTTAAATACAAGGTTTCACTCTGTTGCTCAGGCTGGAGTGCAGTGGCACCATCACGGCTCACTGCAGCCTCAACCTCCTGGGTTCAAGTGATTTTCCTGCTTCAGCCTCCTGAGTAGCTGGGACCAGAGGCGTGTGTGCTACCATGCCCAGGTAATTTTCTTATTTTTTGTAGAGATATGGTCTCACGATGTTGCCCAGGCTGGTCTCAAATTCCTGGGCTCAAGCAGTCCTCCCGTCTTGGCCTCCCAAAGTGCTGGGATTACAGGCATGAGCCACTGAGCCCAGGCTCCTTTATGACTTTTGTTAATAGCTTTGTGAATCTAACCAAATGGGATTGACATAGACTGGCATTAATACTGATGACAATCACCTTTTCCCAAGTGGAGAGCACCTCTGATTCTGGTTTACTACAGAGGCTCTGGCTTCTTCAAATATCAACATGATTTGTAAAGTGATTAAATTGTTTAAAAATATGCTGAATTAAATATTTATGGTCGCAGAAAAGCAGAAAGCACCAAGAAGCCTCAATTTATTTTCTAAATTTCATTTCTAAAAAGTTCAACAATATTTGTACAATTTTAGCGATTTGAAGTTTACTAAAATAGATTGTCACTAAGGACTGTAAATATCATGATGTGACCATTTTTGCAGACTGTCCTTAGAGTTAACAAGGAAGAAATTTAAACAGCAAGCACCATTAACTACAAGATAAAAGGCTTTTAAAAAATCCAAATTACAATTCCCATAGGGAGAGGGTTAATGTACCTCTTCATCAATTGTTAAAGGTATATTATTATTAAATGGATTAAAAACTTGCCAAATCTTACTTGGCCAGGCACCAGGAGGTTGGAATAATTAAAAGATAATAATCCTTAATAACCTGGAGCCATGAAATGTAACCTAGCTCATACCTACCCCTCACTCTTTTCATTGTAACCATTTCCATACACTGTGAGTTCACAGCCTCTTTTCTCCCCCAACGCACTCTGTTTTCACATCTCAGTACTTCTCTATTTTGCCTTCTTCCCTGTAGTTTGCCTGGGAATTATGTGAGAGCACTGGATGCTCTTCTACCTCCAGCAGGAAATTGCTGCTGGGGGAACTTCCTACCAGGGATAAGTTTTCCCTGTGTGGAAGGGGGTTGGGAGGGGTGTGTGTCTTGCAGGCCGCCTAGAATAGATTCCAGACCTTGGGCCACACAGCCTGGTAAGTCAACCAACAGCCTCCTCACACCTCATATTTGCATTCCAGTTCACTGAGTGATTTCACACACTGGCTGGCAATTCTTGAGCCTGCTGGAAAACCAACCAGGGATTCACCTCATCCATCACTGGTCTGCAACTGCCTTTTGAGGGCCACAGCAGGGGATGGAGAAATGTTTCTTAACCAGGGCTACATCAGCCAGTGAAGGGGGATACGCTCTCAAATGCAAACCCTGGAAAACCAGATGGATAAGAAGCAGACCTGGAGTTCAAGATGGGCTCCAAAGGTAAGAGAGGTAGGTTCAGATCCTGCTTCAGAGCTAACTAGTTGTATGACCCTGGGCAAGTTACCTAATCTCCTTAAACCTGTTTCTTCCTCTGTAAAATCGGGATAATAAAACCTACATTACAGGGTTTGGGAGCTTTAAAAGAAGTAACTGCAGGTAACGTACACAGCCCAGTGTGTGGTAAACAAAAATGTACTTGGTAAATGTTAAACCATTGTGCTTGGAAGTGGTGTGGGTTAATGGTCAAGAGCCTTGGGTCCGGAGCCAGACTGTTTGGGTTCAAATCCCACCCTTAGCATTTAATAGCTGAGAGCATTGGGTAACCTTCGCTGACTCAATTTATCTGTCATTAAAATGGAATTTTATTACAACATAGCAGATATTTAATAAATATTAGCTACTTTTATTTCATTGGCAGTAAAAACAGTTGATTGAGTTTCCACCTCAATCAACAACGTAGTAGTGAATTAAATGAGAATTCAGTACAATGCGTATTTTTTAAAAATTGTGAAGACCTTGTATGCATTTATGACTTTTTTGGGCAGAGTCAAGCTGCGATGCTAAGGGTGTGGTTAAACTGTAATATGAAGGAAAAAATTCAAACAGGGAGCATAAACCACCCACCAGGGAGCTATTTCTTTTGTAATGTGCATTCCATTTCTTCTCCCTCATGCTTTTTAATTCCTTCCATATTTCCTGCCATAATTATCAAATGTTTAGTTTCTGACCTCACTTTCCTGGAGACTGGAGCCCGGGGAATTTAGAATTGTTTATTTTCTGTCCATAAACCTTTGAGTTAATGGAGCGGCTTCTGAGCAAAGAGTTTGTTGGTTTGTTTGTAGTGTCTCAGGAAGGTCGTTAGAGTTGAAAAAATTGGTACAAAAAAACAAGCGCTGAAATGCTTTAACTGGAAACTCGAGCCCCCAAAGAGCAGAGCAATGGATCTTCTCTTACACTTGCGCAACGTTACAGGGAACACTTGGGAAAAGGCCGTTACATTGCCCAGATGATAACACAAAACCCGAGGACACTTCACAAAGAAGAAAATACATTTCAGAGAATCATGATCTCACTTTAAAAGAGAGAAAGGAAAATTAATTTTGCCCCAAAAGAAGAATCCCGATTCCTCTGCCCCCGCCCCCAGGAGACAGACTTGGGAGGGAAAAGTCCCCAACTACTCTCAGTCTCCTCTGAAGTGAAGGACGGAACTGAGGCGCCTTTTTGAACTCGCTGCTGCTCCAGTCGCCGCCTCGTCCCCGTCGGCCCAGCCCGTCCCCTCTCCTCCTCCCCGCTCTCCCTCCATGTTAGCCGCGGCGGGGCTCCCGCTTACGGCCCGAACTACTTTTCCTGCTTTAAAGATTTAAGTTTCGTAAGCAGCATTACTGCCCCAGCTCCACCCCAGCACACCCCAAGGACCGAAACTCCCAGCGCCACCCCGGGAGAGCATCCCCAGGACGCGCGCCCACCCGCCCAGCGCGCAGACCCAAGAGGCCCCGGGGACCGAGTTCGGACTCCTCGGCCCCTCGCCTACCTCGGCGCGGACCCAGGCGACCGCCACCAGCGCGAGCGCGAGCGCGAGCCAGCGTTTCCACATCTGCGGAAGAGAGAAGAGAGCGAGTCTGAAGGCGCCGGGCCCCGCGCTGACCTGGGAAACTTGCTCGGGTCCCGCAGGCTCGCTCCGGCCGCCCAAGCACCCCCGGCCGCCCGAAGAGTCCGGCCTCCGCGCCGTGCGCCCTGCGCTCACCGTGGTCTGGTCCAGGTCTCCTGGGGGCGCGGGGCAGGACGGCGGCAGCGAGCTGTAAGCGGAGGTGGGAGCTCCGCCGATCGCCAGCCTCGGAGGAAATGCGACCTCCCCTCGCCGCCCCTTAAGACCTCTCCTTCCCCGCCTGCCTGCCCCCCCAGCTCCTCCCCATTCTCCTCCCCCTTCTGCTGCAGCGGCCCCCGCGGCTCCCGCTCCCCCTCCTTCCGACCCCTGCTCCGGGGAGCCCGCGGGAGTCCTGGCGCCGCCGAACCCCTCTCTCCGCACGGTCCCTCGTCCGGCGCCCCTTCGGCCCCCTGGACGTGGAGCGGAGGCAGAGGGGGTGTCCCGTGGGTCCCTGCCACAAAGGGGTAGGGGGAAGGGAAACCCCACCCCGGGAGGGGCTGCTGGCTGGCGGCGGCCCGGGCGGGCTGCGGCGGTGGCCAGGTGGGCGGTGCCGTGGGGGGCCCGGGAAGGTCCGGGACTGGAACCTGGAGGAAAAGACGTCCCGCGGCCTAGGAAGCGGAGCCGCCCCCCATGGCTGAAGGGGGAGGCCCAGGGAGGCAGAGGAGACCCCGCATCCCGGGGTCACGGCAGCAGGGCAGCGGGGCACCGGGAAGTGGGCGCAGGGCCGGGAAGACCGGCCGGCGTGGGGAAGGCTGCTGTGGGTTCTACAGTGCATTGTCCCGGGTGAGGTGGCGGCCGCCCTGCTCTGCTGGGAAGATCCTGAGTCCAGCGTTTGCCGGCAGCCTCATCCCCTCCTTCCCTCGGGCCGGGGAGCGGTGTCCCCCTCCTCTCTTCCGCCCACTCACTCATCACCTGTGTCCCTCCTCCCATCCCTGTCATCCCAAGTAGCCTCTGTGTTCAGGATTGCCATCTTCACCACCTTCTTCCCAGCCCTTGGCCTTCGAAAGTGTGCTACCTCTTTGACAGGGTTAACTCCCTAAAATGCTCCTAATTAAGGCGCCTTTCCTGCCATAACTAGTAAGGAGAGCAGATCCACTTAGCAACTCAGATTTCACATGCCCAAGACTAAGCCTCACTTCCCCCAGCTTCAGGGCCTGCTTATCTACCTCTTTCAGGGTGGTTGCCTTCAAACCTATCTCCTTTTCTCAGAGCCGGCTTGTACCCATAGCCTGGCAGTTTAGCCGCTGAGATCTCATATGCATCCCCTCGCCTCCGTTCACATGTCCACTTTCCTAGGCCAGACCTTCATCCTCCCTCACTCAGAAATTCTGGAAACCTCCTTTCGTTGTCCTCTGACTCCAGGCTCTCCCCTGTAGTCTCCACTGCAATCCATTGTCATATTCTTTCCCTTATTTTAAACATTGTCTTCCTCGTGTTCATGTTCTTCCTCTACTCAGAAACTTCAGCGTTCTTCTACCCACATCAAATCCAAACTCTGCCTTTCTTATAAGCCCTGCATTACTGGGCCCACCCTGTCCATCTAACTTCTCTTCAACTACATCAGCATACTTCCTCCGCTCAAAGCAGGCCCATCTCCTCGTTGTCCTCTGAACTTGTCATACTCACTCTGCTGCCAAGGTTTGTTGAGTGCCCACTGTTGTGGCTTTAGGGGGCTTCAAGATAATACCCATGGTCCCCATGTAAGTTCAGAATCCACTGAGATAGCAACAGGAGTCAGACTTATGGAGAGCAAAATGTCAGCTTTGTCTCTGCTAAAGGCTGGAATGGCAGCCATGGCTTTAGATCTGCAGGGACAGCGGGCCCAGAATTGAACATGTCCACTCAGTCACAAGCAGAGCTGGAAAACCTGCCTGTGTAAAAACTAAACTGCATGGAAAAGCAGAAAATATGTGCCTCCTGGGACATGCCTGCTCCCCAAACTTGAGGGGGTAGAGTGACACATCCCCAGTTCTTTCAAACTCTCCAGTCAGACAACTTACTCCTGCTCCCTTGTTATGGTAATAAGATTAGGGAATAGATGTTCCGCACCAGATACTCTGTCTTGGTCACTGTGCAAGGATTGAAGGGAACTATTGTGGATAAAGTTCTGCCCTCGAATAACGCACAATACATTGCATCCCTTGCAGATCCACTGCACCCTCTCAGAATCTGGTATCATCTTTCCTCCCTTCCTCTTATCTACTAAAATGCTTGGGTTTGTTTGTTTGTTTTGTTTTCAGGAACCACGTCAAGTTTGCTTCCTTCATATCTTTTCTGACAACAGCTTGGCATGGTAGAAGGCACAGGAGGTTTGAGGTCAAACCAATCTGGCTTTCCATCCTATCACTGCCATTTACTAGCTGCATGGCCTGACTTGCATCAAATAATAAGCCCTCTGAACCTAGGTTTCTGCCTCTGACAAATGGCAGTGATAATGCCTTGCAGGGAGTTGTGAAATTTAAGCAGATGCATATAAAAAGTGCCTGGCAGGTAGTAGACCTCTGTATGTGATAGCCATTATTATTTCATGATCGGCTTTGCATCTAAATTGTAGTTGGTACTATACACCAGGTACTATGAAAGCCATTCAACATCTCTTATTTTATTTAATTTTCACAATAGATAGAAAGGAGGCTGGGCACGGTGGCCCATGCCTTGTAATCCCAGCACTTTGGGAGGCCAAGGCAGGCGGATCACTTGAGGCCGGGAGTTCGAGACCAGCTTAGCCAACATGATTAAACCCCGTCTCCACTAAAAATACAAAAATTAGATGGGTATGGTGGTGGGCACCTGTGGTGCCAGCTACTTGGGAGGCTGAGGCACCAGAATTGCTTGAACCCGGGAGGCAGAAGTTGCAGTGAGCCGAGATTGTGCCACTGCACTCCTGCCTGGGCAATAGAGAGAGACTCCATCTCAAAAAAATAATAACAATAAAAAATAAAAATTTAAAAAATACAGTAAATGGAAAGGTCTTTTTTATTGCTTCCGTTTTCCAAATAAAACTGAAGCTCAGGAAGATTTAGATACTTTCCCAAGTTTATACTGTTGGCTACACAGCCTTACAACTTGGGGCATTATATTGCAGACTGCTATACAATGTTTAACACTTGTTCTCATAGTTATTCTTGATTCTCCAGCTAGTTTTAAGTTGCTTAGAGCAAAAACAATGTTTTTCATATCTTTATCCTCTCTACATTTGGAACACAATTAATGGATTTGAGTATATCAAAATGAAATGAAAGATTCCTGTTCAACTGAGGGCACCATAGACAAAATGATAGAAGGAGATATAAATGTCTAAAACTGACATGTAACTCATAACACACACACATACACACACCCTGCAAATCAATCAGAAAAAGAAAACCCAATAAAAAAGGGCAATAGGTATGAATAGGCAATTCCCAAAAGGGGAACCCCAAATGGACAATAAATATAGAAAAGATACTCAACATCACTACTATTATTTAAATTGCACAACAACCATTTGAAATCAGTATTATTTTATTATCTCCAATATACAGATGAAGAAACACACACAGAGTTTAAGTAGTTTGTCCAAAGTTATACAGTAAATTATAAATGTCACTTTACACTCATCACAGTGGCAAAAATCAGACAGTTGGACAATATCAGTGTTAGCATGTGACTAGTGCAATCTTTGTGGTGTACTGTAGCAATTAAAAGCATGGGTTTATGAGACAGACTGCCTTGGTACAAAATTGCCTTGGTAGTAAATCTTAGCTTTACTACTTATTATGTAACCTTGGGCAAGTTACTTAACCCCTTGCATCTCAGTTGCCTCATCTGTAAAATCGTGATAATTGTACTGATTTCATAGAGCTATTGTGTAGATTAAATGTATCAATATGTAAAGTACTTAGAATAGTGTCTGGTACACAGTAAGCATATAAATAAGATGTATTACTACGGAAATAATTCACTAGAGAGCTCTTACAGGTACTGATGATAAAACTGTGCTGTGGCGTATGGTTAACTCTACAATAAATAAAGCAAAAGACAAAAATAAACTATGCAGTGGAGAAAATATTTTGAAATGAGATATTTGGAAATGTCTTATCATTAGGCTATTTTGTTATCCAAAACAATAAAAGTGTGGCACCATAAAAACTCTCGTGTATGCACATTTTAAAAACTTACACAAAATTTTCTAACCTGTTTAAAAATCTTCAGACAGAATTCCAGTGGCTTATTTACTCATTTGTTGAAAATATAAAAATATAATAACTTGGGACCAGCATGGTGGCTCACACCTGTAATCCCAGCACTTTTGGAGGCTGAGGTGGGATGATCACTTGAGCCCAGGGGTTCGAGACTAGCCTGGGCAAATGTGGCAAAACCCCGTCTCTATAAAAAATATAAAAATCAGCTGGGTGTTGTGGCATACCCCTGTATTCCCAGTTACGGGGGGAGTAGGGGGCCAAGGTGGGAAGATCACTTGATCCTGGGAGGTGGAGGCTGCAGTGACCCATGATTGCACCACTTTACTCCAACCTCCGTGACAGAGAGAGACCCTGCCTCAAAACAGACAAACAAACAAAAACTAACCAACCAGCCAAACAAACAAAAAACCTTTCAATTAATTTTGATTTCCAGAGCAGATGGGAATTTATGAGCCAAATTTCAACAAAAAAACCTTCGCATGAATGGTTTATAGGACTGGAAAATGAGTAATTTGGTGGGTGAGCCAATGGTACACATCTTCCATCCAGATCTGTAGAGTGTCTTAATGTCACGATATTCAGTACACATTGATTCCTTTCGCATCCAGCTTGCTTTCGCCATGCTTCAGGTAACAATACCCACCTTCGCTCTACAGTACCATTCTTCTTCCACTCCTCAAACATGCAAATGGCCTAGGATAAGTCAGTCACCACATTTCAACCCCTTGACCATAGTGATTACTTTAAGAGTAGGAATTTGACCAAAGTCAGGCCAATACAGCCATATTTGTGGGTGCTTTCATCTTCCAGGGCTGCCATAAAAGTATATCACAGACTGGGTGGCTTAAACAACAGGAACTTATTTTCTCACAGTTCTGGAGGCCAGAATAACAAGACCAAGGTGCCGGCAGCATTGATTTCTTTTGAGATCTCTCTCCTTGGCAGGCAGATGACTGCCTCCTCCCTGTGTCCTCATATGGCTCTTACCTGGTGTCTCTCCCTCTGCTTGCAAAGACATGAGTCCTATCTAATGTGCACTCTACCTTTATGACCTTATTTAACCTTAATTACTTCTTTAAAGGCCATATCTCCGAACAGTCACATTGGGGGTTCGGGCTTCAGCATGAATTTAGAAGGAACTCAGTTCAGCTCATAACACTGAGTTAGCTTTTTCAGCTCTGACAGCTATAATACCAAATATCAAAATAAACTGGGCTTAGAATTGGACCTTCAGCTCTCTGTCACAAAATGTTAAGCAAATATTTTCTTTTTCTTTTCTTTATTGAGACAGGGTCTCACTCTGTTACCCAGGATGGAGTGTAATGGTGTCATCATGGCTCACTGCAACCTCGACATCCTAGGCTCAAGCAATGTTCCTGCCTCAGCCTCCTGGGTAGCTGGAACTACAAGTGCATGCCACCATGCTGGCTAATTTTGTGTATTTTTTGTAGTGACAGGGTGTCCCCATGTTGCTCAGGCTGGTCTCAAACTACTGGGCTCAAGCAATCTGCCTGCCTTGGCCTCCCAAAGTGCTGGGATTACAGATGTGAGCCACCATGCCCAGTCTAGCAAATATATTCTAAATGAAGTAATGACAACACCATCACTAAATGTACTACTATTTTTTTTCAATGAGATCATAAAGGTGTTTTCACCATTGATAAGTAAAATAAAGAATGTTGATTATTTTAGGTCGGGTGCGGTGGCTCACGCTTGTAATCCCAGCACTTTCAGAGCTGAGGCAGGTGGATCACTTGAGGCCAGGAGTTCGAGACTAGCCTGGCCAACATGGTGAAACCTCACCTCTACTACAAATACAGAAAATTAGCTGGGTGTGGTGGTGTGCCCCTGTAATTCCAGCTACTTGGGAGGCTGAGGCACGAGGCAAGGGGCAGAGGTTGCAGTGAGCTGAGATCATGCCACTGCACTCCAGCAGGGGCAACAGAGACTCCATCTCAAAAAAAAAAAAAAAAAAAAGCATGTTGATTATTTTATCTTTAACTCATTTCATATTTTACATGTTTTATAATGTATATATTAGCCTCACTGTTATTGGTGGTAGTATGTAACTGCAAAGTTTGCAAACTATGGCTACAGAAAATCGAATCTCACACTGAGGCCAAAAGAACACTTCAAGAGTTGAGTACAGTGTTTATTATGGTTAATTAATCATGTTCAGGGTGACATTTGTGTAATCATTGAGAGCATCTGTGACAAGATGGTTTCATCAGCAACTTGGGGAAATAAAGTACTTATTAAATATTTGTGTTTATTGACATATCCAAAGTAATGCATAATTTGAATGTATGCCTATTTTGCCCTGTCTAAAGGTACTAAACTCACATGATCTCCTTCAAATTAATTTGGAAAATTCTGCAAGTTGGTAGTATACGTTTTTGTATTATATTTATAAAAGTATGATTTATGATAATCCATCTATTCATTATAAGCTTGGCAGACCTATTCATTTGGATAAATAAATGGATTTTTTTTTTCTTTTTGAGACGGAGTCTTGCTCTGTCACCCAGGCTAGAGTGCAGTGGTGCCATCTCGGCTCACTGCAAGCTCCGCCTCCTGGGTTCATGCCATTCTCCTGCCTCAGCCTACCAAGTAACTGGGACTACAGGTGCCTGCCACCATGCCTGGCTAATTTTTTTGTATTTTTAGTAGAGACAGGGTTTCACCATGTTAGCCAGGATGGTCTCGATCTCCTGACCTTGTGATCCATCCGCCTCAGCCTCCCAAAGAATAAATGGATTTTATAAAAATTTTAATGTCATAATATTCAGTACACACTGATTCCTTTCACACCCAGCATGCTTTCCCCACACTTCAGGTAACAGCATCCACCTTCCCTCTAGAGTATCATTCTTCTTCCACTTTTCAACCATGCAAATGGCCTAGGATAAGCCAATCACTACATTTCATCCTCTTGACCATAGTGATTACTTTGAATAGGAATTCAACAGAAGTCAGACCAGTAGAGTGAATGAAATCCAATTCCAAGACTTGTTTACTCATTAGGGAGGCTGACTCTCTTTTCTGCTGGCCTGGGTACTGGATAGTGTGACTCTGAAGCTGCAGGGGGCCACCACCTGGGCCTGAGATACTGCCAATCCTGAAGAGGCAGCACCAGGAGATGGAGTCCAGTGACATCATCAGGGCCTCAAATCAAGCTGTACCTGATATAGCTCTAGACTTTTAGGTTTGTTACCTGCTTCTTTTTGCTCAAGCCTCTTAGGTTGGGTCTTTTAAATCACATTTGAAAAAAACCTTAAATGATCATCAAGTCGTAAATATAATTACAGGGTGTTTAAAACAATAAGATAGCATAAACAAATGCAATAGTCCTTTAAGCTTAATATTTGCAAAGATTATGAAACAGCAGAGCTGGGAAAGGGAAGTGATTTTCCCAAACACTCATGAAAGAGCAAATGTTCTGTCTACTGCACCTTGCTACTTCCTCCACTGCCCAGCCTGCTGCAGACATGGGGATGTGTGTTATTTAAGACACCCTTAAAACAAGTGACTGAACCAATTCATGCTAGCCTGGGCCAGGAAGGAACTTACTGGCTGATGAGGAGTCTACTGAGGTGGCTCATGGGGCTGAAGGAAGAACTGCAGAATCTAAGGTCTTGGGGACTCAAATGGGACTTGTGATAGACTAAAAAGCATACCCCTACCAAAATAGAGTCACTTCCTGGAACTTGTAAGTGTTATCTAATGTGGCAAAAGAGCAAATATTATCTTATATGGCAAATATGTGATTAACTTAAGGATCTTGTGAGGAGGGATTTATTCTGGATTATCTGGGTGGGCTGTAAATGCAATGATATGCATTCTTATAAAAGAGAGGCAGAGCAAGATTAGACACAGACAGGAGAGAAAAGATACACAGAAAAGAAGGTGATGTGAGGATGGAGTGATGTGGCCACAAGCTAAGGGATGCCAGGAACTGCTGGCAGCCACTAGAAGCTGGAAGATTCAGGAACAGATTCTCCCCAGACTCTACTGAGGGAGTGCTGCCCTGCTGATCCTTGATTTCAGGCTTCTGGCCTCCAGAGCTGTGAGAAAATAAATTTCTGTTGTTTAAATTACCAGAGTTGTGGTAGCACTAACAAACTAATGCAGAACTCAATGATGTAAGTTTCTCTCTCTCTCTGTCTCTTTCACACACACACACACACACACACACACACACACACACACACACACCCAGACTCTCAGCTTATTCAGCTGTTTTAGTTTTTCCATGTGGCTGAGAAGATAGCTGGTGCAAGCCCTAAAATGCCATCCTTTCAGCCTTGGCAGCCTAGCCAGAAGAGTCTGTTCTCCTGGTCCATAGATCCAACTCAGGGGAGGGTTCTGGTTGGCCCTGCTTGTGTCATGTGCCCACCCCTTGGACAAAGCACACTGTCAAGGGGGCATTCCTGTGGTTGGCTGCGTTTGGGTCATGATACCATCCCTATAGCAGGCTGCACACTCTTACTGATAGCTTCACAAACCACATGGCACGGAGGAAGAGGTTTCTCCAAAGAAGGGACCCTGGGCAGACTAAAACAACCACTGTCCAGGTTCTTGGCTCTTTCCCGGCTTGGGACATCATGAAGACATGTAGGATTGTGGACAGAAGAACCACAGACTTGTTCCTGAGCACAGGGCATTGGATATTCCAGACAGGGCTAAACAACTGCCTTTAGAATTTATGAGGAGACTAGAAAGGCTGCTTGTTTGATCAAAATGATGGGCCCACCCCACTGTAAGCTACAGTTAGAGTAAGCCTGGTGGGCCGGATGAGGGGATGGCCTCAGGGGCAGCATGAAGTATACCCGGTGGCATTAGGTTATGGGTGGGGTTGAGCACTTTTCAGAGGACCCCTGGGGATGGGAATTTTTCACGGCCAGAGGCTCAAAGCTGAAGCGAGTTTTTGCCTCATTCTCTGACCATTTCTTTTCCTTCTCTTTCCCTCCTTGTAGTCCGTTTCCTTCCTATACCTTCTTTCTTTCTTCTCTCCCACTCCCACCCTTGGGAGAAGAAGCAGGATGCTAAAGCACTAGCTGTAGGCTTTACAGGAAGCAGTTCATGCTTCCTCCTCCCCCCGAAAAGAAAATGCCTTCCCTTGACTAGTTTTGGTGGACCATTCTATTATCAGCATAATCACTGACATTTATCATAAAACCTCATGGACTGAGATTCTCTCAGGGTCTGGGCTACTCCCCAGGAGTAAGTCAGGCAATTTTGAGCAACGACAGGGCTTCTTTCAGACCCTTAGGTATTATTTTTAATGTGCCAGCAAAACCTAAAAATGGAAGAGGATAAATGCAGCTGTTCAAAGGAGCTGACCTGCACAAAAAGGTCATGCCGTGGAAGAATCTGGCTCATTAAGAATGTGTGAGTGTGACAGAAAATGCTCATTTTAACCAGCTTTTTATGGTAAATAGCAGTGCTGCCACTAACCGGCTGAATAACCACTCAGAGTGAGCCTATCAGATGGCAGCCTCCTCCAGCTGGCTGTGCCCCTTGATGTCTTCTCTTTGCCCTCATTAAAGTTTTAGTCTCTTATGGCTACTTCCAAAGAAAGCTGACTCTTTCAAGTTCCCGACTTAAATAGTGGTAATGAATGTATAGCTGTAATTGAAGGCAGAGAGGAGTAATGTAATGTCTCTGCAGGGAAGAGACTTGTAGTTCCTTTTTTAAATGTGAGGAGATAGGCTACCCTAATACAAATGAAAATCTGTGGATCTGATTGGCTGTGTGTTGGGGTCCCCCAGACCACTCCCAGGTTTAACGGTTCACTAGGGAGACTCACAGGACTCAGCATATAGTTGTGCTCATGGCTATGATTTATTGTAGTGAAAAGATAGCAAGTAAAATCAGCAAGGGGAAAAGGCATGTAGGGCAAAGACCAGCGGATATCAGGCGCGTACTTCCAAGAGTCCTCTCCCAGTGAAGTCGCACAAGATGCACTGAATTTCTCCAGCAACAAATTGGGACACCACGCGTCAAGTGTTGTCCTCCAGGGAAGCTCATAAGCGAGTCAGTGCCCAAAGCTTTTTGTGAGGCTGGTCACGTAGGCAGCTTCTTTTTATCATGTGCCAGAATTTCAGACTCCTTGAAGGAAAGCAACTGTTCAGCATAAACCATACTGTTCACACAAGCAGTTCTGAGAGTGGTGGGGACTCTCCTTAAATCCAAGTTTTCTGATGCCAGCCGTGGACAAGCCTTGCAATCAGCACTTTCTAAGCCCAGTAGTCTCAGCCCTGCCATGTTAACTGTTTTCTGCACATGATGACAGTGAAACTTTTCAATTCTTTAATCTCTGCAATTTACCAGCGGCCATTGCATTTCCTGCATTTAAGGCAACGCTGAAGTTATAAAACAGAACTTACTAAATATAAATTAAAAGACAGGCTATGCAGGCTGAAATTTCTCTCATGCCCCCAGCTCTCTTCTGAATGGTCCTCATATACTATGTGCTTATCTTGCTATCCTGGCTATAAATGATGGAACAGGGATTTTTCCCTTGAGTCAAAATCTAATACATATAAGTTGGACATGATTGAGACCAAGAGTCACAGAGACTGACCAATAAGGGGCGCTCCATAGTGTGATGGTGGCAAGCTGATTCAGTCCACTGTCTTTGAAACAATAAATACCAGATGGAGAAAATGAAAGTGGGTGACTAGAACTCAGACTGAGTGAGGACAATGTGAAGCTATTGTTCTAGGTCTCTGTGAAATGTGTTGTGCTCCCCAGTCTTGGAAGTCTATGTTTAGGACAGAGGTGATCGCCTCCCTGTGATCTTGGCTCACTGCAACCTCCGCCTCCTGGGTTCAAGTGATTCTTATGCAGATTCAAGTGGCTCACATCCTCATGTGTCCTTGCACTGAACACATTTTCTTCCTTAATATCGGTGTGTCTTTTCCAAGCAGCCTGAAAGAGCCTAGTAACATAGAGGTAAATATTCCCTTTTCAAAAGGATGCCACGACTAAACTGAGAATAGTTATACTAGAGGGCATCCAAGGAAATGTGAGAGTGTAGTTTAGGTCAGTTACAGGAAGTGGTATCTTACACTGCAAAAAGGAAGTTTTGGACCACTCTCAAAAGTAGAAAACATAAGCAGGCTTAAAAAAAGCTTTAAAAATTATCTTTGTTGTTGAATCATAAGGAGTTATTGATAAAAGCTGAATATGTTCGGACTGCTTCCTCTTCTATGAGGTGTAGGTCAGGAAAGTGAGTGATGTTCCCTTCCCGCCATGTAGCTCTGCTATCCTTGTCACATGCAACCTCTTGATGAGGCTGCCAGCAGAGGCTATAAAGTTGAGAATATCCTCTGAAGACCTGAGCCCCCAAACCCCAAACTGAACTTAAACTGGGCTAACGCATCCTGATGGGCTCGTAAAGTGCCAACATTCAACCCTGACCTCTAACTTAGGTGCTGAGGCAGGAGTATGGTGTATTTATCAATTTGTGGATTAAATGCATCTTAACAGTCAACATTTTATGACCCTGTGAGGATGAGGGTAAGTAAAAGTGCATTTGATGGACACTGCTTAGCCCAGGATATTGTGGTGAGAGGACCTCACAGCGTACTGTTGGTGTGTGGGAGCACGCTCCCTGCCTTCTGACCAAGCACTTATGGAAACTCCCGCTGACATGTTGGCTGAGGCAGGAATGTAATTAGAAAGGATGGTTTCATTCCAGCACCATCACCTTCTTCAGGAAAGGGTAACCCTTCTTTATCTGGCATGTGGCCTTTTAGTTGAACTTGGAGTATTTGGGGATTGTTCAGAGACAGTGCTAACTGGCACAGGAATACTCATTCTGTGTTGATTGTTCCCTAGGGAGCTTCCTGCAGTAAAAGTGATAAGGGTTGTTCCAGGCTATCCGGTTATAACATTGGAGCCATGTTCATTCTTTGTTACTAAAAAAGAAAGTTTCTTTCTCTAGAGGGGCAGGGGAAGATGCATAGCTCCCTTAAGCACTCAGGGCATGGTTATGCTTTTGGATACAGGGTGGTGGTTAATAATATAGCTTAAGGAGTATTAGAGACCTGCCACTTACTAGTTGGTTGGTTGCTTAAGCTCTTTGCTCCTTAGTTACTTCTATAAAATGTCAAGAATAATATTGCACATAGTTTTTGTAAGGATAGAATGGAATAATGTATGTAAAATACTTAGTGCAGTGCCTAGCCTGGAGTAAATGCTCAATTACTATTAGCTATTTAACTATTTTACTTATTCATAGGTACTGAGAATCTTCTCTATGATTATTTTATTCCTAAACTTTCCAAGATCACAGTTTCATTACTGGAAGTGATCAGCAGCAGAAAGTTGTATAGTCATTTATCAGGAATAGATTTCGGCTGTTTGAAAATGTTGTAGACGTTCGGCATTTGTGGATTTAGATTTTGCAGTTTCAGCTATTTATAGACAACCTCAGGGATTCATGACAGCATATTTTATCTGAAACTTTAATCTAAAAGAGATAATAAGTAATCAGGATGCAGTGGAATCATTTTGAATATCTACCCAGCCATGTCCTTCTCTGAGAACTGACCCCACTCAGAGAGGTGAACCCAGAGGTGGGATTGTTCCTTATAACCCCTGCACCACAGCTGATTGGACCAGGCCTGGACACCCAACTGAGGGAGAGCTAAGGTGATGATTGAGTCAATCCAATTTTCTCTCCTGGATTGTTCTTATTTTTAGGAGATACCGGAAGAAGAATTTGACAATAACATCTCATGATTCTGCAATTTATTTTCAAATGGTTCAGGGGAAAAATATATCTGTCTGTATATATTATACAGAGAAAGTGAGAGAGAGAGAGAGAGAGAGAGAGAGAAAGTAGACATCATAGAGGGCTAACAATTGATAAATCTAACTAAAGATTACACAAGTGTTCATTGTACTATTCTTTCCATTTTTCTTTGGTTTTAAATGTTAAAAGTTGTAAACAGCTTTTAATGGAAAATGAAGTGTCCCTTTAAAAAGATTTTCTTAAAAAAATCCTTGAATTAGAAATGTACTCCAGAGCCTATAACCATCTCTCCTGAGCTTTGAGCCAAGAAACCACATGTTAGTATTGAGTGGCAGGGGCCAGGCACACACAGAAGAGGAAACTGGATTTCAGAGAGACACAGAGCAGAGGGGCAGAAATAAGCAGGGGGAGAGCCTGAGGGTCTTGGGAAAAGGCGAGTGGAGACTTGATTCTTGAGTTCCTGGTTCTGTCTTCAGAGGCCTGGTGCTGGTGTGAGGCCTAGTTCTTCTTTCTGCCTGCAAGTTCCATGAGATACCCTGATATCCTTCCAATAAATTCTTTTTTAAAAAATTTGCTGACAACAGCTTGAGTGGTTCTGGTCCTTATGAACAAGTAGGCTCTGATTAGACCCCTGGCCGGCCTGTGGTAATGGGTGTGCTGAGGCACGTGTGGGACTCAACGTGCATAAGCTGTGGCTGAGTAGCTTAGCTGAGAGTGTGTCTCAAAGACTGCCAGTGTCTACATCTCAATGGCGCGTGTGTGCCATAGAGTATAGGTGTTCACTGAAAGAATCACTCTCAACTGGACTTTATAGCCTTTAAAGGAATAAATATTCTGTATAGTAGGAACACAGATTCCTCAGTCCATACACTCAGATGTGCAGAAAAAAAAATAACCTTTTTTCCTTTTCTAGGACTAAACTTAAGTCCCATCTGCAGCCTCCCTTCTCCCTGGTAGCAGAATCTGGGTTTGCTCCCTGAGTTCAGTGTTTTCCTTCTTTTCCCCTGGGAGAATGTGGGGAGGATGGGCATCATCATGCGTGCACGCCTGCATCTACAAAGATGTCCCCTTCACTCTCTAGTCCTCCTCATCCTCACTGTGCAGCTTCTTCTGGCCCACCTGCTCCCTGGCTCCTGACCTGCTGTCTGGATACACAGGGACTTTCAGAGGCAGCCTCTGGCCTCTCTGCCCATACCCAGATCATTCCGGTGTCCACAGGGGTGGAGTCTTACCTCTTCCTGGGCTCAGATTTCCCAAACATGATTCTGAGAGTTCTTCTGTCCACCTTCTTCCCAGGCCTGAGTTTATGGGGGGAAAGTTACAGGGCCTTCTGCAAGTCATCAATGTGACTTTCTCTCCCTTCTCATGCAGCCCCAGAAGGGGGGACTGGATTGTAGACCCCCTGGAGATTCTTCTCAGTTATTGTTTCTGGTATAGTTTCATTTAAAACTTGTTTGTTTGTTTGTTTTTTGACAGCCTCGCTCTGTTGCCCTTTCTGGAGTACAGTGGCGAGATCTCGGCTCACTGCATCTTCACCTCCCAGGTTCAAGCGACTCTTCTCCTCAGCCTCCTGAGTAGCTGAGACTATAGGCTGTGCCACCACACGGGGCTAATGCTTGTATTTTTAGCAGAGACGTGGTTTTGCCATGTTGGCCAGGCTGGTCTCCAACTCCTGGCCTCAAGTGATCAGCTTCCCTTGGCCTCCCAAAGTGCTGAGATTACAGGTGTGAGCCATTGCACCTGGCCAAAACTTAGTTTTTTATGTTTATTAGAATATCTGCACAGAAATAGCATATTTTATTGTTTACTTTCAAAATATTAATGACTATAACTAACCAGAGAGACTTTCTATATTGCCCCTTTAGAAACATGGGATTCATAATTTACTGATGTATGGTATAACTTTATGCCATGAGTCTTTTGGGGAATTAGCTTTTGATATCTAAAAGTCAAGTTTTGGGATTTCAAAATGCTTTTCTCTTGCAAAGTCTATTTTAGAACCCAAAATCAAAGGGCTGACTTCTTTGATACCCATATTTTGTTGCAACAAACCTATTCTGAGGTAATGATGACTTAGGTCTAGGTCAAATGGAGACTGGTCAAGGGATACAATGAATTGTAGGAGACAGTAGTGTTCAGGGGGAGAACATGTTGGGTTATATTATCCCACTCTGTATAACAATGTGGTGCTCATGAATCTGGGGATTTAAATATGTCCTAGAGTTTTGCTTGCCAATGTCAAAGTTTTCCTCTATGGAGAGGTAACAGATTTTCCCTTGCCAAAGTTCTACAAGATGACATCTTGTGTACCTGAAACTTGAGTCAGCTGGGTCACCCTAAACAATTCAAATGCAGCTGGGGGTAGAAGGTGGCAAGCAAAGTCTCCAAGTCACTAAAAGAGGTTTCATGGAAGCTGTGCAACAGAGTTGACTCATGGATAAGCCCCTTAAACCTTCAAACAAAGCCTATTGATTTACATATGTGGGCACCTCGGTTATCAAGTTTCTGGGCTACGATGGGGTTGGAAAATGACAGAAGGATCTGGTTGTATATTGCAAAGAGTAAGAAAAGCTCCTGATAGCATGATAGCAGTGAGGGAGTCAGAAGTACAACAAAAATCAAGTAAAAACATTTTAAAAATTAATGCTGTCAAAGGACATTAGTGTAAATATAATGATTTAAATTTCTCATTTGTTCTTGTACCTAGTACTATAATCAATCATAGTGTTTTAAGTCTCAGTGGGAATTTAAAGAAATCTAACCCAATTATAAAATATGGGATTCATAATTTAACAATATGACATAAGAATAATAGTATGACATGATTTTATGTCCTGAGTCTTTTGGGACATTAGCTTTTGATAACTAAAAGCCACACTTTGGATCTCAACTCTTCCATTTTTTTTGCATAGACTGTAATGGCCTGATTTGTGTACATCCCACATCATACTTTCCTCACCCCACACAGTACCTCAGAGTATGACTGTATTTGGAGATTGGCCCTTTAAAGAGATGATTAAGTTAAAACAAGGCCATTAGAGTGCCCTAATCCAATTTAACTTGTGTCCTATTTGTAAGAAGAAATTTGGACACATAGAAAGACACCAGGAATGTGTGTCCATAGAGAACAGGCTATGTGAGGACACAGTGAGAAGGCGGCCGCATGCAAGCCGAGGACAGAGGCCTCAGAAGAAACCAAATATGCCAACACCTTGGTCTTGGGACTTCCAGCCTCCAGAGCTCTAAGAAAGTAAATTTCTGTTGTTTAAGCCACACAGTCTGTGATACTTTGTTAAGGTGTCCTAGCACGCAAATACAAAGACTACACTGAAGCCCAAATGATAAGAAACGGCTTCTTTGGTATGTGCATTCTGCAGTAGAAACCTACTTGAGGCTTTGTAATTTAGTACCAGGGCAGATGTGTAGCTTTTCCAAGGTCTCCAGGAAGACACAGAATTGAACCCAGTGCTCCTCACCCTGGGCAGGCAGCTTGGTGCAGCAGAAAGAACATAACGTTTTAGCTTCAAATCTAAGCCTTGCTGCGCAGAAGATGGGCTGCAGTCTGTAAATAACTTAACTTCTGTGAGCCTCAGTTTGTTCATTTACAAAATGCAGATGAGCTACAGAAATGACATGTGATGATATTCAGGTTACCTATGTAAAATACCTAGCTCAGGCCTGGCCCATACTGGAGAGGTAACAAATACAGTTCTATTATTGTTTCTGCTACACTGTGTCATAACCTTAAGCCATCAATAAAAGGTTAAATTGTGATTGGTATCCTCTGTCACAGAAGACAGGAGAGTATGTTATCTTTTAAATAGATTTTTAGCTTTATATGATAAGAGGCAAATATCTTGGTGGTTACAGGGATGAGTATTAGGTATTCAGAATGCTTGATTATCCGGAACTATTCCTCAAAGATTATCAATAGTTGAGATTACAGTGTCAACATTTTGTGTCCTCTGAACTGTTTTCAATTTCTATTCTCCTTTTTTAGTTTTTCATTCCAAGAACTCCAGTTCTCTCATAGATGCCCCATGGGAGTGGAGCTCCTCTCAATGACTTTCTTTTTTACTATTTTTTTTTCTGTATTTTCCAAAATGTTCATGATTAATAATGAATGCGTATTACTCTTACACCAAGAAAAGTCATCCTAGAATCTACTAAGAGGTCGGTGAAATTGGCTATTCGATCATTGCTGATCTTGATGGAAGGTGTTTGAGTGACAGTGATAGATGGCAGACTGCATGAGTGGAGGAGTGACTGGAAAGTGGGGGAGCAAAGCTATGTGTGGATGAGAATTTGAAAAGGGAGCTGGGTCTTTTGAAGCCTTTTTTAGGGTAGGAGAAGATGTGGGTGTATTTATAGGTGGGGAGGAAGTAGCTCTTGGAAGGGTGAGATTCAAAATAAAGACAAGAGAGCAAGGCCTGGGAAGAGGTATGAGGGATCAGGTTTGAGGCCCACGTAGGGGAAGGTTACCCCGGTACAGGAGGGCTGAAAGCTCTGCCTCTGGGACAGGCAAGAAGGAGGGAAGTTAGGGCCATGATAGTTAAGTTTAGAGGAAGAGGGGAGAGAAGTTAAGGAGTTGCTGTCTGACAGCATATTTTCTTTGGGAAAAATGATCTCAACTGCTGAGATTGAGGCAGACAACTGAAGAAAGGGCTTATGGAGAGAGTGTGGAGCTGTCAACATGAAGAATAAAAAAGAGTATTAAATGGGGATCAGTGAAATCATTGCCAGTTAGGGATGACGGTCAAGGTGGAGAGAAAATGGGGATAGAGAGAGAGCCGTGAGTTAATAAAGGTTTTTGAAGTGGGGAGCAGTGTCATGACAAAGGGATTTTAGGAAATTTTAAAAAGTGGTGGTATACCAGATGGTAGAAATTAGCTTTCTCACATTCTAGGGTGATTGGTAATGGCATGGAGGAGAGATGTCCAGCAGGGACCTTTTGAAGGAAGACCATCTGCACCTTTATAATAAGGAAGATGCCTGGAAGGCAGCAGGAGCTTCTTGGGACTCCTTTGCATTTTGTTGTTGCCGGTGTTGCCTAGGAAAGTTCTGCACCTTGGTGATAAAAACTGGTTCTGGTTTCCATTTTTCCCATACTTGTGAGCCGACCTCATAGTGTTACTTTGGAGACACCAGCACGAGCCAGCTGTCCCCCCTCCTCAGAGATCTGAGTTTCAGCTACGTGGGTCCCTCCTCTGAGTTCAGAGGCACCAGCAGTGACAAAGAGCCCCCAGCCTGGCTTCAGCTCAGCAGGGCCTCCCTTCTAAGCTTCTAGATCCAGATCATGCTGCCTCTTCCCTTAGTTCCCCTAGCCCTGGGAATGGTGGCTGCTTCTTGCAATTACATGTATTCACACTTTACCTGGATAGTCTTCCAATACCTGTTTAACCAGTTTCTTAAGTTAAATTCTTTCTGAAAAAAAATTAACTGGTTTGGCTTTTGTTTTGAGACAGGGTCTTGCTCTTGTTGCCCAGGTTGGAGTGAAGTGGCATGATCTCGGCTCTCTGCAACCTCTGCCTTCTGGACTCAAGCAGTCCTTTCACTTCTGCCTCCCATGTAGCTGGGACTACAGGTTGCACCATCATGCCCAATTAATCTTTGTATGTTTTGTAGAAACAGGGTTTTGCCATGTTGCCCAGGCTGGTCCTGAACTCCTGGGCTCAAGCAATCCCCCCGTCTCAGCCTCCCAAAGTGCTGGGATTAGAAGCATGAGCCACTGTGCCTGGCCTGTTTTCTTGATTAAACCCTTATTATTAGCGTCACTTAGTTTTCTAGGGCTGCCGGACCAAGTACTGGGTTACTTAAACAGTAGAAATTTATTGTGTAGCAGCTAGAAGCTTGAAATTATCAAGAGACATTGGAACCAGGGTGATTCCATCTTGAATAAGGGTTGAGTGAAAAGAGGGTGAGACCTGCTGGGCTGCATTCCCAAGATGTTACACATTCTTACAGGATGAGATAGAAGGTCAGTAGAACTGGTTTCACAAGATAAGTCACAAAGACACCGCTAATAAAACAGAATGTGGTAAAGAAGCCAGCCAAAGCCCACCAAAACCAAGATGGTGACAAAAATGACTTCTGGTTGTCCTCACTGCTCATTATATTATAATTATAATGCATTATCATGCTAAAAGACACTCACCAGCGCCATGACAGTTTACAAACGCCATGGTAATGTCTGGAAATTACCTTATATGGCCTAAAAAGGGAAGGAACCCTCAGCTCCAGGAACTCCCCACCCCTTTCCTGGAAAACTCATGAATAATCCATCCCTCGTTTAGCATATAATCAAGAGATAACCATAAGTGTACTCAGTCAAACAGCCCATGCCACTGCTTTGCCTATGGAGTGCCCATCCTTTTATTCCTTTACTTTGAATAATCTTGCTTTCACTTTACTCTGTTGGCTCACACTTGAATTCCTTCCTGCACAAAGCCAAGAACCCATGTGGCTCCCAGGCCGAACTCCAATTGTGAGGTCCACCCTGTGACAAAAATCACAGTATAAGCAGGGTTGGTTCCTTCTGAGGGCTGTGAGGGAGGAATCTGTTTCAGGCCTCCATCCTTGGCTTATAAATGGCAATCTTCTTCCTGTGTCTCCATGTTCCATTTCTACCTGTCTCCAAATTTCCCCTTTTCATAAGGACACCAGTCATATTAGATTAGTGCTCACCCAAAAAACCTCACTTCAACTAGATCACCTCTGGAAAGACCCTATGTCTAAATAAGATTACAGTTTGAGGTACTGGGGTTTAGGACTTTAACATATAAATATTGGGGAGTGAATGGGCATAATTCAATCCGTAACATCCACCTTCAGCCCGTAATGAACAGAAATTAGAGAAAACTGTGCTTAAATTAACCACTTCTAGGTTGGTGTACTTGGGCAAGTAGCTTAATCTCTCAAAGCCTCCATTTTAATCCTTTATAAAATGGATATGGTAATTCTTATTTCAAAGATTAGATAGTACTTTTTTTTAATTCCAAATTCTTCTCTTTCTCCTTTTTTATTTTCCAGGAGAAGGTAGAACACGTTGCTCCTCCTCTTGCCCTGCTCACTCTCTTATTCTTACTCTATTTAGATTAAAAAGAAAATAAAGTTTGTTTGCTCATAATTTACTTTGAGCCTTGACTGACAAGGGCTGTACTGATCTCTGGAAATCCATACCTCCACTCCCAGCTCTGCAACCTCTCATTCTAATTTAAGTGCTATCATCAGGGCTTCCTCCCTGCCTGCCTTTGCTCTGTAACTCATTTCTCTCTTCCCTTTGGCACAACCCAGGCGTGGGCTCTATTAGAAACACCTCTTTGCCAAGCAAATCCTGGCCAAGTTTCTCATTGCTAACTGCACTCCTGCCTCTCCATGGAGAGTGCTTTTCCACACACCACGTTGTTTAGAAAGCCTTGTTCCTGGAAGCTGACAAGCTGTGAGTTGCTTAAAATGTAGTAATTTACCTGTGAATAACAAAACTAAATATAGTCATGCAATATACAGTATTTGGAAACAGAAGAGCATTGTTTAAACAAGATTTTGAATAGTTCCCTCCTTAGGAATATGGTAAATGGCCTCAGCAAAATCTGTATTTTATATTTTGAAAAGAAATAGGATTTTTTCTCAAATTTTAATGTGAATAGGAATTACCTGGGCATCTTGTTAAATGCAGCTTCTGATTCAAAAGTTCTGGGGTAGAGCAAAAGATTGGTCTGTGCATCTAAAATTTTCCCAGGTGATGTTGCTATATCTGCCCACCAACAACACTTTGAATAGCAGAGCTTCAGAGATCATAGGACAGAGCTTCTCAATCCTGACTACACATTAGAATCATCGGGAGTTCTTTTAACAAATATCAATGCCTGGTTTCCAACATCCAGAGGTTCTGATTTAATTAATCTGTGATCTGAGTCTTACACTCAGGTTACTGTCTTTTTTTAAAGTGATTCTAATATGCAGCCCAGGTGGAGAATCATTGCTCTAGTCCATTGCTCTTTAACTTTAATATGTATAGAATAGCCTGAGGATCTTGTTAAAATGCATACCCTGATTCAATAGCTCTGGGCCAGAGCCCAAGATTCTGCATTTTTAAAATGCTTTTAGGTCATACTCAGGCTGCTGGTTAACGGACCACATTTTTGAGTAGGAATGGTCTAATTCGGCATTTCTCAACCTTGACACTATTGACATTTGGGGCCAGATAATTCTTTGTTGTAGAGGGGCTGTTCTGTGCATGCGCTGGCCTCAACCCACCTAGATGCCAGTAGTAACCTCCTACTACCACCACCACATGAGATAACCAAATATGTCTCCAGACATTGTCAGATATCCCCAGGGTGAGGGGTGCAAAATCACTACTATCACCACCAACGTCACCTGCTGTGCTGGCTTGATTCATCCTTCTCATTTTACTGGAAATAGGTCCAAAAAGTCCAGTGTTACAATGTCTCCATCTTTAAAGATCTCAGAACCTCTAGGTATTTGAAAGCTGACAGATTACAAAGCTGACAGCTGCCTTAACAGGGTGTGGTAGATAGAAGAATGCACCCCCCACCCCCAGAGAGATATCTATATCCATGTTCTAATTTCCCAAACCTGTGAATGTGTTACTTTACATGGCAAAAGATGCTTTGCAGATATGACTAAGTAAAGGATCTTGAGATGGGAAAATTATTCTGGATTATCCAGATTGGCCCAAGGGTCCTCATAAGAGGGAGACAGGGTGTCTGAATAAGAGGAAGAGAAGTGACAAAGCAGAGGTCAGAGAACTAGTGATTAGAAGATGCTATGCTGTTAGTTTTGAAGATGGTGGGAGGGGCCACAAGCCGAAGAATGCAGGCAGCTTCTAGGAGCTGAAAAGGTCAGGGAATGGATCCTCCCGTAGAGCCTCCAGAAGAAATACAGCCCTGATGACACATTGGTTATAGCCCAGTGAAACCCATTTCTGTAAGAGAATAAATTTATGTGTTAAGTCAATAAGTATGTGGTAAATTGCCACTGCAGCAATAAATTTACACATAGGGGAATGTGATAAGAAGATAAACGATCTTATGTTGTGGGGAAGCAGAAGTAAGGTTGTACTTGGGTAGAATAGAATATAGGGAATGGGAAGGTGATTAAGGCAACTGAACAGACCCTGAGTTGAAAGGGAGAACTGATAATGCTGTTCAAAATTAAGAGTAATGAATGGAAAATTCCATGGGGACCAAGGCAGGACTAGTCGGAGCAGATGGGCAAGGTGGGAAGATTATGTGGGAGAGCATTGGCTGCATGTGTGGGGCCAGAGAGCATCAGTGTACTGCTTCCATGTTGCGGCCCAACATGCTTGGACAGGGCTTTGTGGTCCTTGGTGTTTGCTGCCTCTTAGAATAATCTGAGAGGAGTGTAAAACTCCTGCAGCTCAGGCTGCACCCGTACCAACAAAGTCAGAATCTCTGGGGACATAGTCATTTTTAAAACTTTGTGTGATTCTAATGTGAAGCCACATTTGAGAACCAGTGCTTAAGAAGGTAAACAGTGAGGGACAGACCAATAAATGCATGAACTCAAATTAACTTGTTTCTAGAATAACGGTTCTTTGGCACTTTTGAGGTGGCTACTTTCTTGCAGGGAGTGATGAAGGTGGGAAACCTGGTACCACCTGATGTAGCTGCAGGTGTTGGAGTGAGGATGAGCCCCAGGTTGTATGTAGTGGTGTCCAACGACAAGGCAGGGGGCCCCTCAGCAGTAGGGCAGGGGAATGGGGAAGAGAAGCTGGGAATATTGGAGGCCAGGGCTGAGAATGAGGCTACTTATCTAAATCTTGTCACCCAGAAAAATGTGAGGAATTCATACATGTGCTGGACTGAGGTCAACATCAAGGAAGAAGGGGGAAAGTCTCCAGAAAGCCATGAACCACCATATCCTTTAGCTGATTAACTTTCACTGGTAGTTCAGGGTGTATCTTAGATATGCCTCTTTCAGGAAGCCTTTTCTAACCCGCAAGCCTGAGTTAGATCCTCCCTTTTGAAGCCTTTTCAAATAGCCTGAACTCTATTCACTAGATGCCAGTAGCACTCCCCAATTTGTGACAACCAAAGATGTCTCCAGACTTTGTCAGGTGTTTCCTGGGGACAAGATCACTACCGGTTGAGAACCACTGGTCTAGAGTAATATAACGTGTGCACATCAGACACGGTCAGTTCTGTAGAGTCAAGTAAGGGTTCCTTCTTGTTGCCTCAGGACCTTATTTTTCTTTCATTCTCTTTCTCCAACTCAGACACTCACTTGGGGGTTGGAAGTTAATGATGTGGCTTCTACAGAAGCAGTGATTATGTCTATGCTGCTTTTTTTTTTTTAAAGTCATATTCTCAGTCCTGTAGAACTGGGACTCTTTCCATGGCTTATTCCATGCAGGGAAAAATGCCTCCTTCCTGAGTGGGAGCCCCTCCCTGAGGTGCACCACAGCTCCTGTAAAATCTTGAGGATGTGGGGAGTAGCTTGGACCCTTCAGAGAGGGTTGGTTTGCTTAGTGGTGGGATGGTTCTGAGGAACCATCTCATAGCTGGTACAAGTGCCAAATAAGAGACTTCTTCTGAATCTCCACACATTAACCCTTTTATTTTGTGCTTGGAAAATATGTGCTGAGCTAACCACACAACAATAGCTCCAGACAGGCCAATGAGTGATGTTTCTCAAGATAGATTTAATCAAATGCTGCACATAATTTGAAGTCTTAAAATGAATTCCTTCTGCTTTCCAGTCTATGGGAGCATGATAAATAAAGCCATGAGAGGAACTCAGAGCGGGTGAATGTATGTCATCCCATAACAATGCTGGGAGAATGTTTGGAAATCCTCCCTTCAGGGTTCAAGTTGGGATGCAGGAAAGGCTGGTTTCTCTCCCTATATCCCTTCCTGAATCTCCCAGAATATCTGCCATGCCTAGAAAAACCTTCTTTAGTTCATTGTGAACAAGAAAGGCAGCTCATCTAAGAAAACATTGCCTCTTCTGTGTTTAGGGTACTCAGCATCTCATTTTTCACTATGCCTCATGATGAAATACTCATTATAATATGAAAGGGGCCACAGTTTGAAAGTAGGAAACATGGAAGGGGCTGGTGGTCCCTAGGAAGGTGATGAAAGTGAGTAAATGTGCACTTGATCCTGTCATCACTGAACATTTATGGGGCTTCCACCATGTTCCAGACTCTGTGCTAAGTACAGGAGATGTAGGTAAAAAAGATAAAGTTTGGAATTACCAGTTGGTGGAAGGAGGCAAAAAAGTAAATAGCTGACTGCCAGCCAGAGTGAGAAGCTTAATGACAAGTAAGGGGTGCTGTGGGAACACATAGGGGTAACCTCAGTGAGATGGGGTCAGGGAGCATGTCCCAAAGGAAGTATCTTATAAGCAGATGAAAGCTATCCAGGTGAAGGACCTGGATGATGGGATGGGTGGGAATGGGAATTTCTGGCTAAGGGCAATTTAGAAGCCCAGAGGGAAGAGAGAAGCCATGAACAGGAAGCAATTTAGTCTGGCTGGAGTAGACAAGGTCAAGTGGGATGTGCATGGCGGAATCCATGTAAGGAAGGTGGCTGTTTCGTTTCATGAAGACCAGGAGCCAGCTTGAGGCCAGGTCCGGGAACACAGATATCCCCACCATTGAAGCCCACCTTAGCCTCTGCAAGAAATCCCCTGGGCTTTCTGCTGGCTCCAAATCCCGGGATCAGAAAGAAGATGCAAATCAGGATCAGTAAGAAGCTAAGAGGCCTACAGTGAGGTTTTGTGTCTTGGCAGGTGGTGGAGTTGAATTTCCTGAACTCTCTGTGTGGGCATAGATGTGTTTAGTCACACTGTGGCTTGAGGGCTGATTTGAACCTACCTCAAGCAGGTGCTCTGTGGGAATAGTTAGGTGGGGGTTGGCAGGATAACTCATTTTATTAAACAAAAAAAAAAGGCCGGGGGGTGGGGCTTCTTCCTATCAAAACAGGGGAAGGAATGAATAAATTATTGATGCTAATTAGAGATAGGCAATGACAAACCTGGAGTTTCTGCCAATCATCAGCATATAAGTGGATAGTGCCAGCCTAAAGGTGCAGACTCAGGATGCCCCACCTTGATGCCAGGTGTCACCAGCTCTTCTCCAGTGTGGCTGAGCCCATGATCTCACTAGGCCCCTGAAGAGATCCCCACTCGGCACTCTAAGGTCAGACTGGGCCACCTTCCTGAGGTGCGCCTGCTCCTGCACAGCTGGGTCTCACACAGGCCTGCTCTCCATTCCTCAGGATCCCACCTGTCATCCACTGCACAGGACTCCTAATAGAATTCCATCAAATTTCAGAGCCAGATGGAGCTTGCGGAGTGTATTATTCAAGTTCTTCATTTAACAGCTGAGGAAACACAATTTACAGCTGAAAGCATTGGTAGAAGCCATTATCTGCTATGCGGGCTGAGTCACAGAGGAAGCCAGGCAGCAGCAAGAGAGGCCATGAAGCAGAGAGATGCTCAGAAAGGAGCAGAGAAGAGCAATTGTGAAAGACGATCCCCAGGTTGCCTGGATCCATTTGCTTTTGTTTTCGTTTTTGCTTTTGTTTTTTGATACAGGGTCTCACTCTGTCACCCAGGCTGGAGTGCAGTGGTGTAATTATAGCTCAATGCAGATTTGACCTCCCAGGTTTAAGCCATCTCCTGCCTCAGCCTTCTGAGTAGCTGGGGCTACATGTGCATGCCATTACACCCAGCTAATTTTGTTTATTTTTTGTAGAGACAGGGTCTCACTATGTTGCCCAGGCTCATCTCAAACTCCTGGGTTCAAGTCATCCTCCCACCTCAGCCTCCCAAAGTGCTGGGATTACAAGGGATCCATTTTTTTTTGAGGTCCAGCTGCATCCTTGACCTCAGGCTCTATCAGACTCCCCTGTACACTATTTACAAATTCCCTTTTTTGCTTAGGAGGTAGCTAAAGTCAGTTGCTGTTACTTGTATACCAGTTACTTAACAGATACAATGAATTAGAATTCAGGCATGTAAAGACACCTGTAAGAGAAAGGGTGGCTCTCAAGCTGAAATTGTGAGCATTGGTGTATTAGTTTCCGTTGGCTGCTGTAAAAAATGACCACAAATGGGGTGGTTAAAAAATGGAAGTTTACTCTTTCACAGTTCTGGAGGCCAGAAGTCTGCAATCCGTATCACCAGGCCTGAATCAGGATGTCAGCAGGGCTGTGCTCCCTTCAGGTCATTCTCCTTTCAGAAGCTGGAGGGGGACCAGCCTGACCAACATGGAGAAACCTCGTGTCTACTAAAAATACAAAATTAGCTGGGCATGGTGGTGCATGCCTGTAATCCCAGCTACTCAGGAGGCTGAGGCAGGAGAATTGCCTGAACCTGGGAGGCAGAAGTTGTGGTGAGCCGAGATCGTGCCATTGCACTCCAGCCTGGGCAACAAGAGAGAAACTCTGTCTCCAAAAAAAAAAAAAAGAAGAAGAAACTCGAGGGGGCAATTTGTTCCTTGCCCCTTCCAGCCTCTGGTGGCTGCTGCCATCCCTTTGCTTGTGACTGTATCACTCTAATCTCTGCCTCTGTGTTCATGCTGCCTTCTCATCTTCTGTCTGTGGCTCTAATAAAAAGGGTTTAATCAAGAAAACATGCCAGGCACAGTGGCTTACACTTGTAATCCTAGCACTTTGGGAGGCTGAGACAGGAGGATTGCTTGAGCCCAGGAATTCAAGATCAGCCTGGGCAACGTGGCAAAACCCGTGCATGGTGGTGCAAACTGTAGTCCCAGCTACACGGGAGGCAGAAGTGGGAGGATTGCTTGAGTCCAGAAGGCAAAGATTGCAGAGAGCCGAGATCACGCCAATTCACTCCAACCTTGGCAACAAGAGAAAGACCCTGTCTCAAAACAAAATAAAACAAAACAAAAGCCACACTAGTTATTTTTTCAGAAATAACTTAAGAAAGTGGTTAAACAGGTATTGGAAGACTGTCCAGGTAAAGTGTGAAAACGTAATTGCAAGAAGCAGCCACCATTCCTAGGGCTAGGGGAAATAAGGGAAGAGGCAGCGTGATCTGGATCTAGAAGCTTAGAAGAGAGGCCCTGCTGAGCTGAAGCCAGGCTGGGGGCTCTTTGTCACTGCTGGTGCCTCTGAACTCAGAGGAGGGACCCACGTAGCTGAAACTCAGATCTCTGAGGAGGGGGGACAGCTGGCTAGTGCTGGTGTCTCCAAGGGAACACTATGAGGTCGGCTCACAAGTATGGAAAAGATGGAAACCAGAACCAGTTTTTATCAACAAGGTGAAGAACTTTCCTAGGCAACACTGGCAACAACAAAAAGCAAAGCAGTCCTGAGAAGCTCCTGCTGCCTTCCAGGCATCTCCCTTATTACAAAGGTACAGATGGTCGTCCTTCAAAAGGTCCCTGCTGGACATCTCTCCTCCAAGCCATTACCAATCACCCTAGAATGTGAGAAAGCTGATTTCTACCATCTGGTATATACCACCACTTTTTAAAATTGCCTCCCCTTCTCTCTTAGAGGGACACTTGTGTTGCATTTAGGACCATATGGATAATCCAGGATAATCTTCCCATTCATCTCAAGGTCTTTGATGTAATCACACCTGCAAAGACCTTTTTTTCGTCCAACAAGGTAACATTCACAGGTTCTAGGATAAGAATGTAGACATATTTTGGGGGGCCATTATTCAGGCTACCGCTATTGAGATATTTAAAAAGCAAAGTTTCAATTAAAAAGTGGGTTAGCTGTTAGTGGAAGAATAAAAAGTTAGAACCAGTAAGTGGGTCAAATAAAAGGCAGTCGGAACTAAAGAACACAAGGATTTGGCTCTCAAGGTTAGTAGATCCGCTTGGAAGAGGTGGGTTCATCAGGTTATCATGGTCCACCAGCCACGATCACTCAGCTAGCATCTCTTGTTCTGATTTCATGAAAATTTCTGATGATTTGGCTGCTTATATAGATTCACTTACAGTGACAGAATATGCTGATCTGTACATCAAAGTATCTAGTTTATTAAATCATTTTATTATTACAAATTTAGAAATCAGAATTCTGGTTTTCTGTTCATTCATTTCTACAAGTTTGAGTGACACATATTAGGATCTGAGATGAGGACTGTCCATCCTACAAGTTCAGAAATATAATTTTCTGGCACGCTAATAGTGAATCCATTCACTGTTGAAGGGGGAAATCAAACTGAGTTTTATTCTCTTGGTCATGATTCCAAATTCCTAATGAAGATGTCTAATGGGCCAAACTCAAACCAATTTCCCATCCTGGAACAATCAACTGTGGCTAGGGAATGATAGGGAATGAGGCCCCTTTGAATGTACTGCTTTTATTTAAGATTTATTTGGGAGGGATGGGCCAGTTTCCTTATAAGTTGGAGAATATGGCAAGCAAATCTGCAGTCTGTGTTATAATTGAACTTTCAGAAAGCATTCGACTTCCAAGTGTCACTCATACCTCTACTAAATCTTCTTCATAATCTTGTATTTGTGTGTGTCTTCAGGACTCATAAAACGGTAACTTAAACTAGTTAACATAAAACGGTCTGTTAACATAAGTTATGTTAACATAAAAAGTTAACATAAAATGGTAACTTAAAACTTAAAAAGCAACTTAAAAAGTTGCTCCTCCTTTCAACATATTCTTCTTGCTTCTATTAAATTAATCTTTTTTTCTTTTTTTTTTTCTTTTTTTTTTTTTTGAGACTGAGTGAGTCTTGCTCTTGCTGCCCAGGCTGGAGTGCAATGACACGATCTCGGCTCACTGCAAGCTCCTTGGGGGGCCTCCCGGGCTCAAGCAATTCTCCTGCTCCAGCCTCCCAAGTAGCTGGGGTTACAGACGCGCGCCACCATCACCACGTCCAGCTAATTTTTGTATTTTTAGTAGAGACAAGGTTTCACCATGTTGGCCAGGCTGGTCTTGAACTCCTGACCTCGTGATCTGCCTGCCTTGGCCTCCCAAAGTGCTGGGAATTACAGGCATGAGCCACTGTGCCTGGCACTAAATTAATCTTTATAAAATACCTTTGATTTATAATATATGATGACTATGACTATGACTTATATACAATCTCTACATTTTCTTTTCTTTTTTTTTTCTGAGACAGAGTCTCGCTCTGTCGCCCAGGCTGGAGTGCAGCGGCATGATCTCGGCTCACTGCAAGCTCCCGGGTTCATGCCATTCTCCTGCCTCAGCCTCCTGAGTAGCTGGGACTACAGGCGCCAGCCACCACACCTGGCTAATTTTGTTTTTGTATTTTTAGTAGAGATAGGGTTTCACCATATTAGCCAGGATGGTCTCCATCTCCTGACCTCATGATCCGCCCGCCTCAGCTTCCCAAAGTGCTGGGATTACAGGCGTGAGCCACCGCACCCAGCCTACCATCTCTATGTTTTCAGTCCTATATATGTATCTCCTGTATTTCATTATTTAATATTTATTCTTTAAATTGATTCACTATATAATCAAGTATATTAATTTAAAAAATAAGTTCTCTATCATAAATGGAAAAAAGATATTATTTTTTTTTTCTTTTGAGATGGGGTCTCACTCTGTCACCCAGGCTGGAGTGTATGCCACCACACCCAGCTACTTTTGTATTTTTAGGAGAGACAGGGTTTCACCATGTTGGCCAGGCTGGTCTCAAACTCCCGACCTCAAATGATCCACCTGCCTTAGCTTCCCAAATTGCTGGGATTACAGGCATGAACCACCATGCCTGGTCCACTTTTTAAAAATAGAAGGTAATCAAACAAATAAATATAGCAGGATGTTAGAATGAGGTTTCCAACCACATTTTTGACTGAGGCTTCAATAAAGTAGGTATATTACCAAAGTTCATGTGAGACAGGCTCCTCACATGTGAATTTACGAAGGAATTTGTGCAGAGCTTGTTCTACGATTTTTGGATATCTTAGCTCAATCAAAGATATTTAAAATAAGTCAGAATGTGAAGAGAGAGGAGGATTTGTGGAAGACCTTTTAGGAGGGACCTGGTGCTATGCTAGAGACCCAAGAGAGGGGGTACTGCCTTCTCCTTAAACGTAGTGCAATAATAAAAACAAACAAACAAAAAAAGAAACCTAGTGCAAGAAGCTTCCTTGGAACTACAAGGAGAGCTATGGAAGGTGCTCTCTGCACTTAGGGGATATAGGACAATGGCTCCTGACTCCCACCCAAGAAAATGTAGAAGTTACTGTGTTAGTCTTGACCTGCCGTCCTAATTGAGTGACCTGGAGGAATTCTTGCTTTCTTCTAGCAAGAAGAAGCCAGAGGGGAATGCTGTTTTTTAGAGGCTTTCAAAGAAGTTATCAATGACCACTTGAACTAGACATCATTAGGTACCCTGCACCATGGAATGATGGAAATCTCCATGAAAGTGCCCAGGCAGGTAGCCACGTTCGACTTTCTGCTTGACCCAGAGAGCTCTCAGCCACTAGCCAGCAAGTACTGTCCTTTGACCTATACCTCTTGTCCCTCCAGCCTGCCCCTTTCTGTCCCTGAGAGAAGTCAAACTTCAGCTAACAAGTGAAGGAGGAAGTGAGTGGGGAGAGCAGAAACCAACCACACTCCCTTTCTGGAAAACAGGCAGCTGTCAAGTAGAAGCCTTGCCTAGGGAACAGGAAGAAAATGGAAGAGCTGACTAATATCTAGGACTTGATATTCAAACTACCAAATTAAGACTGAGTTTGCACATAAAAGTCTGTAAGACTGTCTTTTATCTAAGCATTAGTAAAATATATATACACACACACACACACACACACACACACACACACACACATATATATATATATACACACACACACACATATATACCAGGCTTGCTGGGTTATTTTCCAGTGGTAGAAAGAAAGCTTTCCCCACTGGATAAAGTTTAGAGTTGACACAGGAAACAGAAAACGAAGTTGGATTTTGATTGTGTCACAGTCACACTTGTTCAATGTACTGCTTCTATAAACATGATGAAAACAAAAAAGTTATACTTTTAAAAGGTAAAATTTTTAAAACCATGACAATCAAGTAATAAATATTTATAAGATGCATACAAAAAATAGCTGCATGATTTAAACATGTGAAGAACTCCTTGATCTAGGCTTAAGATTGGCCAGTTGGGTGACTAATGCTGGCATTAAACCTAGATGCTTCCTTAATTCAGGATGAGTGGTGCCCCTGCTTGGTGATGTGATACAGATGGGGCACCTTGGCAGTCCACCGCCATTTGGATGCAATCTTAATATGGGAATGATAGCCCATCTAGACTACCAGGGGTGAAACGATGGGAGCAGTCATTCTTACCATCCCTGCTTCCAGAAAGTCATACTGAGGCTGGGCGCAGTGGCTCACGCCTGTAATCCCAGCACTTTGGGAGGCCAAGGTGGGTGGATCACTTGAGGTCAGGAGTTCAAGACCAGCCTGGCCAACATGGTGAAACCCTGTCTCTACTAAAAATACAAATATTAGCCGGGTGTGGTGGCGGGCGCCTCTAGTCCATTACTTGGGAGGCTGAGGCAGGAGAATTGCTTGAACCTGGGAGTCGGAGGTTGCAGTGAGCTGAGATCGCACCACTGCACTCCAGCTTGGGTGACACAGCGAGACTGTCTCCAAAAAAATAAATAAATAAAAATAAAAGTCATGCTGAAATGTTCAGTATATGAATGTCTGAAACATTCATGACAGAGTCTGTTAATTTATATGGTCTGTGTAACCATGTTTCTACCTACTGTGCCCAATGTATTTTTTCTGTAATATACATTAAAATAATTATTGAGTCAAAAAAAGGTTCAGCAATATGTGTCTGACATCATCGTGCATATTATACTCTCCCAGCATCCTCAGGCCTTGTTTTACCTAGCAGATGCTGTCTCTCACTGAGCTCAGCCCACTGCCTCTTTGGAGGGTAAAGCCTCTATGGTTTTCCATTCTTGTCATGTTCTCTGGGTTCCAATCCTCTGAACAGATTCAAATCTGCTTTTCCTTCAGGATTTCTCTATATCTCCTTGCAGTTTTTTTTTTTTTTTGGAGACAGTCTTGCTCTGTTGCCCAGGCCAGAGTGAAGTGGCATGATGTCGGCTCACTGCAGCCTCCACCTCCCAGATTCAAGCGATTCTCATGCCTCAGCCTCCTGAGTAGCTGGGACCACAGGTGCCCACCACCACGCCTGGCTAATTTTTGTATTTTTGTTAGAGATGGGGTTTCACTATGTTGGCCTGGCTGATCTCAAACTCCTGACCTCAGGTGATCCACCCACCTCGGCCTCCCAAAGTGCTGGGATTATAGGTGTGAGCCACTGCACTTGGCCTCCTTTCAGTTTTATCAATTTTTGCTTTACATAGTTTGCAGCTCTGTTGTTTGGTACAAGCACATGTAGGATTGCTATATGTCATTGGTAGATTGACTCTTTTATTACATAGTATCCTTCTCTGGTAATTTTCTTTGTTCTGAAGTCTACTTTATGAATATTGTTAATATTAAGTCTATGTGATTGATATGACCATTTCTGCTTTCCTTTGATTAATGTTTGCATGGTATATCTTTTTCCATCCTTTTACTTTCAACCTGCCTATATCATTATATTTAAAGCAAGTTTTTTGCACAGAGCATTTAGTTGGATCATGTTTTTAAAACCAATCTACCAATCTCTTTTAGTTAATGCATTTAGACTATTTGCATTTAATGTAATTGTTCATCTGTTAGGGTCTAATTATTTATTTTTATTTACTTATTGTTAATGAACATAAGCTTTATTACATCAAATAATAAATACATATAAATCTGCAAGTAGTTTTAGTCATTTTGAAATATGTTTTGATGAACTTACAGCAAACATAGAACTAAAATCTACATACAATCTTAGTAAAAAATAGTTAAGTTTAGTTGGTTACTCCTTATTCTGTATTTATAACTTGTGCATCTTTAATTTCAAAGCATTGATAGTGATGCAATACTTAAGCAAAAAAGAACTTATAGAGAATGTATACTGTATGGCAAACCAGGGACTGGCTACTAAGTAAAGAGTGCTGTCAGTATTCATCAAAAATAAAATTCATAGAGGTGTATTACTTTATGGAATGGAACAAAAAACAATTTAGGTGCATGAATGTATTCAAAAGAGAAGATTAATGTGCAACACTGGTATCTTGGAGGCAAGCAACAGTTTGCTGTAGGACAAAAAACTTTTACCTGCATCTTTTAAATCAATGCTTTAAAAAATCTGAGTAGCTCTAACTACTTAAAATGCAAATCCTAATCAACTGTAAGATCTTTGCTAGTTTGAGAACCTACTGAGCCACGGGAAAGAAACCAGGAAGAAAAACCAAATGATTACCATTTTGAAAACATGTTTCATCTGGACAGGGGAGATGAACTGTAACTTCCTATCTTGTAAAAAGATGGAATACCTCGCAAAACTATGAAGGTGGTTAGAATCTGGCATTCCATTCTGTTTTAACCAAGCACTCCCAAACTAGTCCTTTAGCATGAGTGATAACTTGTTTTGGTCTCTTCATTGTGCTCTTGCTCCCTGTACAGGTGGATCTGATCACTCCCTCAGCTCTTGGATGATAGCCAGCAGTTTAGCACATTTGCTTTGGGGTCACTTGGCTGTTTCCAGTTCCCTGGGTGTAGCCTAGGGATGGTGGCCTATAGTCACTCAGCAGCTGGTGGTACTGTGAGAATAATACCATATGGGTAGAAGGTGACATGGAAGGTGACAAGCTCTCAGCTGAGTTGAGGGAGGTGGTAGGCATTTTCAAGGTCAAGTTTAGTTTGTATGACATTCTTTCATCTCCATTCCCAGTAGCAGATTTTTATACACACACACACACACACACACACACACACACACACACACAGACACACACACACACAGACTGGTGCTGAAAACTGTGGCTGTCTTCCAGAAGCCCAGAGAATTTTGGGCTTTGGGATTAGAGGCTAAAAACCCTAGATATGATCAAGAGTGATCTGTTCCCTGTTGTGCACACAGCATATCAGGACACTTTGGCTTGTAGCTTCCTAATACACGTTCTTATCCATCTGTCCTCCAGGAAAGATACAATAGGACAGATAGACACACAGATGTACACATGCACACACACACACACTCCAACATATTTGAACAAGGCTAATAGAAAAATGAAATGAATTGAATATAGGAAAGGGTACAAAAATAATTTATTAGAAGGAATGGTGTGGGACAAAGCTAGCATTTATTGATCACCCACTATGTGTCAGATATCCCATTATTTCATTTAATTATTTTCTTTTTTCATGGACAAATAAAAATTGTATACATTTATGGTATAAAACATATTTTGAAGTATGTACATTGTGAAAGGGCTAAGTCAAGCTAATTAACCTACATGTTACCTCATGTACTTATCTTTTATTTGTGGTGAGAACACTTAAAATCTACTCTATTAGCATTTTTCAAGTATACAATACATTGGTCTTAAATTTAGTCACCATGTTGTAAAATAGATCTCAAATCATTTAATTTTTCAAGTTGGTATTATTACTCTCCTTTTACAAATAAGTAAACTGAGGCTCAGGGAGATTAAATAGTTTGTCTAATGTCACGTCTAATAACTGGCAGAGCCCAAATTCAAACTTTAATTTGTTGGATTTGAAAACCTTTGGCTTTGCTGTCTGTCTCTTATGGAAGAAGGTGGAGCTTGGGGGAACTGGCATTAGGAGATTAGGTAATAGAGATGGTTGGTTAAGTCCATGAGGTGGCCACAGAGGATGGATGTGGCTGGATTTCACTGTCTTCCTCCACCCCTCCTATTCTCATAGTTGTGATATACATTGCCTCAGAGTTGCAGCTTTCTTTCTTCCCAGGATGAATTTTAAAAAAAAATTTAATTAACAAAAAATACTTTTAATAACCAAATAGTTATAGGGTACCATGTGATATTTTGATCTATGTTTTATACACATTTGAGAAAGATTAATGAAGCTAATTAATATATCTACCTCACCAACTCATAATTTTTTGTTGGGAGATTAATAGTGAAGAGACAATAAAAGAATAGTTAAAAATCTATTCTTTTAGCAATTTTGAAATATATGATACATTATTATTAACTGTGGTCACCTATCATACAGTGCAATAGGTCACTAAAACTTATCCCTCCAGTCTAACTGAAACTTGGTACTTTTTGGTGATTAACATTGTCCCTTTCCTTATCCCTTCTCCTGCCCCAGCCTCTGATAACCACCTTCTACTCTTTGTTTCTATGAGATTGACTTTTTTTGATTTTCCATATAAGTAAAATCACAGTATTTCGTCTTTCTGTGCCTGGCTCATTTCACTTAACACAAATTCCTCCAGTTCCAGCTATGTTGCTGTGAAGAACAGAAGTTCCTTCTTTTTGAAGGTTGTATAGTATTGCATTGTGTATATATGCCACCATTTCTGTGTCCATTCATCCTTTGATGGACACTTAATTTGAATCCATATCTTGGCTATTGTGAATAATGCTGAAATGAATATGGTAGTGCAGGTATCTCTTAGATACACTAATTTCAAATTTCAATTTCTTTGGAAACAGGATGACTGGATCGTATGGTCATTCTATTTTTAGGTGTTTTTTGTTGTTGTTGTTTGTTTGTTTTTTGTTTTGTTTTGTTTTGAGATGGAATTTCACTGTTGTCGCCCAGGCTGGAATGCAATGGTGCGATCCCAGCTCACTGCAATCTCTGCCTCCTGGGTTCAAGAGATTCTCCTGCCTCAGCCTCCTGAGTAGCTGGGATTACAGGTGCCTGACACCATGCCTGGCTGATTTTTGTATTTTTAGTAGAGACTGAGTTTCACCATGTTGGCCAGCCTGGTCTCAAACTCCTGGCCTCAGGTGATCTGCCTGCCTCAGCCTCCCAAAGTGCTGGAATTACAGGCATGAGCCACTGCTCCCAGCCTTATTTTTAGTTTTCTTGAGGCACCTCCACACTATTTTCCAAAATGGCTGTACTAATTTCCATTCCCAACAACAGTATACAAGGGTTCCCTTTTCTTCACATACTTACCAACCCTTGTAATCATTCAGCTTTTTGATAATAGTCATTTTAACAGATGTAAGGCTATATCTCATTGTGGTTTTAATTTGCATCTCCCTGATAATTAGATATGTCTGAACATTTTTTTCATATATCTGTTGGCCACTTGTATCTTTCTTTGAGAATTGTCTGTTCAGATCTTTTGCCCATTTTAAAACCAAGTTATTTGTTTTCTTGCAATTGAGTTTCTTATATATTTTGGATATTAGCCCCTTATCAGACATATGGTTTGCAAATATTTTCTCCCAGTCCATGGGTTGTCTCTTCACTTAATTGCTGGCTTTGCTGTGCAGAAACTTTTTAGTTTGGTGCAATCCCATTTGTCTATTTTCACTTTGGTTGCCTGTGCTTTTGGAAGGATAAACTTTTATTTCAAGGGAAAATGCTGGACTCAGTTCTGCTCTCATCTTAGATCTGAAGGGAGTTGGCCAGGTCTCCTCTTCTTGAGGGTACATGACTAAGAGAGATGGGAGGGGGCCCACAGCACAGAGACCTGTTGCCAAGAACATCTCAGGGTGGAGAGACCTTTGGAACATTTTTTTCCACTCTACATCAGACAGAATAAAATTGATTAGCATTTAATTGGTTTCAGCTGTTCTTAACATGTTGCATAGAAAACGTCAATGTACTTTGCTAAATTCAATATTCCTTATGGTTAACAGATTGAAAACCAAAAACGTCCTTGAAGAAAACACCAGAAATCAGTGCTTTAGATCACACTGAGTTGTTTGCTATTGGTCACCCACTTGGAATGTTCTGGGAACGCTAACTACTTTGGATTGGATATATTCAGAAAAGAAACAAATCTTTGTCTGGTAAGACTGTTGGGTAGATAACTGCTTAGGAATCAAGATATCTATGTTGCAGTTCCAGCTTTCCCTGCACAGCCATGTGATTTTGGATAAACCTCTTCACCTCTCTGGATTATATTCAGGTTTCTAATCTAGAAAATGAGGAGATGAGCTCAGTGATCTCCAAAGTTGCTTTCATCTCTTACATGTATAATTGATTTGCATCATTCTGATGCTTCACTACAATTCTGGAAAAACGATGGTACAATCATCTCTCCTTAAGCAGTGTGCAGAATAGCAACAGCAAATTGTGTCTTGGAACCCAATGAGGAAGAGGTTTCAAAGAAAATACACTGGTTAAGCCTTAAATAATAAGGCATTTTAGTCTCAAAGGCCAGATGATAAATGAGGGGCTGGGAAAATCTGACTACTTCACTGTGTGTTCTTGGCCAAAGATACTTCAGTCCCTACCCTTCATATCTCCATCTACAAAACGCATATAAGGACATCTCCTGTTAACGCAAAAAACTGTTAAGAGGTTTGGTCAAAAGCTAAGTGCAAATCATGGGTATCAGACACTGACAGCTACAGATGGGCTACAGTTTCAGTAACTGCTCTTTTTCAATCCTACTTCCTGCTTTTGCCTGTATTCTCTTAAATTGTTCATTCTCCAAGTTTTTCTGCCATTATTTCTCCTGCCTTGCTACTTCTCTCGTGCTGAATCATCTTCTTTGTGTCTTTCCTTTACCAAAACTCATGAATGACGAAGGTGGCAGCTAGAACAGTGAAAAGCTCCAGAGAATTTCTGTTCTGTGGCCCAGCTGCTTAGGAGGCCCTGAGAGGAAGCCATCTGAAGCCCTGCTTGCTATCCACTTGCCTCTCTGGGGTCCCCAACAGCTGTTGGTCCCTTACTACCAGACCTCAAATTAGCATTCAACGGGCTAATTTGCAGGCCTAACTCCAAGGCTTGGGGAATTCCTGATCCATTTCCACAGCCCTGGGAGCTTCCTCAATGATCCCCAGGGCTATGAGGCTGAATGTGGACTTACTTATGCTTGAGCAGAGAGAAACATCAGGCACTTCCATGGAATGCCTTCCTCATCTCCCAAAGCTAAAGACTTTACTGAGCTTCTGTGAATGTTAATGTCAAGATAGCTCAGATTGTTGGTCCCATAGCTAGTGCTGCTGAAACCATGGACACAGGGTTTCATAAAAATCACAAGGCCAAAGCTGGCTCAAGGGAATGCTAGAGCCCTGCTATGGATGGTAACATTGAAAGAAGAGCTGTTGGCTTTGACTGCGATGGTTCTCTGGGAGTTAATGCTCTTCCTAGGTGAAGTAGATTTATGTTAGCAATGCAAAAAGTTATGATATCAAAGGCAAGACCAGATATTGGAAGTTGCGGGCTGTTTGTAAACTTCAGTAGGGGTATAATATCAATATGGAACTCTCTTTCCCAGGGTCAAATTATGCACTGGCAATCTGAAATGAGGGAGAGAGTTCAGTCTTGGTCATTGACTCAGTATCTGGGACTGCCAGCCTTACTAGATTGGAGAATAGGTGAACACTGTTCTCTTTTTCTGAAAATGGCATACGTGCACCTAAGAGGGGAGTAAAGGCTTATAGGCAGCTAGGTCTTCCCAGTCCCTTCTAGTGCCTCTTTACCATACTCAGGGTAAGACTTGCCTGCAAATCAGTGATTCTAGAAAGCAACACAGCATTTCTCAAGTTTCCTTCTCAGTAAGTAGTGGGATATTCGATCTCTCTGAATGACCCTAGAGAGCCTGTTGAGTGAATCCTCTTGTGCAGCAAAGTCCACAGTGTAACACTGCTGTGTGCTGAATACTCACTTGGAATCTGGTTCTCTTGCGATTTTAATTAAAACCTACTGAATCTTTCCCTGGCAACTTGGGAATGTTAGGACAACTAAATTCCTCTTCAAAGACTTAACTTCCTGCCACCTGTGAATAAATCCTACCCGCTTCTTGCAAATTGCATATTTACCCTATTTGGAAAGGTTTAAGTCTCAGCCAATTAGGTCAGCTTAGATTGTGCTGTCCAACCCCAGCCAATAGGGGAAGGACACAGAAACAGGAACTGTATTAGGGTTAAAAACCCCTTCCCTCCTTTGTTCAGTGGGCTCTTGTGATTGTAACAGGTGCAAACAGCACCCTTCTGCAGAAGCAAAAGTGCCTGGCTGAGAAATTTTCTGTCTAAGTGCAGGTTTCTTTTGGCTACACTGAGCACTTGTTTCCAACAAATCTGGGGGCTCATCTGAGATCCCACTCTCCTTTGGGAGGGGCTAGCGATTATCTTGCATGGGGAGATGCGTCCCACTGCCTTGTTGTGGTGGCCCAAGCAGCGGAGGATCAAGTCCTGCCCAAAGTGATGACTAAATCCAGACTCTGAGCAATGCGGGCATAGAAGGATCCTTAAGAACTCTACGGCGACCAGGTAACTCTGTGCACAGACCAAGGCAAGAAACATCGCTATTGGGGCGACAAAGTATTCCTTGGTGGTCAGGATCTCTGGAGGTTGAAAGTGTGTGAGTGAGACTCGCCATTGGGTGAGAAGCGAGTGTGGAGTCTGGACTTGGTTCCGTGGTCACCTCATACGGCTTAGGGCGGTTTTCCAGTTGGGGGATTATATTGACCCACCAATGCTAAGAGGGATCTAAAATTCCCACAAGGGAAGTGGCCAATAAGGACAGGTGAGTGCTCACGAGAGTGCAAGAAACCTCCAGTGGGAAAAGGGGAGGTTGAGCCTCTGGGACACGGAGGTGCAAGAAATCTCTAATATGAGAGATTGAGCCTCACCAACCTCCAGGATGGGAAATACCCCAAGTAAGACAGGGACTACAAAAGGCCAAGCAGGCAATAAAATTCTGCCTGACAGTCCCCTAAGCCTTATGCTAAAATGCTGGAAGGATAATGAAAGGACCAAACACAGGAAAAGGCAGCAAATGATAAAGTATTGCTGTTTTATTTGGACTAAGGAACCCATCCTCAGACCTTCGGTCTTTTGGCCAAAGTTTGGGTCAGACAAGGACTGGATATGCCAACTCCTGATCCAGTATGTCAATGATAAAAGTCCAGTTTCTCCAGAGGAGATAGATTATGCTATATGTTGGAGACAAGGACCTGTCCTTCTTCATCCCCTAAAGGATAAAAAGCAAAACCAAACTCAGTACCCCACAAGGACGACCTAGCTAAGTCAAATTCTATATCTAAAGAGGCATAGGATCCTCTAGTCCATCTTCCCCTGCCTACTCCTCTGCCCCAAGTTGAATACTCAGTCCCTCCCCCATATAACCCTGCCCCATGGGCCTTGCCACCCCACATCCCTGCTGGACAGCCACTCGAACATGCCTCTTCCTCAGGAAAGCTCCAGTGAGAAATAGAACAATGCCAAAGGGGTATTCAAAACTTTCCTTTCCCCTCTTCCTCAAAGAAGTCTGCCCAATCCCTTTTTCCCTTAAGGGAAGTACTGCTAGGAGGAGTGGATATTGGCTATTGGCTTCATAAATGACCCCCTTAAGCAGTTAGAGCTTATAAATCTAAAAAAGGAAGTCAAGCCACTGTTAGATGACCCTTTTGGAGTTGCAGATCAAATTAACCAATTTCTGGGGCCACAACTGTAAACTTGGGCTGAATTAATGTCTGTTCCAGGTATTCTCTTCTCAGAAGAGGAAAGAACCATAAACCACAGGGCTGCTATGAAAGTCTGCGAGTGCGAACACTCTCCTGGTCAAAATGTCCTTGCAGCGGAGCATAAATGACCAGACACGGATCCTCAGTGGGATAACAACAACGTGGCCCATTCAGAAAACATGAGAGATCTCAGAGATTTGATAATTAAAGGGATTCAGGAATCAGTTCCTCTAACCCAAAATATTTCCCAAGCATTTAACGTACAACAAGGGAAAGATGAAGGGCCCATGGAATTCTTAAACCAACTTAAGGAACAGATAAGAAAATATGGAGGTTTAGACATAGAGGACCCACTGGGATAAGGGATGTTAAAACTCCACTTTGTCACCAACAGTTGGCCAGACATTACAAGACATTATAAAAGATAGAAAATTGGGAAAAGGTATATGTACAGAGGGAAGAGGAAAGGTGGAAGCAAAAGGCAAAAATTTTGCTGTCCACCCTACAACAGGGAACTCTTCAACAGGGAGCCCAGGGAAATAGAACTTGTAAATCTTCCAAGTACCCGGCTGCCAGACCCTATACAGGAAGCAAAGGGATGAAACCCGACAGTCAGGGAACAGGAAGGGGGAGAGGGGAAAACAGATGTTTCAGGCATGGAAAGCCAGGACACTTTAAGAGGGAATGTCCCGAATGGGAGAGAGAGAAGGAAGTCCTTCCACTCATGACATTTGAAGAAGAATAAGTGGTCAGGGGCTCTACATCTTCCATCTCGAGTCCCACCAAGAGCCCTTGATAAATTTTACAGTGGGACCCAAATCAGAGATGGCTCACTGACTCAAGAATTTTAAAATATGAAGCTATCTTACTAGAGAGAGATGACCTGACACTAACCACTGACAATTCACTCAACCCTGCTGCTTTCCTAAGAGGAAATCCAAACCCGGAAGAACCTGAGCATAAATGCTTAGATCTAATCAGTTATCAAACTAGAGTCAGACTGGATCTAAGCAAAACCCCCTTCCAAACAGGGCGTCACCTCTTTATAGACGGTTCCTCCCTGGTCATTGGAGGAAAAGGGCACAACGGGTACTCTGTAGTTGATGGGGAAACCCTTACAAAGGTAGAGTCAGGAAGACTGCCAAATAACTGGTCTGCCTAAATATGTAAACTGCATTAAACCAAGCATTAAAATCCCTGCAGAATCAGGAAGGAACTATTTACACTGACTCCAAGTATGCCTTCGGAGTAGTCCATACCTTTGGTAAGATATGGACTAAATGAGGCCTCATCAATAGTAAGGGCCAAGATTTGGTCCACAAGGAATTAATTATGCAAGTACTAGAAAATCTTCAGGTGCTGGAAGAAATTGCGTGTCCCAGGACACAAAAATTGCATGTCCCAGGACACAAAATAACCCATCGTTTGAAAGCCGGGGAAATAACCTCGCTGATGAAATAGCTAAGCAAGCTGCCTCTTCCCAAGAGGCACCCATTTGCCATCTAACCCCTTGTCCCTCCTATCCAGCTGTGATCCCCATCTTCTCCCTTGCAGACCAAGAGAAACTAAAGAAAATAGGAGCTAAGGAGAGCCCAGAGGGAAAGTGGGTACTACCAGATGGAAGGGAAATATTGTCACAGCTTCATCAAGGAACTCACTGGGGTCCACAAGCTATGTGCGATGCAGCCCTCAGAGTCTACGGGTGTGTAGGGATATATACCCTCACTAGGCAAGTGGCGGATGATTGCATAGTGTGCAGAAAAACTAATAAGCAAACCCTAAAGAAGCAATCTCTTGGGGGAAGAAACCCAGGGTTGAGGCTGTTCCAAAGCGTCTAAGTTGATTACACTGAAATGCCCCCAATAGGCCACCTCACGTATTTACTAGTAATAGTAGACTATCTCACCCACTGGGTAGAAGCCATCCCCTTCCCAAGTGCAACGGCCAGTAACGTAGTCAAAGCACTGTTGGAACATATCATACCCAGGTTTGGACTAATAGAGAACGTTGATTCGGACAATGGGACCCACTTCACTGCACACATCATTAAGGGGCTAACCCAAGCACTAGGAATAAAATGGGAATATCATACTCCGTGGCATCCACCCTCACCAGGGAAGGTATAAAGAATGAATCAAACTCTAAAAAATCACCTAACCAAATTAATCTTTGAAACCCGGTTACCCTGGACTAAATGCTTTCCCATTGCCTTACTAAGAATCCGAACTGCCCCTTGAAAATATCTTGGCCTGTTCCCTTATGAAATGCTCTACAGGCTGCCTTATCTAAATTCCATTACTGACCTTCCTACATTTAAAGCAAACAAAAAAATCATTTTCTCAAAAAAAATATGTATTTGGTCTGTCTTCCACCCTTTCCTCCATCAGGACTCAAGGCCTCCTAGCGCAAACTCCACCCCTCGAATTCCCAGTTCACCAACACCAGCGCAGAGATTATGTCTTTATCAAAAGTTGGAAAGAGGGAAAGCTCAAACCAACCTGGGAAGGACCTTATCTAGTACTCCTAACCACTGAGACAGCAATCCAATGGCCGAGAAAGGGTGGACCCACCACACTCGAGTAAAAAGGGCCCCACCCTCTGCAAAGTCATGGACCATCACTCCAGGACCAACGCTCTCCAAACTAACATTCAAAAGGGTTTAATCTGTCTTTTCCTTCTTCCTTTAGCTACAGGAGGACATCTTATCATGAATGTAACCCGCTCACCCTTTCCCCAAACAATTACATTTGATGCTTGTCTTGTCATGCCTTGTGGGGATCTCCAAAGTCAAAGACACCTAGCTTCCTCAGAAAAATACCTTTGCCCCTCCAGAGAAACTGACACCCCCACCTCTTGCAATTGGTGGGGACACACCTGAAGTTGGGGATTATGTTATCAGTGGGGCGATGTTCTCTGGACCACTAAATATCAGGGCTGGACCTCCTCAGTGGGTTGCACCGAACTAAAACCCTACCTCCACTTCATCAAAGGAACTTCTCCCCCAATTGTCGGTCTTATCTTTGCAAACCAGTACTTATCTCTATTAATATCCCTACCTCCACCAACCCTACACCCACTTTAAAGTGCTTTTATGGCCTGGGAGTGGACATCACTGGAAAGGACCCTATGGGCTTCTTTCAAATGCGCTTTGTTTCTTCTCCTCCATCTCCCACCATTGCTCCTTCCCCAAACCCACAAAATTAAACCATTTCTTGCTTCATGCCCAAGGACAAAACCAAAGTAGCTGTAGTAGAATTCAAAGACTTAAAGCAAACCCTAGCCATAGAAACCGGGTATCAAGATGTAAACGCCTGGCTGGAATGGATTAAATATTCCAGTCCCACCCTAAATAACAGCAATTGTTACGCTTGTGCAATGGGCAGGCCAGAGACGGAAACTGTTCCCTTCCCACTCAGATGGGCCAACCAACCAGGTATGGACTGTATAGTAGCTCTCTTCCAGCACTCCAAAGCCTGGGGAAACAAGTCATGTGCCGCTCTTTTACTAATTTTCCCAAAGGTCAGGAGCCCTATGGGACAGCCCCCAAGGCCCATTTGACTTCCAGCTCACAATGCCAATTTTACCTCATGTCTCTCACGGCAAGGGGAAAATTTGACATTCCTTGGAAACCTGACAGGATGTAGTGGGCCTTAATGTTTTCAAGAGCTCACCAATCAGTCAGCCCTAGTCCATCGCCAAGTGGATGTGTGGTGGTATTGTGGGAGACCAATACTGGGTACACTGCCAAGCAGTTGGAACAGCGCTTGCACCCTAATCCAATTGGCCATCCCTTTCACCTTGGCATTTCATCAACCAGACAAAAAACAGGTAACCTGAAAAAAAATGAGAAACCCCTCATGGGTCCTTTGACCCCCACGTTTACATAGACAGTATTGGGGTCCTGCAGGGGGTACAAAATAAATTCAAAGCTCAAAACCAAATAGCTGCTGGGTTTGAGTCTATCTTATTCTGGTGGTCCACTATAAACAAAAGTGTAGACTGGATAAATTATATATACTACAGTCAGCAGCAATTTGTCAATTATACCAGAGATGCCATAAAAGGAATAACTGAATAGTTAGGCCCTACCAGCCAGATGGCCTGGGAAAATAGAATAGCCCTTGACATGATGTTGGCCAAAAAAGGTGGAGTCTGTGTCATGATTGGGGTCCAGCACTGTACCTTTATTCCTAATAATACAGCCCCTGATGGGACAATCACAAAAGCCTTACAAGGCCTTATCACCCTACCAAATGAATTAGCCGAAAACTCTGGAATAGACGACCCCTTATGGGCCTGATGGAAAGGTGGTTTGGAAAATGGAGGGGACTCATGACCTCAATCTTTACCTCTCTTCCAATTGTTACAGGTGTACTCATTCTGTGGGCTGCTGTATCATACCTTGTATTCGTGGGTTAACCCAAAGGCTCATAGAAGCAGCTCTCACAAAAACCTTCCCCACCTCTCCCACTACGTACTCAGATAAGCTCTTGCTCCTAGATAATCAAGAACAACAACAAGGCCGAATCCTATTGAAGAAATTTGAAGAGGAAGAACTGTAAAATAGAAGAGGGGAAATTGTTAGGACAACTACATTCCTCTTCAAAGACTTAACTTCCTGCCACCTGTGAATAAACTCTACTCCCTTCCTGCAAATTACGTGTTAACCCTATTTGGAAAGGTTTAAGTCTTAGTCAGGTCAGCTTAGATTGTGTGGTCCAACCTCAGCCAATAGGGGAAGGACACAGAAACAGGAACTGTGTTAGGGTTAAAAACCCCCTTCCCTCCTTTGTTTGGTGTGCTCTTGTGATTGTAACAGGCACAAGCAGCACCCTTCTGCAGAAGTAAAGGTGCCTTGCTGAGAAATTTTCTAAGTGTGGGTTTCTTTTGGCTATGCCGAGCACTTGTTTACAACAGGAATGTTATACTATTTCAGGCATCATTCCTGTTGAGTTTACCCATGGTTAGAAATGTAAGGGAGTCCATGGAATAGAAATGAGAGAAGAATTAAAGTTCTTTGTAAACTCTAAATGCTAATGTTGTTTATTATCATTATTGGTATCTAAAATGCCATAGACCCTCCCTCAGTGCTTCTCTTTCCTATGCATTGAGTCAGGGAATAGGGCTTTGTCACTTGGTGACTTACATGCTTATATTTCCCCAGGAGAAGCCCAACCCCATCCTTCTAGATTCATTAGGTCCTAGTTCTGCTCTTCCTCCCCTTAGTCATATCAACAGCCATACACACTGCCCCAGGCAACTCCTCTAATTTTCCACCTCTGAGTCATCTTGAGTTACAAATGGATGATGGAAGGTCACATAATTTTTGTTTTATTATAAAGAGGAAAAATGAGGGAGCATTTATTCTTGCAGTCACTCTGTGCTCCTCAAATGTTGCTCTGGCTCAGGTATGGGAGAGGAGGGTGTGGTTGGAATCATGCCTCAAGTCCCCCCAAGTTCTCAGGGCAGCCTCTGTTTCTCCTCGGCTCTCCTCTTCCAGCCCTTCTAAAGGCTTCTCTTTCTTTCTCTGACATCCTGTTAGTATGAACTCATGTAAGCTATTTAATGAGCCAGGCAGCGTTATCCAATTTTTATAAATTGAATGATAGCGGTTTATGAGAAAACAGCCATGATTATGAAAAGTGCCAAGAATATTAAGTTCTGCACTGCTGCTTTTGAATTGGCCTTTATTAAAAACTGATTATAATTCTTCTGGGGTCAGTGCTGCTAAAAGTATTAAAAATTGACCTGGAAATTCTGTACTTTCATGATGCCTGTTTTCCCCAGTTATTTGTTTTCAGCCAGATAATTTGATATATCTGAAGATATGTTGCATTTGCCATAGTTCATAAACTTTATTTTCAGTTGCTGCACCCTGGAAACCCAAGATACTCAGAACATTGTTATTTATATTGAGAGAAAAAGATTTTCTTTTAATCAATCAGATTTACTTTAGCAGTAATTAGGTCAGCTGGAACAAATCTGCATTTTCTTAACATTTTTAGTGGTGGTGAAATGAGAACTACTGTGTCCCATAATTATGCATTCAGATATTATACTATCAAAAAACACCAAATTAAGAAAAAACAATGAAATGAAATGGACAAATCCGAGAAAACTCTCTTCTTCCTCTGCCACTCACCTTCCCCCTTTTCTGGCTATTTGAGCATAAGCAGTTTCACTATTGTCCAGGAGAGTTTAAATTTTACTTCTTGTTAGGGTGACTATTATGAACTTCTCCCTAACTGAAGATTTTGTGTTCTGAAGTCATTGTGTTCTTAGGCTGTGGTCCAAAGTGACTTCATTTTCTGGTTGCTGGGATTTAACAGAGACTTAATGTAAGGGCTGCAGCTTTGTGAGCCAAAGATGTCTTTTTTTTCTGACTCATATTAAATAGGACTGAAGCGTGTGTTAAGATGCCCATCAAATTTCTCCAAAATTTCAATTAAGTATTGCAGAACTCTACTTGGCCAACGATGGGGTAATTAAAATGTACATTATGGATCTGATAGATTTAATGAATTGGCATTGTGAAAGAACAGGAACAGCTACTAAAATTCCAAAAATAACAGTTCTTGGAGAACAGTTCTCGGAGAACAGTTCTCAATCTCAAATTAAATACATCAAAATTAATTTTAGCTGTTTCAGGAAGGTGACATGAGAGCCATTTCAGTTTTTTTAAAATGGGTTTGAATGGAATGACAAAAGCATTCCATTCATCTTTGAAATTCTAGAGTTTCAAAAAGGAAATGAAGAGTTTACTAATTGAGAGCCTGTCCATTAAGAATGGATGCAGCCGTCTTAGCAACTAACATCAAGCCATCCAGTAACTGACATCACTGTGAACCAGAAAGTCAGCACTCCTGGGAGAGCCTGTGCTAGAAGAAAATAGTCACTTAAAAGTTATCCCTCAAGGTAGTTACTCTTGCCTTCAGGATGAAAAAAAAAAATGTTTCAGAAGTCACTTTAAAAGAGGATCCAAGATATACAAAAAAGATTTTTGTAGAAAGGAGTTCAGTGCAGCATTACTTATTAGAGTGAGAAATCAGAAACAGCCAAATAGAAAGTAGAGGACTGGTTAAACAAATTATGATACATTCACATAATTGAATACTATGCAATCATAAAATAATGTTATGCTGCAGTCATATTAAAGTTCATAAGAAAATGTTATAATATATTAAGTTAATTATTATATACAAAGAGAAAAAAGCAGGCTATAAAATAGTAGACTCCAAAATTTAATAGTGGCTATCTCTAAGGCAGGGCCAAAATACCTGATTTTTTTTTCTCCTTTACCCTTCCTATATTTTTCTTAGTAATTAAAGAAGGAGCAATAAATGTCATAAAAAGACACTTCATTTGCAAGTCTGCTGAGAGATAGCACATATTTTAATTCCTTATTTTTCGACTAGAACTTAAATTACTTGGCTTTTCAGAAATACATCTACTTCCTACATTTCTCATCAATTAAAAAAATATCTGTCACTTCCTATCATATTTGGAAGGCTTCTGCTTTCTACTTAGGCAATACTTTGGGGAAGTTAAATTTGATTGTGCCAAAGTTGTCAAAATGGCCTTAATTTTGTTTCAGTGAAGTATCTTTAAAAGTTGTTAGGTGGTGTCAATAAGCTGTTTAATTGGTCAAGAGGTCACAAGGCCTGCAATAAAACACCTCTTTATTACGCAAAAATCTTCATGGACAAACTCCATCCTCAAAGCAACATGAAAACCCCAGAAACTGAAAAGAAGACACAAGTGCTGAGCCAGGGACCTCCTGCATGCAGAACACAGATCAAATTACTTGACTGAAGATGCAGAAGAGAGGATTCCATCAGTAAGACTGTGTGCTGGGGAAAGAGCAGGCCTTAGGTCAATACATTCCTGTGTAGGAGGAGCCCTGTCCACTGCAATTTCACAGCACAAATGAGAATGACTCTTGGTTAGATGGGAAATTCCATTAAACTCTGTTATGCAAGAATGTCAGGAAACAGTGTTATTATACTAGCTGCCCCAGATTTCAGACACATATGTTGAGGGAAACCACATTTTAAAGACTACAAAATCTCAGTGATCTCATCTCATCCCTCTTTCTACTACACACACACACACACATATACACACAAACATGCATGCACGTATGTACACACATGACAGGGGAAAGAGAAACATTTTAAGATCATAGATTATTATGGCAATAGCTGAATTCTCAGTATTCTCTCCTGTCACATCATTCTTTTCTTTTCTTTTTTTTTAAAGATCAGATGTATTTGGAGAAAACAAAAAACCCACAACCCAAAGGATGGGATTTCACATCTCAAGACATCTCCCAGGTAATAAGTCTACAGATTACAAATCATTTTCATAGAAAATATTTTTGTACAAATTATACAGGTATTCAGGAGCTGGGTCATTAATCAATCCCCATTTCTATTTTAACAGGGGGGCAAGGTAGGGGAGAGGGAAAAACAGTTTTGGATACAACTATTTGGAAGGAGAGTAGATATGAAGAGGGCAAACCCTAGTTTTTCATTACCTACAATCAATGTTTTTTTTCTTTAAAAAAAAATCTTTCAATCTTCAGTATCTCTTTAAAAGCCCACTTCTTACCTACTAGCCAATCCACCCCAATTATTTAAATTCACTTGGTACACACCTTTGTCCACCAGGTAAATTATATTCATTATGCCCACTGCTGCAGCACACATAAACCAACACCCCTGCATGGCTGAACAGGGCCTAATCTAGGACTGATGGGAGAAGTGCTTGCAAACCAAGATCAAGGTGTCATTTCTCTGCTAATACTGTCTACCAAGCTGATCCCTACAAAAACGCACATAAAAGCAGGCAAGTTTAGCTACTGTGTTGCAAGAGAAACCAGGACCTTGTTAAATAGTTCTCTCCATTACCATTTATTCTCTCAAGGGAAGCTTAAAAAAAAAAAAGAAAAAGAAAAAGAAAAAACAACGCATTGGTCTGGCCACCTCATAAATCCCACAAGCATTGGTGTGGCATTTCAGTGGAGAAGGAAACTTGGGGTGGGGAAAAACCCATTAAGGTTGTAAAAAAGGCTCCCAATTTAACTGTCCCTGTCCCTATTTATCCACCTTTATTCACCACCCAAGACCATTCATTACCCTAGAGCCCTCTGATCTATAAAAGGGGTCAAAGCATCAGGAGCAGGGAAGGAGTGAGAACCAAAAGACATCAAGAAACTGATTTGCTTGAGAAAAGCAGCGATTCTTCCTTTCATAGCTCTCCATGGCTGAGAGAGAAAATGCCCAAGAGATCATCTATGTGACTTAGAGACTGCTTTTTGGGACGTCAAGAGTAGCATGAAGAACTTAAGATAATGACAAGAGCCTAAATATTTAAAGTTTCAAGGTTTCAACAGAATGTGGATGTATTTGAACTTTCAAAAATGTCCTGTCACATCTTTCTTCCCATTACCTGGAGCTCCTCCTTTTCCCAGGCATTCATATTTCTTACCTCCTCCCCACCCGCTGCACAAATTTGATTGCATGAAGGATAAGGGGGCAGCATTTCTTTCTGCTTCTGGTCCTGGTTGCCCAGGTTGCATGGTATAGGGAAGGAGGCAGCAGAAACTCTAGGCCACAGAGGTGTGGCTGGCTGCTCTAGGGTGGTGAGATACAAGAGACTGCAGGTGCTTGGTGCCCATATCATGGAGTTAAGGAGCCCCAGGTCAGTGAGGGAAGAGTAAAGTGAGGAAGAGTAGGGATGGGAGAGAAAAGGTTAATAACGTGAGCAAGATCAGCTGGATATAACAGTCTAAGTTGGAAGTTTTTTTTCCTTCACGACTTTAAAGACTGCTTTCTCCATTGCTTTGTAGCATTTAGAGTTGCTGCTGAGAAGTCTCATAGTGTTATTCTTTTTGATAATCTGAGTTTTCTTCCTGTCACATGTAAGATTTCCTCGTACTCTTTATGTTCTAAGTCTCATTACAATGCTCCTAGGTGGGAATTTATTTTTATTTATTCTTCTGGTATCAAGAGAGAACTTTCAATCTGAGATTTATGTCTTTTGAACTGGATAATTCTTAGGACAAAAGCTCTCATGTTAAGCATCTTATGTTCCTTCTCTGTCATTCTTTTCATTCTCTTTTTCTGGATCCATATGCATGTAACCACTCATTCATATATTTGAACTCTTTGTCTTTCTGTGTTGAATTTGGTGTGAACTCCTCCTTATGATCTTCCCATTCACCAGAACTTCCCTTACTGAGTCTAGAGTTCATTCCATCTATTAAGTATTTTTTAAAATATCAAGGGCTATATTTCTATTTGGTTATTTTTGCATATTTATCTCTTCTCGCTTTATTTTTGCCTATTTTAGTTCCATGACGGCTAGTTCTTTTTATAATCGTTATTCTCTTATGGGTTTCTTTAAGCTTCCTTGTTTTAACCAATATGTCACACTGTTCATTAAAGTTAATTTCCTTCTGGAGTGAGTTCATGTTCTGAATGAATTTGTGTTCTGAATTCATGTTCTGATTTCATATTTTATTGAGTATATTTTTTTCAGGATTAGATTTCGTGAATTTTGCAATTTTGATTTGCAGGTTTATTTTAAAATGTTTTTTGTTGTTTTCAGTCTTTTTGTCTCTCCTCTGTCCCTGTGACTGTTTCTCTAAATCCAGTGGTTTTGTGGGTGTCTTTTCACCCGGCTTTCTGGAATTCCATGTCAGAACCAGGTGCTATAAATGCAGCTCAAGGCTCTAGGTCATGACAATGTCACAGATATCTCAGGTCCAGTCACCAAGCCAACATGTGGCTTGGGTCTTTTTCTGGTTTCAAGACTGCATCTGTATCCTCACACCTCCCTGGGCCCACAGATTCCATAAGTCATAGCTCGGTCTAAGAGCAATGCTTCAAATTCAGGTCCCTTTTCTCAGGTGGAGTAGTAGACTTCCCGTCACCCAGCCACCGCCACCTGATTCTGGACCTGGAGCCAGCAGGCCCGTGGCTTCAGCCCAACTCACTCTTTTGTATTCTATTGCTTATTCTCATCATGGAAATAATCATCTTTTTTTTTTTGTCTTGAACTCTGCAATGTCATCATTTTTTTGTTTTTTTTTTCTAGTTTATCCATCTTTGCCATGTGCTTGGGGAAGAATGGCAATGCGAAAGTGTGAGCTTCCCGTCCCAGCTTATTAGAAGCCCACAGCTGTTTTTAAAAAATCTACCTTTCCGGCTGGGTGCAGTGGCTCACACCTGTAATCCCAGCACTTTTGGAGGCTGAGGAGGGCGGATCACAAGGTCAGGAGATCGAGACCATCCTGGCTAACATGGTGAAACCCCGTCTCTACTAAAAAATACAAAAAATTAGCCAGGCGTGGTGGCGGGCACCTGTAGTCCCAGCTACTTGGGAGGCTGAGGCCGGAGAATGGCGTGAATCCGGGAGGCAGAGCTTGCAGTGAGCCGAGATCGCGCCACTGCACTCCAGCCTGGGCAACAAAGGGAGACTCCATCTCAAAAAAAAAAAAAAAAAAAAAATCTACCTTGCCATGCTTTCCCTTTTCTGTGACTGTTAATTAGTACATAGGCCATGGGCTGTCATGCTTAAAAACTGAATGGGAATTTTGTCTTTAGCAGTGTTAGGACGACTGGCTGATTATAAAAATAATAGGAGCCGGGCACAATGGTTCACACCTATAGTCCCAGCACTTTGGGAGGCTGAGGCAGGAGGATTGCTTGAGGCCAGGAATTTGAGACAAGCCTGATCAACATAGTAAGACCCCATCTCTATATTAAACAATAAAAATAATAATAATAGGTCATGGTTTTCCCTGTCAAGGGTCAAACTGTTCTTACTGAACAAGAGCTCTCTGAATTGAGTTGCAAATTCTGTGGTTCCTCAAGATTTACATACAGAAAAAGCCAAGTATATTCCCTCAAGATTTTTAAAAAGATATGTAATCACGGGATTTTAGAGCTCAAAGGAATATCAAAGGTCTTATATTATAGGCCCCTCATTTCTGGATCTGCAAGAAGAAACAGAAATTAAAGGTCTTGCTCCAAGCTTCATGGTATACTGGTAGCAAAGCTAGAGCTGGTTGGGTTCTTCTAGATTGGTATTTCTCCAACAAAATCATCCACAGCATATATCAAAAGTGATATAACTAGGAGGCTTGATAAATGATTTCTACTTAATGTTTAATTATTTACAAAGCAAAGGTATTTTACACCCAGGTTCCTTAAGGTCTCAGTTTCAATCTGCTGTGTTTTTTAAATAAAAATATGTGCATACCAGCATTTTTTTGCTCCAGATAGAAAGCTGAATTTAGCCAGTATGCTCCTTAGTCCATCTATCACATGGCAGTAACCTATTAAGTGTCTAATTTAGATAAATGTAAGAGATTTAAAAAAATAAGAGTAGATAAAATAATAGAAGTATTATGTATTTCAGGGTCCATAGACACAAGCATCAAAAGCTGACTCCGGCTGATTAGTCAAAAAAGTAATTTATTACAAGGATTTTGTGTAGCTCACAAACTTGTTGGGAAGGCCAGAGAACCAGACCTGAGGACAAACTTTCGGAAATGGCTCAAAACTTTAGAACTGGCCTGTTGAGAAAAATCAGTACTGCTCCAAGCACTGACCACTAGATGATACATGAACTAGATGCTTGCAGCAATTTGACTTTACTGAAGCTACGACTGCCCCAGCATCACCGCCATTTCTGATGTGAAGACACCCTCCGCAGTATGTAGGTGCTGTTTCAGTCTTACCTCTGCTGACCCTGAAAGCCAGTCACCCCTCTCACAATCCTCAGCAGCACAATGAATTCTGCCTAAAGCTTCTTTCTTCAAGCAAGGCTCTGCTGTGCTTGGATAATGCTAATTGGGGGACTCTCATTCACAAGCTAATGAGCTAGCTGCAATTGAGGGGCTGGGGAAACAAATTTTCTATCTGGGAAAAACAGGGCTTTAAATATGGAGATTTACCCAAATGCAGCAACAATGTTCATGTACCAAGCAACTAGGAAGGTTACCAATGAATTGCCAAGCACATAAAGGAGTTAAGGTGTCCATGAACGGAGGTAAGATCATCTACTGAGCTAGACAGTCTCCATTTACCCTTCTAAACCCTTGCTCCACCCTTCTCCACTCTACACAATGCCCTTGAAGGCTGAAGGCTGACTACATGGTCTGCATCAACCAGCTTTCTTGCCCTCTGCCTCCAGCTGGGTTTGGCCAGTGGGAGGGGCTGGCAGGAGCTGGGAAGGTGGCAGAAGGATGAGGTTTGGGCATTTAGTTTCCTCCTGGCTGGGTTGCAGGTTGTTTCTCTCCTGACAGCCCCTATTTGGTGGCCCCCTCCTACAGCTGCCCCTCCTCTCTCCTGCCCTTCAGGCCCGGTGGTTCCCACTAGGAAACCCTGGGACACTTACCCCATCCCTTGGGTTTTCCCTTACCCTTCACTACACCTGGTAAATAGTTTATTTTAAATTCTCTCAATAATCCCATTTGCATGTACTATCAGTTCCCTGCCAGAATGCTGGAGTATATTCACCTTCACTGTGACAAATGCTCAGATCTTATTTTCTCCTGTCCTCAATTAAAGTACTGGAATATATTTCCTTTTGTTTTCTTCTCAAACGCAGATCACTGATTAATTGAATTAGAAGAAGATAATATTTTAAAATATGATAGTAGGAGAAATCATTTTAAAGTTTTGGAATTTATTTTATATATCTCTAGCCAAGTTATTTTCAGTCCTGGGCATGCGATATAAAAAGCTCTAAAAAAGCATGAATTTGGGACTCTATTTCAGTCCAGGAGAGACTATGGCATATACATCTTTCATTTTTTTTTTTTTTTTCTTGAGACAGAGTCTCACTCTGACACTCAGGCTGGAGTGCAGTGGCATGACCTTGGCTCACTGCAACCTCCGCCTCCTGGGTTCAAGCAATTCTCCTGCCTCAGCCTCCTGAGTAGCTGGGATTACAGGTGCATGCCACAACACCCGGTTAATTTTTGTATTTTTAGTACAGACGGGATTTTGCCATGTGGGCCAGCTGGTCTCGAATTCCTGTCCTCAAGTGATCTGCCCACCTTGGCCTCCCAAAGTGCTGGTATTACAGATGTGAGCTACCATGCCCAGCTCAATATATCTTAAAAGAAAAAGAAAAAGTTCTCCTGCTGGTTCTCAAGCAAACCACAGATATATGGTAAGGAAAAAGTGTTACAGTAGGTAGCTAGTCAGACATGAGCAGAGCAGGAGAGGGTTTCTCCTTGTTCCCCCCCCCCCCACTACACCCCCCCTTCCACCACACACACACACCAGGAATGTCAGGTGACAGGTGAGGGTCAGGCAGTTGTCAACTGTCTCTCTAAAATAATAATTGGTCACAGACAGTGCCAGGGAAAGGCAGTCCCCCTATAGATAGAAAAAACCTGAAACTGGTGACCAGCAGCTTCCCAATAAGATTTCAGGAGCTGGGTGAGTGAGCTCGAGCATGAGCATTAAGAAGCAAAATGGTGGAGTTTAACTGGTATATGACCTTCCTCTAGAAATGCAAGATTGGTAAGGAAAGAATGCCCCAAGTGAGCATGCATACAACTTCAGTAAACACATGGCGCATGTCCCCATCCCAGGTGCTAGCAGGCCATTGCGCATGTGGACAGCCCATCCCAAGGGAAGAATCGGGGAAAAGGGATAAAAGACCCCAGAAGTATGTCAACTTATAAAACCCCAAAGTCAAATTACCCACTTGTCTTGCAAGTCACCCACTTGGCTCTCTTCAAGTGTATTTCTCTTCCTTTTGTTTCTGCTCTAAAACTTTTAATATAGTTTTACTCCTGCTCTAAAACTTGCCTCAGTCTCTCCTTCTGCCTTATGTCCCTCAGTTGAATTCTTTCTTCTGAGGAGGCAAGAATTGAGGTTGCTGCAGACTCATACAGATTCGCCCCAGTAACTTGGATACTGGCCACTGGTAACATATTTTGGTGCCGTGGGACTTGGATAACTTCTGCCACTAACATACTTTGATGCTGCATGACTCAGATATGTTCCCTAGTGGTAAGAGACCCCTCTACCACACCTTCTTTGGCTGGAGGCATTCAATCCTTGTACATGGTCTTCTCCTTTTCTCTCTCCTGCTTGCTAACCAACCCCCAGAATAAGTCCTTCAGCCATAAGTGACTCTGCTCCTCTTGGCTGATTTCTCAGTTCACTCTGATGGATGGCTTCCAGGGGTGGGAAGGACTGTGGCATCTGCACCGAGTAGATCTGAGGCATGAATGGCCCTCCTGGACAGGAGGTTCACCAGAATGGTAGGGCTGAAGCCTAAAACTGTGCAATGTCTGGGGTTTCCTCTGCTTTTTCAACTAAAATTGGCTCTTTCCCAAGAACCTGCACTGCCTATTCTCTTGTTTTCTCTGTGTGTATGTTCTGAAAAGGACTTGTGCACCCTCTGGACCATCTGCCACAGGGGCAAGTCTGTCTCTTTGCTCTTACTTTGCATGCCACGTGACCTCTTAAACACACACTCCCGCAGCTCTTATGCATTTGAGAGGCAGCAAAGACATGGGCTTCCTTGTGGATATCTCCTGAGATTTATACTTGTTCTTGTTCTTACCTTACCAGCTTGGATGACTTTCAACCCTTTCAACCCTGTCTGCTGACACATTGCCGGGACAAACACTAATTGGAACTCCGGCTCTGCCAGCTCCTTATGACTTACTATATGCTTTTCCTTCCTGTTACACCCCAGGGCTGGGTTTCCTGGTGGCTTTTGCAAATAGGTGGGATGCTTAAAGGGCAGGGTAAGGCCCCATGCAGGCAGACAAACTGCTTCAAAAGCCACCCCTCTTCCTTTGCCCCATTCGTGGGCAAAGGAAGAATTTGCCCTCCTCTGCCAGTTATTAGCCCAAGCCCCAAGTCCTCCGGAGGTTACTACTTTACGTCAACAGGGCAAATAAACGTTGTCCTCTTGAATCCAAGGGCTGCTATTTTTGCAAGCATATGAAGGCTTTCCATGAGTATTCCTCTCACTTCCTCCCACTTCTTCCCGTAGACTTCATTTCTCTAATTACTTCCACATTCTTCTCAACATGAATTAGGACCTTCGGGGTCATATTCAAAAGGAGTGGGGAGGGAAGTCTAGCCCCCTTGTGGCAGTTAGCTGAAAAACAGGCTTTTGTCTGCTTAACATGGGAAATGGGAATCTGAGAAAAAAGGTCATCATTTTTATTGCTAGAATGCTCCAAGCAAGAGTCACTATAAAGTCATGGAGATAAGGGTATAGGCCAGCCCAAGGCTACAGGTGCAAGAGACAAAAGTACCCACAGGACAGAGATGAAGGGTGCTCCCAGGCTAACAGATTATCATTAGAACAGAGATGAAAGGTTAGGGATATGCAGTAAGATCAGTTATTCTGGAACCTCAAGGATGAACAGGCGATCCACTGTTCACTCCAGTATCTCCTCTGTTCTCAAGTGGGTAATTGTGATGAGATGGGACCAAGAGTACACAGTAAGGCTGGTTAATTCCGGAACCCAAAGGACAATGGGGGATGCTCCATTCAGGATAATAGGAATGTAGAGGGAATGCCTTCTTTTTTCTTTTTCCTTTTTTTCTCTCCTGTTCTCTCTTTGCAGATGGGTAATCACATTCCCATACCACAGGACATGCCCCTGGGATGCATCCCCCAAAACTAGGAAAAGTTTGATTCTACCAAATGTTAAAACAAAACAAAAAAAAACCAGTTTTCCTTTGTAATACTGTTTGGCTTAAAAATAAACTGGGAGGAAATTACAAAAGTCAGCCTTGGAACCCAGTTCCCCTGTGCAGGAGGTCCTCAGATTAGCCTCCTCAGTCTTTTATAAGTGAGAGTAGAATAAGGAGGACAGGGCTAAGAAAAAGGAGACATGTAGGACAAGAAGCAGGCTCAACTATTGGCTGCTTTACGAGTTCTCCAACCCCCTCTAGGTTGCCCTAAGAACACTCATACAGGACAAAGCCAAGGTCACCTATGGAGGCGGCAAGTAAAATTATAAATTTCCCTTTTGCTTTCAAGAGCTGCCTACTGTGTGCTAATCTCCTTCTCTAAGCAACTCCCCTCCAAATCCTGTTGGGTAATGGGGCCAATGGCACCCCCTCCAAGAGATTCACATCCCTTTGGGCAAAAATATACTTTTCAAATGGGTGCCTGCTTAATACTTACCTGAAATCTGAATTTGTTTTTCTCTCTAATAGCTATATTTCTCCTGGGAAACCTACCTAAATCTTTAACCAGCAACTTCAACCTGGATGGTCTTACCTCAGGAGTTTAGAAATAGCTCACCATTATTTGGGCAAGTCCTAGCAAAAATATAACTGAGCAATTTCTTGAGGGGGAGATAACTTCTATAGTATGTAAATAACCTCATTTGCTTCCCCGTCACAGAACTTGCACAGCAACTTTCAGTACAAATCTTAACTTTCTAACAGAAGGAATATGACTTTTGTCTAATTCAAAGGTTGTAAAGAGGTACTTTTCATAAGGAAGATGATAAAGAAAAGAGATTTCATATGAGAAAGGATCTTGCATGGTAAATTATTGTCCTAAAGTAAAATGACTGGTTCTTTAAAAAGAGGGATATTTAGGACAAGTCAGAAAGTCCAAGCCTGTCATAGATGATCTGTGTAAATTGTGAAAAATTTGTGAAAGGGAATTTATGAAAGAAATGTTCTGCAATTTTAAAGGTTTTTAGACCTACTAAATAAATGCTTTATAGACTGCCACTTTGACTTTTAACTGTACAACTTGACTATTTTAAAGCTAGGCATGGCCTGGGGACTTACAGAGTTAGCCATTCCCCCAGGTATGCTGGAAAGAGACCTTATATGCACTTCTGTCTAGTGAATCGCTTACTTATCAGGTTTTTCGCAAAAGTAAAAGTTGTGAACAGTTAGCCATGTAACATGTTCTTGAGACTACTGGAAAAGCAGTCTTACATGTAAGGTACGCAAGGAAAGTAGAATGTGCTTTTGTTAAAAGATTGTAAGAAGGTATGGGAATGTAAGTTTTGCCTAGTTTGGAGGGTTAAAGGATTGTTTTATGTTAGATAGGATAAAGCTGAAGGTTTGAGCAAGTTGTGGAAGGTTTGTGAAAAATTAATCCTATAAAAGAAATTCTATGTGTGAAAATTACCCAAAATTAAAGGACTTTTATTCAGTTTATTCATAAACACTGGAATTAAAGCACAACATAGTTTTATTAAAGTATTAATCTGCTTTTGATTAAAGTGTTATCAGTACATGTTCCAAAATTATGTGAAACTCCTATAATTCTAATGTAACATAGTATACATTATTAGGAATAATTATAATTATGTTTAATTGTTTTGTGCCTCAGGGGTAATAAATTTCTTTGTCAATTGTGTCTTTGATTGTGGCTACCCTAAGACTTTTTGTCATTAACAGATAATTGTTGTCTTGTTTTAACCCTCTTTAAAAGGTGGTTTTATAATCAGCTATAGAACTCTAACAGGTGCTCCTAAATACAGGCTTCTGATAACTTTGAAGATTGAGACATTAGAATAGAGAAAAAACTTTCAGGACTCTTATTGGAGAGCTAAAATGTTCATGAATATCAAGCAGAACAAAAGTTAACTGCATGGACTAAACTAATAGAAGATTGAAATAATCCTTTTATGACTTTTTGCTTAAAATGTTGCTAATCCTTTGTTTTCCAAAACCAAGAAAACTTTTCTTTTGAGCTATTTACAGCTTTTAATAATTGAGTACTCCTGTAAACAAAATTCGAGCATATTTGTTTCTCTCTACCTGCTTTCTTCAAAATTTGGAAACTACTTGTGAGTATTCTTAACTTATGGCAGTATAGTTATTTGCATAAGTACAATAAGAATCTGTTGTCTTTTGCAACAGAACACAACTGGAGAAGCTGGTTATTTTACGAAGGCTTTGACTGGAATGATATGCATTCCTTTAAGGAATCAAATTTGACTTATATAGCCAATAAAAGCCCCTTGTGAAAACTGGCTTCATACCTTGTCTACACAGTCCCTGTACAGGGTTCCCAACCTGTGGTCTGTAAAGAATGCCACTTTCTAACAGGCTCAGGAGCCCCAGGTTATCTTGGGACCTCAAGGGAGAGGAATTTACCAACTCATTCAGGTATTTGATGGTATAAAACTGTGGCTGGGTTTAAGCCTTAAAAAAAGTCTTGTCTGAGATTCCTTATGGAATGAAGTTCCATCAAAGCCAATTTAAACAGGAGCCTATTAGGCAAATAATTATTCTTGCTGTGCTTTATGCAAATAATCAGGCCAAGTATAAGACAACTAAAGTTTATTTTGCAAACAAATCAGTTTTATCATGATTTTTTATAAAAATGAGGACTGGAAAGAGAAAAAGTGTGTTTCAAAAATTATGATACACCTGTTATTTTTCTATTAATAGATGCTAGTCTCATCAGTTATTTTTAAGTTTTTGCCTGCATTTTAGAGTAATCCTGCTTATTCCTGTGAACCAGCCAGTGATCTCTGGCTGCAGCTCAGAAGAAACAAAAGGGATGGGTAATGTAAAAATCTGGATCAGTATTCTAATTCTGAGCACATATTGGAATCTGCTATCAACCCCATGTACCCAAGTCTTAGTAGGCATGACTATAGCCACCAGTTACCTGGGTGTGTAGGCAGCCTCAGGGTTCTTTTTTGGGGCTGTCCTCACCCCATTATTTTGTTTTAACATTCCTCTAATTCTAATAACCTGATTTGTCTCCTCTAGCCTTTAGGCCATTGAGCTCCAGATGAACCTCAGTGAGGGATAGTGTCCTCTCAATATTCAAGAGTTACCCTTCTATGGGGGACCCCCTAGACTGCCCATCAGTGAGACACAACAGAGGCAAAATCCTGCCCCTCTCTCCCTTGGACCTGGCTGGATACCAGTTTCCCCAATCCATGGAAACAGCCTCCTGCTCTGACAACTAGCAAGAGGCCAAGACTCACAGAACCACCTACAACCCCCCAACCTCTGTCAGCAGGAAGCCATTACAGAAGGCTCACCTTCATCCATTTTCTCCAAATAACTGGGGTCTTGGACTCTTGAGGGGGGAAATGCTATAGTAGGTAGCTAGTAAGACATGAGCAGAGCGGGAGAGGGCTCCCCGCCAAACCCAACTAGGAAGCTCAGGCGACCATCAGATGAGGGTCAGGTGGTTGTTAACTGTATCTCTAAAATAATAATTGGTTGCAGCCAGTGCCAGGGAAAGGCAGTCTCCCTATAGATAGAAAAAACCTGAAACTGGTGATCAGTAGCTTCCCAATAAGATCTCAGGAGTTGGGTGAGTGAGCTCGAGCATGCCATGATGGAGTTTAACTGGTATATAACCTTCCTCTAGGAATGCTAGATTGGTAAGGGAAGAATGCCCCAAGTGAGCATGCGTACAATTCCAATAAACACATTGTGCATGTTCCTCTCCCAAGTGCTAGCAGGCCATTGCACATGTGGACAGCTCACCCCAAGAGAAGAATTAAGGGAGAAGGAACACAAAACCCCCAAAGTATGCCAGCATGTAAAAACCCCAATTCAAAGGTCAAACCATGCACCATGAAAAACAAGTGTGCACTTGTGTTGCAGATTGCCCACTTGGCCCTCTTCCAAGTGTGCTTTTTTCCTTTCATTTCTTTTGTAAAGCTTTTTTATTTTATTTTATTTTATTTTTGAGACAGAGTCTCACTCTGTCACCCAAGCTGGAGTGCAGTGGCATGATCTCAGCTCACCACAACCTCCGCCTGCTTGGTTCAAGCAATTCTCCTGTCTCTACCTCCCGAGTAGCTGGAATTACAGGCACGTGCCACCAAGCCCAGCTAATTTTTGTATTTTTAGTAGAGAAGGGTTTTCACGATGTTGGCCAAGCTGGTCTCGAACTCCTGACCTCAGGTGATCCACCTGCCTTGGCCTCCCAAAGTGCTGGGATTACAGGTGTGAGCCACCTCGCCTGGCCGTAAAGCTTTTAAATAAACTTTTACTCCTGCTCTAAGACTTGCCTCAGTCTCTCCTTCTGCCTTATGCCCCTCAGTTGAATTCTTTCTTCTCAGGAGGCAAGTATTGAGGTTGCTTCAGACCCATACAGATTCACTGCCAGTAACTCGGATACTTGCCACTGGTAACAAAAGGATTCATAGAAATTCATAGAAATGGTATCATAGAAATGATTCATAGAAATGAAAGAGGAAATGATAGATACCGGTCCCACCTTTGCACATATTCCAGCTGACATATTGCCTTCTCAATACCACACCTCTGAGAGGGCAAAAATTAATTACCTGAGTGGATTTTTTTTAATGCAGAATAAGATTGTATGTGCCTGAATTCTTATAAAACTCTATAAAGGGCTTCCATGCTTAAATAGCTATTTCCTCTAGTAGCTTTTGATTGATGGATAATTTTCTCACATTCTAACAGATGTCTCAGCCATTTCTGCCACCTGTAGCAGAAAATATTCTGCACATAACACTTTTACTAATATAATACAGTAATGAATCAATAGAAATATTACTGCACTCTGCTTTAAAGAAAAGACATCTCAAGAAAACAAGGTCAGCTCTTCCAGGGATGCTGTCTGGAAGCGCTCAGAATGTCAGTGTTTGACATATTGTCTTAGGCTTCCTACAACAGCCTCTAACAGAACTCTGCTGTACTGAACCCCTAGTAATAGAATTGTTTACCTTTACACCAAGAAGGATGGAAAAGCACCAAAATCTGCATGTGGTGTGTGCCCAGGCCGACTTTGAGGGATTTCTGCTGTGAGACCTAAAGTTCTTATGATTGGCCAGTATGAAAAAACATGTCAGCAGGGCCTAAGGTGTCCCATGTGTGCCAAATGTGCCTGTGACAAGTTGAAAGGTGCTTTCCTTATCAAGAAGGAGAAAATTGTTTCAAAGGTGTTGAAGGCACAAGAAAGTAAGAAAGCTAAATTTAAAAAATGAAGCTTTTTTGGTTATAAAAAAATCAAAAGGCAACAGCAGCAACAAGACAAGGTCAAAATGAGGTAACTGAGTGAAAAAACAAAAACAAAAACAAAACAAACGAACTGGGGGCCAAGCATGGTGGCTCATTCCTGTAATCTCAGCACTTGGGAGGCTGAGGTAGGAGGATCACTTGAACCCAGGAGTTTGAGACCAGTCTGGGAAACATAGGGAGAGCCCATCTCTAGAAAAAAAATTACCTGGGCATGGTGGCCCACAGATACTCAGGAAGCTGAGGTGGGAGGATTGCTTGAGCCTGGGAGTTCGAGGCTGCAGTGAGTGAGCTATCATCATGCCACTGCACTCCAGTCTGGGCAACGGAGTGAAACCCTGTCTCTAAAAAAATCAAAATCAAAATTAACTGGCAGTACAGGTTCAACTCCTCCAAATCTACTCTTGGAACCATGTATATAATTACTGATCTTCAGAATGATGCATGGGAACTGCATTATCATCAGTCTTTAAAAATTGTTTTATTAAGTTTACAATTTACTAAATGTCTTTTATGAGCCCAGATCTCCTCTAAATTTTATGGGGAATGAAGAAATATGATACATGGCACCTGTCCTCAAGCAGCTTACAGTATAATGGAAAAAACAGGGAAAATTATTTAAATCATATTAAATGCAAAGTTGTATGGCATTCAATGTAGAGAAGTTCAGGTAAGACTGTATGATGCATATTTCAGTGTTTCTAACTGGTCAACCAGTTTGGATGAGTGAATCTTGGTGGATGACCCAGTCGGTGACTGTGAGCACCTCTCCAAGCTTTCTCTTAATATGGCTTGAAATTGTGTTTTATTTTCAGCATCTACATTATAAACTACTTCTAAAACTGTTTCACAATAATGCTTCTAACACTGTTTTTTAATATCCTACTCTTGTGCAGTTCATTTTTTGAAGCTATAAATAAAATTTATATTTATCCTTATTCAATTATTCTGATTGGTTGATGCTCATTGATCTAATTCATTAAAATAATTTGGACCCTGGTTGTATCATTCAATTTATTAGCTTTCCCTCCCAACTTTAGTCACCTGATTCAACTTGGATATATCTTAATTATAAGGAATTTTAGTGCACTGTGAAGTTTTTGAAAAATTGTCCTATATATTATCTCATTTTATGATCTAAGTCTCTGGGCAGTGATTATTCCCTTTCTTACAGGTGGCCACTGAAGCTCAGGGCAGTGAGGTGACTTACTAGCAAGTGCAGAGCTAGGACAAGGATTCATGTCTAGTATTCATGTCATGTATTCGAGACTAGTGCCTTGGTACCCTTTCTTTATTTAAAATACTATATATATATATATATATATATATATCCTCCCCCTCCCCCTCCCCCCTCCCTCTCCTTCTTCTTTACAGAGTCTTGCTCTGTGTCCAGGCTAGAGTGCAGTGGCACAATCACAGCTCACTGCAGCCTTGACCTTCTGGGCTCAAGAGATCCTCCCATCTTAGCCTCCTGAGTAGCTGAGGCCCTAGAGGTGCACTGCCATGCCTGCTAATTTTTAAATCTTTTTGTAGAGATAGGGTCTCCCTATGTTGCCCAGGCTGGTCTCAAACTCCTGGACCAAAGTTATCCTCCTGCCTTGTCTTCCTGAAGTGCTGGGATTACAGGCATGAATCACTATGCCCAGCCAAAATATTACATTTTTTCAAAGGAATATTTTTGTTTATTTTTAATTTTAAAGATCACATGTTGAATATGTTAACAATGCATAAACTCAGATACTACAGATACTGAACATCCCCTTTGGCCCCTCTTCCAACCCCACATCCCTCTCCAAAGGTACTCACTCAACTCAATTTGGAGTGTATTCTTCAAGACCTTTCCCCATATACTTCTTCATTTCTGGAAATAGTTCATTCTGTGGGACGTTGTACTTGTTTGTCTAAACTTGCCTTTTTCACTTCATAATATATCTTAGAGCTCTTTCCATGTCCTCATTTACATATATTATTTATCTTTTTATCTGATGCATAGTGTTCCATTACAGGAATGTATATAATTTAACTTTTCCCTGTTGATAAACATTAAGAATGTTTTCAGTTTTATTGCTAAAAAAGTGTACATGACTCACTGGGCACATGTGTGAAGAATTCTCTAGGCTGGATACCTGGGTGGAATTGTCACTTGAAAAGTATGTATATTTAAAATCTTGGTAACAAATGCCAACATTGTCTTCCAGAAAGGTTATATCAATGTATATTCCCATCGAGACATATGAGGGTGGTATTTTCTCACACTTTCAGTAATAATGATTAGTGCTAATTGTTACAGTTTTTATTAATCTGAATTTCTCCAATTACTAATGAGTTTGAGTATCTCATATTTCCTTTTCTATTAATTGCTTATTCTTATAATAGCCTCTCTACTATTACTTATATTGTCTTCATATGGATCCCCAAAAGCAGTGTTGAGTAAGACAGAAACATGTAGAAAACTACAAACCGCCTTAGGGACCTTCCTCTATGAGAGATACAAATCTACTAGTAAACATTTTAATGCAGTTGATCAGCAGTGGATTCCCCCAACTAGTTTACAAACCGAGTAACATCCCTCCATCATGTTCAAATGAATATTATGAGCATCTTTGCAAAGCATTGTGCTGAAAAAAAGATTAGTCATGCCTGGTATTCCCATAGTCCATCTTTTAGCTCTTCCAGAAAATAATATGAAGGCTGTTTAGCTTGTCTTAATTATTAGCTTACAAATGTTTCTTAATATGCATTCTAGAGTATTGCTGAAAGTAATGCTAAGCTCACACTATAAATTCCATAATCCATTTTTTCCTCCTTTTAAAAAAACTAGTTTTGCCTTGCTTAGATTTCTGGCACCTGGCCCATTTTCTATTTTCCAGAGATAAGAGGCAGTGGTTCTGAGACCTATAATCTTTCATTCGGTCTGCAAAGCCTATATTCCAGGTCGTCTCTGACTCTCTCCTCATTTGGGTTGTGCCTCAATTCCCTCTCTGTGATATTGGTTCTACCCTTCTCAGTATGAAGACTATGTTCCTTGCTGGAGAAGAAAGGAGAAATTGAGTGCCTCTGCCTTTTCTCTGTTATCACTTAACAGGTTCTTCTCTTGGCAGTCAGCTTATCCTTTCCCTTATCTGCTGGCTTCAAACTGTGTATGTTTTTAAAGCCCTTTCTGTGGTCCTCCTCACTTAGCACTGCTCAGCCTCTTCTGGAGTTTTCCTTCTATCGCTTTCTTCCCGGGTTCGTATCACCCATTGTCTCACTCTCCTTGGTTTGTGCCCTTTCTCTCATTTTTTGGTACACGCCATTTCAAAACAGACTCATCAAAGGACGCCACGTTGGATCATATTGGTTTCTGCAGTATAAAGTTTTATTTTTCAGAGTTCAAAATTTTAAAAATGTATTGCTTTCTATTGCCTCTGACCTTGGGGTTATAATTATATTTCTGTGAACTTTTTGAAGTTTGCTTTCCTAAAGCCTCAATTACATGTCTACTATAACCAGAGGTTCTTTCTTTTTTTCTATATTACAGAATCTGGGAAGACATGACTCCTTTCTTTCATCTTCAGGAAGGCAAAGACTGCATTTTATGTTGTATATTTGTTGAAGCGAAGATTTCTATCATATAAACATCACCAACAAGTCCTTCCTTGCTGGTCAGAATTGAGTGTAGAGTAGCAGTTCCTGTCATTCCTTCTCGTCCCTTTTGAAAGATGAAATTATCAGGAAAGCAAGTCAAGAATGCATTAAATTCTAAGCTTGTTGTAGAGATTTAGAACAGATGTCTAAATAGTTCTAGTGCCCATCAATATTACACCTTGTCTCTGTGACAGTTTTATCATTTAATTTAGGAAAGCATCCATCCTCCAACTCTTCCATTTAGCCTGACATTCTTAGCATGTTCTCGCTCTCACAAATAACACTACTCTCTTCCCCTCATTTAATCCTCTCCACGTACTGTAAGCTGTACGTGTGGATTCCATATATTTGCAATTTTGATGCATGGGGGTATTGTGTATCCATGTTTATCAGACTTCTTTATATTGAAAAACATGCGCCATTCCATTACTGAAACCAGTTCCATTTCCTCAAGTGTCAGTAACATTTAGGACGTCATATTTATGTGAGTGTTAGATGCTATGATGCACCCCTCATTCCCCTTCAGGAATAAAGGAATTATTACTCCAGCGACTGGGAGTGCCACTGAAGCTGGTCTTCAACTGTCAGTCCCTTTGGGGACTGCCTCAGCAGAGGAAAGTGGCCTCATCCCTCACAAATATGCCCCTTCCAGGGTAGCCTGCACCCATTCAGTGGTCTCTCATGCTCAATTCAGGACAGCTCTGAGGGTGGTCACGTCTTCAGAATTCCTCAGCAGCGCTGGCTGACACAGTTCACTAAGATTGCATTGGAGCTCTACTTCTCCCTCTGCTCAATCTTGCTGCTTCTGTTCCACGGGCATTAGTTCCAAGACCACTCCCTAATAAACTCCCTAAATGCCATCTCCATCTCAGGATCTGCTTCCTGGGAAACCCAATTAGGGAGAATTTGTTTGTTTTAAAGTTTCAGGTATATTATATTATCTTATGCATTGCAATATCAATAATTGAGCCTTCAGTATTATTCCCAATCTGGTCTTCTGCTATTTTCTTGGAATTACTGAGAATTTCTGAGCTTTTCTTCCTCCCTCTATGAATCTTCTTTTCATGCCATACATGTTAACTTCTATTTACATGATTTAGAAATTTCTTCTCACCCTTTCTCTTCTTTTCCTCCAAACTTCATGCAAGCAAATCCCTTTGACTAGTGAGCTTTGTTTCTGAAACATTTTTTCTAATCTTCTCAACAGGCATCTCTTGCCTTGTTTATCAGGAATCTGTTATTTTGGTATTGTAAACCAGAGTTGAGAAGAAAAAATATTGACATCATCTTCTGAGACCCTTTTCACTTGCAGCAGTCTTAATCCTCCAAAGGCACAATTTTTGACTAGAAGAGCCCAGATAGTGCTGGTACATTAAGCTTCTGCCTGTGACCCTGAGAGCCTTTTGTGGTGGGGATTCAGTGGGAGGCATTGTCTCCTGAGGGAGGGCACAGTGGGCTCATATTCTTGGAGGAGTTCTCAAGGGCCAATGAGCCCTGTGTATTAGTTTGGCTCCTCTGAGAATGTGATGGGACAGAGTCAAGAGTTTAAGAGTTAAAATAAAGGGGGAGAAAGCAGGCTGGGGCAGGGAAAGATTTCAGACTGTGATGTGAATCTGACAGTGATGAAAGGAAAGTGAGAAGGAAGCAGAACTGGGCAGGGAGAACTTCGGACCATGCTGCAGATCTAACAGAGTCTCGGCCAAGCCAATGAGAAGATCTAGAGCGAAGACTGCCTATTAGAGGTGTCTAGCAATGATCAGAAATGGCCAGGCCTACCATCCCTATTTGGCCATTGACTAGGGGCTGCCTGGGAAAAGCATGGCTTGGGCTTGAAAGTTGAGGTAGATCCTGGCAGCTAAATGTTTAGTCCTTTCTTGAAGGGTCAAGTGGGGCACCTCCATGGCTGCCACAGTCCTCCTGTGTGCCATGTGGTTCTCCTTCCCTGTACACTTTCAGGGAGCAGCTCCTCTAGGATTCTACTGGGCCCATCTCCCTGAGGAAAATCTTAGAAGAGGAAGGTTAGTGGGATGAACTATATCCCCTATCACTCACAAAACCATCCAGAATGAGATTTCTCATTGTTAGTAGGGCAGGAGGGATAAGGCCCAGCAGCTCATCTTGTCACCTGCTTTCTTGAATCATGGTCTATAGCAACTGTGTCAGTTGGGTCCTCCAGGAAGCAGATGCTGAGACACAGTAGGGAGTGTGAGACATTTATTGGGGGTGGGGATGTATGGGTAGGGATGACACCTGTGAAAGACAAGGGAAGGAAGCAGGACAGAGTGGGGAAGGCTTTAGACCATAATGCAGATATGACATCTGTGAAAAGAAAGAGGGGAAGAAAGTAGAATTGTGAAGGAAGACCATCAAACTGCAATGCAGATCTGACAGTCTTGGTCGACCCAGTGGAGAATTCTGGATTAAAGATGGTCTGTTAGAAGAGTCCCACATTGGGTAGAAATGACCACGCCCAGGCCCCCACCATGCTTAGCTCCTGACTGGAGGCTGCATGGGAAGAGCATGGTCTTGGCATTGCAGCTTCAGGCTGTTAGCTAACTGGATCTTTGCAGCTGAGCAGCAAGCTCTGCCTTGAAGGGAGACCTCTATGCTGCCATATCTTGCTTGAGCATGCCAACTCAGATTCGACGGCATTAGGGAACCAGGTTTCATTCCCTTTCATGACACAGTCTCATATCCTGGCCTGACCATGACTTACAAGGTGACCTATCATCGAGGGGCCTAGAAGTCTAGTTTGAGGTGGAGGAAGGAAGCCTATGTCTGTAAAATAAAGCATTTCATCCTATGGGGACGTTATCTATCTCTCTAGGATGCTAGGAGAACACGTGCTTCTCAGCACCTGGTGGAGCAGGATGTGCTGCTACTGCTTCTGTATTCCTGGATCTACCTTCATCCCAAAAGCCCCATGGATACTCTGGTTCCTCTAGGCACTCTTTCTACTTTTCGGCCTCTTGATAATTATTTTGAATTATCTCTGCCTCTTCGGGATCTTTTTTATTTATTTTTTTTCCAGTATAATTTCTTAAAGACTCTCTGAAAATCCTCTCCCTTTCTCATGGTAAATTGCAGCACCAGAGAGATAGCAAGGAAATGTTAGTTCTGCGGCTAACATGAATGTTGAGTGATACTGTGTTGGTTTCTGAGACAGCTGAAAACAGTTATCCATTTCTAATGTGGCAGGACATTCAGCATGGAAGCCTTCAATGAGAGGGTGGGCCGTAGGTAGGCCAGAGGGAGCCCAGCTCATCCTCAGTTACACATGCAGGGGCCTCACTGTCTCTGAGTAGACAGTAGGTTGGATGTGGTTAAATATTTCATTCTCTGAGTAGAGGGGCCCGGGCAAGACCTCATTTACTCCAAGGTCCAAGGGAATGGGACAGATTTAAATGTCTGGAGAATAAGCCATGCTTGTGATTTAGATTGTCTCAATCAGTGGTATTCTCTGTGTTTATTTTCCCATTGGTTATGATCCCAGTTTGGAGCTCAGCCGTTTTGGAAAAATCTAGCCTCGTAGAGGCTGTGCTATAGTTTTCAAGGGAAGGACCATTCATCTATGTTTTAATTAGAGCCTTTAGGAAGGAGGTGCTCAGTATTAAAGGGGCAAACCATAAAGACAAGTGACTCTCACCAGCACGTTCTCTTTGGTCAACCTTGAGGATGGTACATTTTTTACAGGGGTGCTCATCAAATCTTAGTGTTCTGTCTTCTAAGAAGGTGACCACCTTGCATATACACAATAAATATTTGATTGGAAACTCAAGCAAAAAGAGAAACAGCACCCACGCTCAAGTCCTATAACATCTTCCCCAGAGAGTATGCTTTCTAGGTCTTAATTCCTCTCTCATAAAGAAATAACTTTTTAGTAATAGTAATGTCTGACACCGGAGTAGCGACGGCTATTCAGGGAATGTTCTGAGCATGTTATAATTACATATTAACCCATTTTCTTTCTTTTCTTTTCTTTTGTTTTTGAGACAGAGTCTCGCTCTGTCGCCCAGGCTGGAGTGCAGTGGCACGATCTTGGCTCACTGCAACCTCCACCTCCTGGGTTCAAGCAATTCTCCTGCCTCAGCCTCCTGAATAGCTGGGATTACAGGCATGCACCACCATGCCCAAATAATTTTGTTTTGTATTTTTAGTAGAGACAAGGTTTCACCATGTTGGCCACACTGGTCTCGAACTCCTGACCTCATGTGATCCGCCCACCTTGGCCTCCCAAAGTGCTGGGATTACAGGTGTGAGCCACTGCTCCCAGCCTAACCATTTGATTTTCACAACAATAAACTCCATGAGGTAGGTGGTGTTATTTCCCCCATTTTGCAGATGGTGAAGCTGTGGCATAGAGAGGTGGAGTGACTTTTCCAAGGTCACAATAAGCAGCAGGCAGTAAATGAGCGCATGTACACGTAGGAACCCCTAGACTACATTGCCCTTTAAAATATTCATCAAGCCTCCTTATGGTGTCTCAAGAAATGTTACAGAAAGATTTGAAAGTAGGTGGTTATTTGAAAAAATTTAAGCCAAAGAAGAGTCCTTTTTTAGGTGGGCTCTCCCAGTTATTTCTCCCCTTGGGAACCAACATTGTCACCATATGCCGGGCCTCTGTACTAAGGGCCTGATTCACTTCACTGCTGACTCTAGGGCTTCTGAGAAGGCTCTTTTAAGTCTGTAGGTTGGTCTCCCTCTTTCTAAGCAGCCTTGGCCTATTAGCAAAGCAATTAACACCTGGAAAGATCACTTCCCCAGCAGCACTCTACAATAATTAGTTGATCTCTTCCCACCTGTTTGCCAAGACTATTCGGTTAGCTTCTTAGTTTAGGAACCTGTGAGAAGCCTTTTAAATTCACTTTGGTCTTTTTTAAGTTGTTATTTTTTACCCTTAGGAAACAAGCAAAGCAATGAGTGCTTAGTAATAAATTAAGGCAGAACATAATCCATTTTAGAAAGATTTTTCTACGGGAGATTTTTTTCCAGTTAACCTTCTATCTCCCATTACCCAGGAAATTAAATTAAAAAGAATGTCCAATTCCCTGGGCAAGTTGGTTAATCAATATTTCAATGTAAAACAAAGTTAATATTTTTGGCCATTAATTTGATTTTTCTCTAGAGAACATATTCATTTGATTAATATTTTTTCCTTGTAACTCTCTCACCTTGTGAATCTTTCCAATCTAATATTTCCTTGTTTGAGAATAGTTTGAGAATTCTGCCCTTACTATAAGAAAATGTTCATGGAATTGGTAGATGGGATAAATATCACAGAGCTATTCATGGGACCTGGGACTCCACATCATTTTTCTTATCACCTAAAGCAGAGCAGCTTGTCATCTGTGAGGCTCCAGTTTGGGTTCCAGCACCAGCTGGACACTAGTGATTGGCCATATATTGTGTAATGCGTATTACTTGCCAGCTTTTAGAATTAATTGAACCCAGAATCATGTCCTTTCACCAGGTTTGTGGATGTCATATATGTAAGATTCATCAAAGCCTGTGGAGCATTTTCTAGGTTCCAGTGAAGCAAGGTCCATGTTTCTCAAATCATGGTCCATCGCCAACAACATCAGATCAACTTAGGGACAGTGTTAAAATGGAAATGCCTCAGCCCCTGGCAGCATTCTCATTCTCTACTGCATGAGAATATTCAGATCAGGCCCAGACATGGGTGTTTTTAAAATTCTTAAGCACATTGAAGTTTGAGGCCCATAAGCTAGCCAAAGTAAATGGTGCAAGTTAAAAATCAGCTGAAGGTGGCTGGGCACGGTGGCTCACGCCTGTAATCCCAGCACTCTGGGAGGCCAAGGTGGGTGGATCACCTGAGGTCAGGAGTTCAAGACCAGCCTGGCCAACATGGTGAAACCTTGTCTCTACTAAAAATACAGAAATTAGCTGGGCATGGTGGCAGGTGCCTGTAATCTCAGCTACTCAGGAGGCTGAGGAAGGAGAATTGCTTGAACCCGGGAGGCGGAGGTTGTGGTGAGCCGAGATCGTGCCACAGTACACCAGCCTGGGTGACAGAGTGAGACTCTGTCTCAAAAACAAAAAACAAAAAACAAACAAAAAAAAAACAGAATCAGCTGAAGGTACTATTTTTTTGTAGATATTCACAAGCTGGTTCTAAAATTTATATGGAAAGACAAAGGAATTAGAATAGTCAAAAGAATTTTGAAAAATAATAACATGGTTGGAGGATTCATATCACCTGGTTTCAAGACTTACTAAAAAGCTATAGGAATCAAGACTGTGTGGTATTGGCAAAAGATAGGCAGAGAGATCAGGGGAACAGAATAGAGAATCCAGAAATAGACACTCAAATATGGTCAATTGAATTTTGACAAAGTGCAAATTAAATTTAAAGGAGAAGGGACAGTCTTTGTAACAAATGGTGCAGGAACAATTGGATGTCCATATGCATAAAAGTGAACCACAAACTATATCCCAAGCTTTATATAAAAATTAACTCAAAATGGGTCGTGTAACTAAATATAAATGTAAAACTATAAAACTTTTAGAAGAAAACAGGAGAAAATCTTTGTGAACTGGAGCTAGACAGAGTTCTTAGAACAGCAAAAGTATAATCCCTAAAAGAAAAAAAAATTGATAAATGGGGACTTCATTAAAACTTAGTTTTACATTGCATGGACATCACTAAGAGAATGAATGAAAAGCTACACATTGGGAGAAACTATTTGCATATCACATATATGACAAAGGCCTTTTATTCAAAAATATATAAAGAACTTTCAAAAAACTCAACAGTAAGAAAACAACCCAATAAAAAAATGAGGAAAAGGTTTGAACAGATACTTTGTCAAAGAAGGTAATACAGCCGGGCACGGTGGCTTATGCCTGTTGTCCCAACACTTTGGGAGACCAAGGTGGGCAGATCACTTGAGGTCAGGAGTTCGAGACCAGCCTGGCCAACATGGTGAAACCCCGTCTCTACCAAAAATACACAAATTAGCCGGGTGTGGTGGGGGGCGCCTGTAATCCCAGCTACTCAGGAGGTTGAGGCAGGAGAACTGCTTGAATCCAGGAGGCAGAGGTTGCTGTGAGCCGAGATCATGCCACTGCACTCCAGCCTGGGTGACAGAGGGAAACTCTGTCTCAAAAACAAACAAAAACAAAAACAAAAACAAAAAAACCCCCCAAAAACAAGAAGTTAATACATGATGGCAAAAAAAAAAAAAATACATGGAAAGATGCTCAACATCACTATTTATTAGGAAAATGCAAATTAAAACCATAATGAGATAACACTGTACACTTATTAGGATGACTAAAGCAAAACAAAGCAAAACAAAACAGAATGAAACAAACTGATAATTCCAAGAGCTTATGGGGATGATGTGGAGTAACTGGAACTCATATTGCTGATAAAAAGATCAAATGATACAGTCATATTGTATTCTTAGAAAACGTTGGCAGTTTCTTAGTTAAACATACACTTACAGTATCACTCAGCAATCACACCCGTAGGTGTTTATCCAATACAAATGAAAATTTATGTTCACACAGAAACCTACAAGTGAATATTTATAAAAGCTTTACTCATAAATGCCCCAAACTGGCAACAACCCGAACGTCTTACAACTGGCGAATGTATAAACAGATTGTGTATCCATTCAGTGGAACACTATTCAGCAATAAAGAATGAACTATTGTATATGCACCAAAATAAATGACTCTCAAATGCATTTTTCTAAGTGAAACAAGCCAGTGGATACATACTATAGGATTCCTATTACATGACATTAAGGAAAGGATAAACTACAGGGACAGAGAACTGATCAGTGGTTTCCAGGAACTCAGGGAAAGGGGAGTTTTTTTTGTTTTGTTTTTGTTTTTAACCACAAAAGGGCAGCATGTATGCAGGGAATAATGGAGCTGTTTCAAGTCTTAATTGTGGTTTGATTACATCACTATGTGTTTGTCATGACTCAGAACTACAAGTCAAAAAATATGAATTTTACTTATGAGATTCTAAATAAAAATTTTAAAAATAATCAGCTGAGGCATATCTGATTCAAAACTGCCAAGAGACCAAAACCAATGTTTATTGTCTATTATGAGCAGGGCCTGGACTGGTGTTGGGAAGAAAACAACACCTCACAGTAAGCTCCTTCTCCTCATAGACACCAATCCACTGGAAGACACAAGCAGGCACACAAATAACTAATATGAGGCAGTGAGGGATATGCGCTCAGAAAAGGAGCAAAGAGGGTCTAAGTGAAGAACGCTGGATTTTTACTAGGAGAATTCTCAGTGTGGAGAACTGTAAAGCTGAGTCATAGTAAAAAATAGAGCAGATTGTAAACTGACAAAAATAAGATAGGAGAAAGTTATGAGCACGGAAAAATATGGTTATTGATCTGGGAGGGTAAGGCAATAGAAGCAAATTCTAAATGTAATGAGATTGAATCAATGGATATGATGCTATTTTTTAAAAAGGCAAATCAAGTCATTCAGTACTGATTCCTCCCAAGGAAGGGAAATGAACGGATAAATGTATGAAGTTGCGTTGACTTTAGATCCTATTAGCAATTTCTTTATGCCTTCCCTACTCCCCCATACAATAGTTCCGTGCTCCGAGAGCTACTGTTGCAAGAAAAGCCAAGTCTTCCATAAGTGGATATGAAGGCTATTATGAGGAGAAATCACTGTCCTTCCTGGGTGTGAGGGAGTCATTTAGTAGTTAGATCCTAAAGAGGAGGTTGGTATCAAATTAAAACTCTATTTAGAGCATCATGTGTCTAGGATAGTGGTTCTCAAAGCATGGACCCTGAACCAGCTGCAAAGCACCATTTGGGTGCTTGACAAAACTGCAGATTCTGAGGTTTTACTCCAGACCTGCTGAATTAGAAACTCTCGGGTTGGGCCCAGGAAACCCTCCAGGGGATTCTGATGAACGTTTGAGAAGTTTGAGAGTTTGTGAAGATGTCAAAAGTGAATCCTGTGCTTAACTATTGCAACCTGCTGAAGCTGATAAAGGAATGTCAACTTTTAGTGACCCACCTGCCCTCACAGAGACCCTCACTGGGCCTAACTGAAGATTCCCCCATCCGAAGAGCAATGGGTCTTGTTTTAACCAGTCATGTAAGACTTATGGTCTGGGTCTGTCCTCTTCAGAACATTAGTTTTCAGGGCTTAATTAGCATAACCACCTTGAATCCCCTCCACTTCTACAGCATTTACAAAATTCTGACTTTCCCCCTCAGCAAACTAGTCAGTGATTTTTTTGTTTTGTTTTGTTTTTGTTTTTTAACTGATGACAGGGTCTTGCTCTGTCACCCAGGCTGAAATGCTGTGTTGTGGTCACTGCTCACTGCAGCCTCCAACTCCTGGCTCATGTGATCCTCTCAAGTATCTGGGACTACAGGTGCTCTGCTTTCTTTTTTGATGTTAAAGCTCTGGTAGGTAGTCTTTATTTTATTCTTTTACAGACAACAGGCAGTCAGCAAGTGACTCTAGGATGTCAATTTAGTAAGTTTACTTTTTCATTCCTGGATAAGCACTTTAGAATAATTTCAAGACCTATATTCTCATCCTTTGCCAACCCAAATTATTGGAAGGCCCTGGGCAAACTACTTAACATCTTGTAGAACTGGTTTACTCATCTGTTAAGAGCAAGCAGGTAATTTTTCCTGTCCCACCTCAGTTGACATAATGGCTATGAAGTTACTTAGTAAAGTAGAAAGTGGATACACATTTAAGCATTATGATCATTTTGTGAGCCTTTTTCAAAACTGCGCTCAACGTCCTTGATTTTTTCCCCTTGTCATCAGAGCACCACAGAGAAAGCCTGCATCCTGGACACGGTCCAGATGCCTCTAGAGGCCTTGCCTCCATTGTTTTGGAATTACTCTGGGTGAATAGGATAACAGAAAATATTCCAGCCTAGAGGATAATGGATAAAAACATTAAATGAGAAGAGAAATACATTAGAGACTTTCCATCAGAACTTGGAAATGACATTGTAAATTGGTGTGCAGTTTTACAAGTAAAAATGCTCTAATCCTTGGAACGAGCAACTGACTTATAGTAAATCTTTTGAGCTTCCCCAAATGGCAAAGCAGTGAAAATTTTCTGCATGCTGGGGGAATCGCATTACCTGAAACAAACATATAGGGCACAGCTGATGTCTAATGTCTAGATGTCCTAGGAAATAAAATGTGGCTTCTGGTACATAAGTGGCAATTTATGCTGAATTATTTGCTAAGAGTCAAATTAGTCCCTGCAGTATGTGCAGCATTTCTGAAGAATTAAAAAATAAACGCTTTCTGCCTAAGTAATATCCTGACTTAAGGCAATTATTACTGTGCTATATCTGATATAGAAATGATCCTGAAACTTGCCCAGGGCTTGTAGAAATAAGAGGATTTCTCTAATGCATGCTAACACTGAAAAAGAAAGTCGATATCTAGGCTTGGTTTAAAAAAGGCAAGCAGGGAATAGGTTTTATGGAGGAGGGAAAGTAATTTACCAGGTATCTAGCACTTACTGTGTGCCAGGCACTGGGCTAAATGTTACACATACTGACCTTATCCTCACAATAACTCTGTGAATCTCACAGAGATATTATTTCCCTCATTTTAACAGAATAAGACATTGTCATGGCTTAGAGCAGCCAGGTGGCTTCCACAAAGTCATACAGCACACAGTTTATCACAAGCTGTGATTTAAGCTCAGATGGTGGTGTCTTTTTTCCTAAACATTGCAGCAACAATCCTGTGCTAGATAGCTTCCCTATGCTCCTCCAGGTCCCCTCTGGCAGAGACTAGCCTTTTCAATCTTACTTTGTGTGTATGGAGGCTAGCCCAACTTGACTTCCGGTTTCCAGTTGTATTCAGCCAATGGGGACTCCTGGCAGAAGGAAAAAGAAGGAGGGAAAAGAGCCAGGCCCAACTAATTGAAAATCTATTTCCTGGCTGGGCGCGGTGGCACATGCCTATAATCCCAGCACTTTAGGAGGCCGAGGTGGGCAGATCACCTGAGGTCAGGAGTTCCAGACTAGCCTGGCCAACATGGTAAAATCTCCATCTCTACTAAAAATACAAAAATTAGCCGGGCATGGTGACAGGCGCCTGTAGTCCCAGCTACTCGGAAGGCTGAGGCGGGAGAATTGCTCGAACCCGGGAGGTGGAGGTTGCAGTGAGCAGAGAACGTGCCATTGCACTCCAGCCTGGACCACAGAGCGAGACTCCATCTCAAAAAAAAAAAAAAGAAAAGAAAAAAAAAGAAAAGTGAGGCCAGGGTATTTATGCTCTCTTTCCTAGCTTTCCCAGCTTTCTCTTGCTCCGCTGACCAAAAGTTTTAGCTCCCTTCAGCCTATCCTCTCCACACAGAAGCCTTCCTCTGGGTTTTGCTGACCACTCCCTCCTCTGAGGGCCCTGCACCCTGCCACATCTCAAATCACCCAGTTTCAGTGTGACATACGGTTACGGTACACTTTAGTTTGCCCAGCTTATAAGACATCAAGGCTTAGAAATGACTGTCCCCCTACTTTGTTGTGGTGGTTGTTAGTTCTGATTCAAATGAAGTCATTGAACGACGGACTCTTTCTGCTTATCCTTCACAGTGTTCTATCTGGATAGCTTTTGGTTCAATGCTTAGAGAGTGTCTCTTCCTCCGGCTTCTGCTCCCTGAGAAAAACAAAAGGGTTTTTATGAGCAAAAGCACCTCACTGAGCCATATGTGGTTTCTGAATGATGACATTCAGAGTTCGGTGAATAGTAACAGAACCTGACATTTATGTGATGTTCTATAGCTTTACATTGATTACTTTCTATTTAAACATATGTTAGGATCTAGCTGTGCCTACAGAAAAAAATTAGCTGAACATGAAGGTACAGCAAAGTTATTTTTTAAAAGACTGGTAATGACTGAACTCCTATCAAGACATTTAATAGCTGATAAAAGTCTCACCCCTGAACTATTTCACTAAGCTAATGATACTGGTCTGTTTTGGCAGTGCTACCTAACTCCTGTTTTCTGAGTGAATTCACTGCCCATGATTTCAGGAGGATGAAGAAGAAAGAGAAACAGAATATTAAGCAGAACAGATACAATGAGTATTTTACACATGTTAATTCTGTAAGCACAATTAAAATCTTTGGTGATCAGCAAAGGTCCTAACCTTTTCAGTATAGTCCTAACATTTTCAAAGGTGTCCTTCTTAAAGGTCTAATGGGAGGCATGGATATGTAACAATTTTTTAAAAATTGGTTTCATCATGTCTTTGCATTTGAATGACAAGGCACTTTGGAATAATCATCTTACCTGAAGGTAGTTATTCTATTGTTAGATAATTGTAGTACGTAACACAAGAAAGGAAGATAGAAATGAGTAATATTTTAATATCTTTCTATCATTATGAAATTATAAAATGCCCCTTTATGAAATGTCCCTTTAAATCTCTGGCAATACTTCTTGCCTCAGTATCTACTTTAATATTAATATAACTACACCAGATTTACTTTGATTAGTGTTAAATGACATTTAACCTTCCATTTTCAACATTTCTCTATTTAATCTGTGACCGTGAAATTGCATACATCTGGGTTTTGTTTTTTTATTCAGTCTGGTCAACTTTGTCTTTTAATTGAATCGTAGACCATTTACATTTAAAATAATTAATTTTAATGGTATAACATCTTGCTATTTGTTTTCTATTTGTCCTCTTGTACTTGGTTCCTTTATTTCTCATTTCTTGCCGCCTTCTGGATTATGAAAACGTTATTTAATATTCCATTTTTCTCTTTCATTTGATTTTCAGTTATACATTCTTCCATAATTCTTACAGTAGTTATGCTAGAGATAACAATATGCGTCCTTCATGTATTAAGTCTAATTTAAATGAGTACTTTTGGGTTTACCACTTCCTAAATAAGGCAAGTACCTTTCCAGCAGTTTAACTGCATTTACCTCACTCCCACAGTTTGTGCTATTGTTACCATGTATTTTATTCCTACGTATGCATTGGTCTTGTTTTAAACAGTCAATATTCTTTTATACTGAACCCCATATTTACGCTTTCCAGTGCTCTCCATTCTTTCGTGCATGCCTATGCTTCATCTGAGATTCCCCTCCCTTAGTGTCAAGAACTCCCCAGAGTTTTTCTCAGTTCACAGCAGCTGGCATTGCATTCTCTCTGAAAATATCTTCAGTTAATCTTCATTTTGATGTTTACATCTGTATTGTGGCATGATTTACATGTAATAAATGCACCCACTTTAAGTTTTTGTTTTTTGTTGTTTTGAGACAGTCTCACTCTGTCTCCCAGGCTGCAATGCAGTGGTGGGATCTTGGCTCACTGCAACTTCCGCCTCCTAAGTTCAAGCGATTCTCCCACCTCAGCCTCCTGAGTAGCTGGGACTACAGGTGTGTGCCACCACACCTGGCTAATTTGTTTTGTATTTTTAGTAGAGATGGGGTTTCATTGCGTTGGACAGACTGGTCTCAAACTCATGACCTCAGATGATCCACCCACCTTGACCTCCCAAAGTGCTAGAATTACAGGTGTGAGCCACTGCGCCTGGCCCATTTTAAGTTTATAAGTGAATGAGTTGTAGTAAATGTATATAATCTTGCAACCACATCCCACAATCCAGTTTTAAAACACCTTTGCTTTTTTTTGAGACTGAGTCTCACTCTGTCACCCAAGCTGGAGTGCAGTGGTGTGATCTTGGCTCACTGCAACCTCCACCTCCTGAGTTCAAGCAATTCTCCTGCCTCAGCCTCCCGAGTATATGGGACCTACAGGCGTGCACCACCATGCCCAGCTAATTTTTTTGTATTTTTAATAGAAACAGGATTTCACCATGTTGGCCAGGTTGGTCTCGAATGCCTGACCTTAAGTGATCTACCTGCCTCGGCCTCCCAAAGTTCTGGGATTACAGGCGTGAGCCACTGCACCTGGCCTCCAGTTTTAAAACACTTCTATCACCCTCAAAAATTTCCCTTCTGCCCTTTTGCAGTCCATCCTTTCCCACAGGGAGCCACTGAGCTGCTTCAGGTTGCTATAGTCTTTGCTTTTCTAGAATTTCTTATATATGGAATTACACAGTATGTTGTCTTCTGTGACTAGTTCCTTTCGTTTTGCATGATATATTTGAGATTCATCCACATTATTACATGTATCATTAGTCCATTCATCTTAATTGCTGAGTCGTATTCCATTACATGGATGTACTATATTTTGATGATCTGTTCATTAGATGGTGGACATTTGCATTGTTAACATTTTTGGCTATTATGAATGCTTATGCCATAAATATTCATGGCATACAAGTTTTGTGTGGACATGTTTTTGTTTTTCTTGGGTAAATATCTGGGAGTGAAATTGCCAGCCCATATGGTAAGTGTATATTTAACTGTTTAAATAACTGCCAAACTGATTCTCAAAGTGGCTATATCATTTTGTATTGCTGCTAACAATGTGTGACAATTCTAGTTGCTCCACATTCACCAAGGCTTAGTATTGTCAACCTTTTTAATTTCAGCCCACCTAGCGGGTAAATTGTAGTTATAATTTCCCTAATGACTAAGAATTTAGGGCATCTTTTCATGTGCTTGTGGGCCATCAATATATCTTCTTTGGTAAAATATCTGTTCAAATCTTTCGTCCAATTTCTCTTTGTAAAGTCTTGAGAATTCTTTATATATTCTGAATGCAATTTTTTTGTCAGATATATGTTTTGTTTTGCACATGTTTTCTTTCTGTCTGTGGTTTGTTTGCCCTTTCATTTTCTTTTCTTTTAAAAACATGTGAATCGTTTTCAAGGTCTTTTCATTTTCTTAAGGCTGTTTTTGGTATTAACATGAAGGATTATATCGAACCATTTTCAAATATTGAACCAACACTGCAATTACCAGGATAAACTCCTTTGATTGTAGTGCCTATTTTTTTTTAATATATTGCTGGATTCAATTTGCTAACATTTTGCTGGGGTTTTTGTGTTTCTATTTATGGGCTATATTGGTCTCAAGTTTTCTTGTCTAGTACTATTTTTGTCTGCTTTTTTTATCAGGATAATGCTGGCCTCATAAAGTAAGTTGGAAAGTATTCCCTCATCTTCTATTTTCTGAAAGAAATTGCGTAGAAACGATGTTATTTCTCCTTTAAACATTTTGCAGATTAGCCAGTGGAACCATCTGGGCTTGGGGCTTCCTTTTTTGCAAGACTTTAAACTGTAAATTTAGTCTCTTTAATAGCTATAGTACAATCCAGTTATTTATTTCATTTTGGATGAGTTTTGTAGTTTGTGAATTTTGAGAAATTAGTCCATTTCATCTAAGTTGTTGAATTTTTGTGTGTAGGGTTTTATTGTTTGTAGTATTCCTTTATTATCATTTTCATGTCTACAAGGTCTATAGTCATATTCCATCCTTTATATTCATTTATGATATTGGTAATTTCTCTTTCCCTTATTTTCTCTCTCTCTTGTACTGCCAGTCTGACTAAATAAAGGCTTATAAGTTTTATTGAGCTTTTGATTTTGTTGATTTTTTTCTATTGGTTTTCAATTTTCAGTTTCATTGATTTTTGCTCTTATCTTTATTTTTTTCTTCCTTGTGCTAGGTTTTGGTTTATTTGGCTCATCTTTTTTGGGTTTCTCAAAGTGAAAATTTAGATTATTAATTTGAGAACTTTCTTCTTAGCTAATATAAGCATTTAATACTATAAATCTCTCTAAGCAATGCTTTCAGTGTATCTAAAAATTTTGATATGTTGTATTTTTCATTCTTGTTCAGTTCTAGATATTTTCTCATTTTTTACTTTCAGTAGTCAAAAACTTTTTAAGAACTCAAGAGGAGAAGAATAGTCTCTTGTATTTACCTATATATTTACCATTTTTGTTGCTCTCTCTTCATTACTAATGTCTCAAGTTTCCTTCTGGTAGCATTTTCCTTCTGTCTGAAGGACTTTCTTTAACAATAATTTTAAAGCAGTTCTTCTGGCTCTTAGTTTTACTTCATCAGAATTTTTTAAATTTATTTTGCCTGCTTTCTTGAAGGATATTTTTACTGGATATAAAATTGTGGTTTCACAGTGTTTTTCCTTGTTGCACTAAAATGTTTCACTTCCCTTTGTCTTCTATAGTTACTAACGAGAATTCCACAGCCATTTGAATTGTTGCAGTCTATAAATAATGTGTCATTTTCTTCTGGTCAACTTCAGATGAGTTTTGTTGTGGTTGTTGATTTATAAGTTTGCTTACAATGTGTCTGGGCATGGATTTCTTTGAGTTTATCCAATTGTAGTTTGCTGAGCTTCTTGAGTCTGTAGATTTATGTCTTTCACCAAATTTGGAGATTTCTAAGCCATTATATCTTTAAATACTTTTTTTTGTGCTGCTCTCTTTATCCTCCCTTTTTGGAACTCTGACAACATAAATGCTAGATCTTTTGGTATCATCCCACAGATCCCTGACGCTCTATTCATTTTTTAAAACAATTCTTCTCTGTTGTTCACTTTGGGTAAATTTTATTGATGTGTCTTCAGGTCATCTAAGTTAGAAAAAAGTGTAAGTTTTATCTGTTGAGCCCACTGATCGCTTTCTTTTTCAGTTTTGTGTGTTTTAGTTCTAAATTTTTCATTTATTTCTTCTTTATATCTTCAATTTCTTTGCTGAGACTTTATGATTTTTTTACATTTTGAGAGTATCTACTCTTACTTCTTGGAGCATTTTCATAATTGCTACTTTAAAAATCTTTATCAGGTCTAGTAATCTTTTGGTGAACTCTTTAGAGTTTTCCAAGTATAACATCATAGCATCAGCAAAGAGAGATAACTTGACGTCCTCTTTTCCTATTTGGATGCCTTTTATGTCTTTCTCTTGCCTGATTGTTCTGGCTAGGACTTCTAGCACTGTATTGAAAAGAAGTGGTGAGAGTGTACGTCCTTGCCTTTTTCCAGTTCTTAGGAGGAATATTTCCAGCTTTTGCCCATTCAGTATGATGTTGGCTGTGGGTTTGTCATAGGTAGCTCTTATAATTTTGAGATATATTCCTTTGAAGCCTAATTTGTTGAGGGTTTTTTTAAATATCATGAAGGGATGTTGGATTTTATTGAACATTTTTCTACATCTATTAAGATGATCATATCATTTTTTAATTTTATTTATGTGGTGAATCACATTTATGGGTCTGTGTTTGTTTCCTTACATCCCAGGAATAAATTCACTTGATCACAGTGAATTAACTTTTTGATGTGCAAAGTCTTATGATACAAAATCAACATACGAAAATCAGTAACATTTCTATACACCAGTAATGTTCAAGCTGAGAACCAAATCAAGAACATGATCCAAGGCCAGGCACAGTGGCACACACCTGTAATCCCAGCACTTGGGGAAGCCACAATGGGAGGATCACTTGAGCCTAGGAGTTTGAAATTAGCCTGGGCAACATAACAAGACCCCATCTCTACTTCTTCTTCTTCTTCTTTTTTTTTAAAGAATGAAGTTTGATTTACAATGGCCACACACACACACACACACAAATAAAATATCTAGGAATACATCTAACCATGGAGGTGAGAGATCTCTACAAGGAGAACTACAAAACATTGCTGAAATAAATCATAGATGATACAAACAAATGAAAAGCATTCTATGCTCATGAATTGGAGATCAATATTGTTAAAATGTTTATACTCCCCAAAGCAGTCTACAGATTCAATGTGTTCCTATCAAATTACCAATGTCATATTTTACAGATTTAGAAAAAACTATTCTGAAATTCATGTGGAACCAAAAAACAGCCTGAATAGCCAAGGCAAGCCTAATTTAAAAAATAAAGCCAGAGACATCACATTACCTGACTTCCAACTATACTTCAAGGCTATAGTAACCAAAACAGCATGGTACTTGTTAAAAACAAAACAAAACAAACATATAGACAAATGGTATAGAAATAGGGACCCCTGAAATAAAGCCACACACCTACAACCAACTTATCTTCAACATGCTTGACAAAAGTAGTGGGCAAAGGATAACCTATTCAATAAATGGTGCTGGGAAAATTGGCTAACCATATGCAGAAGAATGAAATTGGATCATTACCTCTCACTGCATACAAAAATTAACTCAAGATGGATTAAAGACTTAAACATAAGACCTCAAACTATAAAAATCCTAGAAGAAAACCTAGGATAAGACCTCAAACTATAAAAATCCTAGAAGAAAACCTAGGAAATACTCTTCTAGACATCGGCTTAGGCAAAGAATTTATGACTAAATCTTCAAAAGCAAATGCAACCAAAAAAATGGAAAATTGGGACCTAATTAAACTAGAGAACTTCTGCACAGCAAAATAAATTATCAACAGAGTAAACAACATACAGAATGGAAGAAAATACTTGCAAACTATGCATCTGAAAAAGGACTAATATCAGAATCTATAAGGAACTCAAATAAATCAGCAGGGAAAAAATAATCCCATTAAAAAAGTGGGCAGAGAACAAGAACGGATACTTCTTGAAAGAAGACATACAAGTGGCCAACAAATATGAAAAAATGCTCAAATCACTAAGCATCAGTGAGATGCAAATCAAAACCACAATGAGATGCTGTCTTAAACCAGTCAGAATGGCTATGATTAAAAAGTCAAAAAATAACAGATGTTGGCCAGGTTGCAGAGAAAATGGAACACTTACACACTGTTGATAGGAATGCAAATTAGTTCAGCCACTGTGGAAAGGAGTTTGGAGATTTCTCAAAGAACTTAAAACAGAACTACCATTCAACCCAGCAATCCCATTACTGGGTACATACTCAAAGGAATATAAATCGTTCTACCAAAAAGGCATTTGCACTTTTATGCTCATTGCAGTGCTACTTATAATGGCAAAGACACATAACCTAAGTGTCCATCAATAGTGGGTTGGATAAAGAAAATGTGGTACATATGCACCACGGAATAATGCACACCATAATAAAAAATCAACGTATGTCCTTTGCAGCAACATGGATGTAGCTGGAAGCCATTATCCTAAGTGAACTAATGCAGAAATAGAAAACCAGGCTGGGAGTGGTGGCTCAAGCCTTTAATCCCAGTACTTTGGGAGGCAGAAGCAGGCAGATCACTTGAGGTCAGGAGTTCAAGATCAGCCTGGCCAATATGGCAAAACCCTGTCCTACTAAAAATCCAAAAATTAGCCAGGTGTGGTGGTACGCACCTGTAGTCCCAGCTACTCAGGAGCCTGAGGTAGGAGAATCACCTGAACCCAGGAGGTAGTGGAAGCCGCGGTGAGCCGAGATTGCATCACTGCACTCCAGCCTGGGTGACAGAATGAGACTCCATTTAAAAAAAAAGACAGAGAGAAAATCAAATACCTTATAAGTGGAAGTTAACCTTGGGTACACATGGACACAAAGATGGGCATACTAAACACTGGATATTCCAAAAGGGGAGTAGGGAGGGATAAAAGATTAAAAACCACCTATTGGTTATTGTGCTCAGTATTTGGGCTATGGGATCATTAGAACCCCAAACCTCAGTGTCAGCATCATGCAATATATCCATGTAACAAACCTGCACTTGTACTCCCTAAATCTAAAAACAAAACAACAACAAAAAACTTTATCAGATAAATCCTACATGTATGTCATCTTGGCATTGGTATCTGATGATTATCTTTTCCCATGCAAGATGGAGATTTCCCTGGTTCTTCATATGCTGATTGCTTTTGAATTGTATCCTGGACATTTTGAATATTATGATATAGAATTCTGGGTATTTGTTTTGTTTTAACAGACAATCAACCGATGGGTTCAGGTACAAGTTCCAGCCAGCTTTCTGTGGTTTCAATGTAATTTCTTATTTCAGAGCCTTTTCAGTGCTATTCAAATCTGTCTTGCATTCGTACCACACAGTGGCTAGTCTGGGACCTTGGCAATGTTTTATACTGTATCTGTACTTCAGTTCTTAAAATCAATGGTATGCTGTTTAGGGTCAGATCCGTGCATGTGCCACTTGGAAGTGAGCCCAGGAGCAATTTTGTAGAGCTGTTTCCTGATCTCCTCCTTTATAGAAATCTCCCTAGTACTTTCTGATTATCTGGGGCTCCCTTTTTGGTTCTGCAACCAGAAAGTTGGGGTTATTTTTATTCACTCAATGGTACATGAACTTTTTGCAACTACACTGATATCCAGAGCCAAGCACAGAAAGACAGAAAGAAGAAAAAAGAGATGGAGGTTTGTCTCACCCTCTGAGGATCACAGCTCTTCTATCAGAGGAAAGTTTCCCTCTCTTAGCATTTTAGACTCTTGTAGGCCCCGCTGTCACCACTATTGCTGACACTGCCATGCCACCATGGAATTTCCTAGGAGTTGAGTATGAGAGAGTGGAGAAAAGAAAAAAAGAAAAACGTGCTTTTCCCACACTTTCTGAGCCTTAGGAGACCCTCCTGCTCCTTGAGCCAGGACTAGAGGGCTTGTCCTGGAGATCCCTCTGCCCATGCAAATGCCCACATTTAGATTTTGTGTTGCTTTGGCCGGGCATGTGGCTCACGCCTCTAATCCCAGCACTTTGGGCCAAGGCGGGCGGATCACCTAAGGTCAGGAGTTCTAGACCAGCCTGGCCAACCTGGGGAAACCTATCTCTACTGAAAATACGAAAATTAGCAAAGCATGGTGGCGGGCGCCTGTAGTCCCAGCTACTCAGGAGGCTGAGGCAGGAGAATCACTTGAACCTGGGAGGTGGAGGTTGCAGTGAGCCGAGATCATGCCACTGCACTCCAGCCTGAGCAACAGAGAGAGACTCTGTCTCAAAATACATCAGTAAATAAATAAACAAATAAATAAATAAATAAATTTTGTGTTGCTTAGAGTTCAGCCTGAGTATGTAAAAGGGAAAAAATGGTAAACCCACCATAAGTTTTATGGTACTTTAAATTCCGCTCTTCTTTGCCAGTCACCAGCTACCATATAATTTTTGGAGTCCTCAAATAGCCGTATTCAGCATAAGGTATGTTTACTCCATTTTCCCCAGAATCAGAAACCTTTATCTTGTTTGAGCCACTGAATTATTATTATTATTTTTAAATTTTTATTTCTATAGTTTTTGGGGGAACAAATGGTTTTTGGCTACATGGATACTTTTTTTAGTGGTGATTTCTGAGATTTTGGTGAACACATCACATGAGCTGTGTACACTGGACCTAATTTTTTTTTGTTTTTTTGTTTTTGTTTTTTTTTTTGAGACAGAGTCTCACTCTGTCACCCAGGCTGGAGTGCAGTGGCACTATCTTGGTTCACTGCAACCTCCACCTCCCAAGTTCAAGTGATTCTCATGCCTCAGCCTCCCAAGTAGCTAGGATTACAGGGTTGCATCAACACACCCTCCTCATTTTTGTATTTTTAGTAGAGATGGGGTCTCACCAAGTTGGCCAAGCTGGTCTTGAACTCCTGGCCTTAATTGATCCACCCACCTTGGCCTCCCAAACTGCTGGGATTATAGGCAATAGCTACCACACCCAGCTCCAATGTGTACTCTTTTATCGCTCATCCCCTTCCCACCCTGCCTGCCCTCACTCTGCTCGTGAGTTTCTAAAGTCCATTGTATCATTCTCATGCCTTTGCATCCTCATAGCTTAGTTCCCACTTAAAAGTGAGAACATATGATATTTGGTTTTCCATTCCTGAGTTACTTCACTTAGAATAATGCTCTCCAACTTCATCCAGGTTACTGCAAATGCCATCGTTTCATTCCTTTTTATGGCTGAGTAGCATTCCATGGTGTATATATACCACATTTTCTTTATTCACTTGTTGGTTGATGGGCATTTAGGCTGGTTCCATATTTTTGCAATTGCAAATTGTGCAGCTATAAATGTGGGTGCAAGTGTCTTTTTTTATATAATAACTTCTTTTCCTCTGGGTAGATACCTAGTAGTGGGATTATTGGATCAAATGGTAGTTCTACTTTTATTTCTTCAAGGAATCTCCGTACTGTTTTCCATAATGGTTGTACTAATTTACATTCCCACCAGCAGTGTAAAATGTTCCCTTTTCACCACATCCGCACCAACATCTATTATTTTTTGACTTTTAAATTATGGCCATTCTTGCGGGAGTAAGGTGGCATCTCATTGTTGTTTTAATTTGCATTTCCCTGCATTTGTGATACAGTTCCCTGCATTAGTGATGTTGAGCATTTTTTCATAAGTTTCTTGGCCATTTGTATACCTTCCTTTGAGAATTGTCTATTCATGTCCTTTGCCAACTTTTTGATAGTACTATTTGTCTTTTTCTTGCTGATTTGTTTGAGTTCCTTGTAGATTCTCGATATTAGTTCTTTGTCAGATACATAGTTTACAAATATTTTCTTGGACTCTGTGGGTTTAGTCAGCTGATTATGTCTTTTACTGTGCAGAGCTTCTTAGTTTAATTAGGTCCCATCTATTTTTGTTTTTGTTGCATTTGATTTTGGGTTCTTGGTCATAAACTCTTTGCCTAAGCCAATGTCTAGAAGAGTTTTTCTGATGTTATCTTCTAGAGTTTTTATAGTTTCAGGTCTTAGATTTAAGTCTTTGATCCATCTTGAGTTGATTTTTGTATAATGTGAGAAATGAGAATCCAGTTTCATTCTTCTACATGTGGCTTGCCAATTATCCCAGCACCATTTGTTGAATAGGATGTCCTTTCCCACTTTATGTTTTTGTTTGCTTTGTCAAAGATCAGTTGGCTGTTATTTGGCTTTTTTCTGGGTTCTCTACTCTGTCCTATTGATCTATGTGCCTATTTTTATAGCAGTACCATGCTGTTTTAGTAAGTATAGCCTTGTAGTATAGTTTGAAGTCAGGCAATGTGATGCCTCCAGATTTGTTATTTTTACTTAGTCTGGCTTTGGCTATGTGGGCTCTTTTTTGTTCTATATGGAATTAATGATTGTTTTTTCTAGTTCTGTAAAGAATGATGATGGTATTTTTATGGGAATTACATTGAATCTGAAGATTGCTTTTGGTGTATAGTCATTTTCACAATAGTGATTCTACCCATTTATGAACATGAAATGTGTTTCCATTTGTTTGTGTCATCAATAATTTCTTTCAGCAGTGTTTTGTAGTTTTCCTTGTAGAGATCTTTCACTTCCTTGGTTAGGTATATTCCTAAGCAGTTTATTTTATTTTATTTTATTTTATTTTATTTTATTTGCAGCTGTTGCAAAGGAGACTGAGTTCTTTATTTGATTCTCAGCTTGGTCATTGCTGGTGCATGGCAGTACCACTGATTTGTGTACATTGATTTTTGTATCCTGAAACTTTACTGAATTCATTTATCAGATCTAGGAGCTTTTTGGATGAGTCCTTAGGGTTTTCAAGGTAAATGATCATATTGTCAGCAAACAGTGACAGTTTGACTTCCTCTTTACTGATTTGGATACCTTTATTTCTTTCTCTTGTCGGATTGCTCTGGCTAGGACTTCCAGTACTGTGTTTGAAAGGAGCAGTGAGAGTGGGTATCCTTGTCTTGTTCCAGTTCTCAGAGGGAATGCTTTCAACTTTTCCCCATTCAGTATTATGTGGGCTGTGGGTTTGTCATAGATGGCTGTTATTACATTGAGGTATGTCCCTTCTATGTCAATTTTGCTGAAGGTTTTTATCATAAAACGATGCTAGATTTTGTCAAATGTTTTTTCTGCACTTATTGAGATGATCATATAATTTTTGTTTTTAATTCTGTTTATGTGGTGTATTACATTTATCAACTTGCAGATGTTAAACCATCCTTGCATGCCTGGTAGAAAACCACTTAATCATGATGTATTTCTTTTTGATATGTTGTTGGATTCAGCTAGCTAGTATTTTGTTGAGGATTTTTGCATCTATGTTCATCAGGGATATTGGTCTGTTTTCTTTTTTCTTTATGTCCTTTCTTGGTTTTGGTATTAGGTGATACTGGCTTCATAGAATAATTCAGGGAGGATTCCCTCTTTCTCTATCTTTTGGAGTACTTTCAGTAAGATTGGTTCCAATTCTTCTTTGAACATCTGATAGATTCAGCTATGAATCCATCTGGTCTTGGACTTTTTTTGTTGGCAGTTTTTAAATTACTGTTTTGATCTTGCTACTTGTTATCGGTCCGTTCAGGGTTTCTATTTCTTCCTGATTTAATCTAGGAGCGTTGTATATTTCCAGGAATTTATTAATCTTCTCTAGATTTTCCAGTTTGTGTGCCTAAAGGTGTTCACAGTAGCCTTGAATGATCTTTTTTATTTCTGTGGTATTGGTAGTATATCTCCTGTTTAGTTTCTAATTATGCTTATTTGGATCTTCTCTCTTCTTTTTTTTGGTTAGTCTCGCTAATGGTCTATCAATTCTGTTTATCTTTTCAAAGAATCACCTTTTTATTTTATTTGTCTTTTGTATTTTGTTTGTTTCAGTTTCATTTATTTCTGCTCTGTTCTTTGTTATTTCTTTTCTTCTGCTGGGTTTGGGTTTGTTTTGTTCTTGTTTCTCTAGTTGCTTAAGCTGTGACATTAGACTGTCTATTTGTGCTCTTTCAGACTTTTTGATGTAGGTATTTAATGCTAATGAACTTTCCTCTTAGCATCACATTTGCTGTATTCCAGAAGTTTTGATAAGCTAGTTGTGTCACTATTATCATTCAGTTCAAAGAATTTTAAAATTCTGTCTTGATTTCATTTTTGACCCAAAGATCATTCAAGAGCAGATTATTGAATTTCCATGTATTTGTATAGTTTTGAGGTTTCCTTTTGGAGTTAATTTCCAGTTTTATTCCACTGTGGTCTGAGAGGATACTTGATATGATTGTGATTTTCTTAAATTTATTGAGCCTTGTTTTGTGGCCTATCATATGGTCCATCTTGGAGAATGTTGTATGTGCTGAAGAAAAGAAAGTATATTCTGTAGTTGTTGGGTAGAATGTTCTGTAAATATCTGTTAAGTCCATTTGTTCTAGGGTATACTTTAAGTCCATTGTTTCTTTGTTGAGTTTCTGTCTTGATGTCCTGTCTACTGCTGTCAGTGTAGTATTGAAGTCCTCCCCATCCTACCTCTGTTATTGTTCCCATCTATCTCATTTATTAGGTCTACTAGTAATTGTTTTATGAATTTGGGACCTTCAGTGTTAGGTGCATATATATATTTAGGATTGTGATATCTTCCTGCTTGACTAATCCTTTTATCATTATATAATGCCCCTCTTTGTCTTTTTTTTTTTTTTACTATTGTTGCTTTAAAGTCAGTTTTGTCTGATATAAGAATAGCTTCTCCTGCCCATTTTTGGTTTCCATTTGCGTGGAATTTTGTTTCCACCCCTTTACCTTAAGTTTATGTGAATCCTTATGTGTTAGGTGAGTCTCTTGGAGACAGCAGATACTTGGTTGGTGGATTTTTATTCATTTTGCTACTCTGTATCTTTTAAGTAGAACATTTAGGCCACTTACATTCAGTGTTAGTATTGAGATGTGAGGTACTGTTCTATTCATCATGCTAGTTACTGCCTAAATACTTCAGTTTTTTTTTCATTGTGTTATTGTTTTATAGGCTCTGTGAGACTCATGCTTTAAGGTCATTCTGTTTTTGTGTACTTTGAGGTTATGTTTCAAGATTTATAACTCCTTTTAGCATTTCTTGTAGCACAGGCTTGGTAGTGGCAAATCTCTCAGCACTTATTTGTCTGAAGAAGACTTTATCTCTCCTTCATTTATGAAGCTTAGTTTTGCTGGATACAAAATTCTTAGCTGACAATTATTTTGTTTAAGGAGGGTAAAGATAGAACCCCAATCCCTTCTGGCTTGTAAGATTTCTGCTGAGAAATCAGCTGTAAATCTGAAAGGTTTTCCTTTATAGGTTACCTGGTGCTTTCATCTCACAGTTCTTGATTCTTCCCTTTGTCTTGACTTTAGATAACCTGATGACTCTGTGCCTACATGATAAATCTTTTTGGGTAAATTTTCCAGGCGTTCTTTGAGGTTCTTGTATTTGGATGTCTAGATCTCTAGCAAGGCCAGGAAGTTTTCCTCAATTATTCCCTCAAATAAGTTTTCCAAACTTTCAGATTTCTCTTCTTCCACAGGAACACCAATTATTCTTAGGTCTGGCTATTTAACATAATCCCAAATTTCTTGGAGGTTTCATTCACTTTTTTAAATTCTTTTTTCTTTGTCTGTTGGGTAAATTTGAAAGCCTTGTCTTCAAGCTGTGAAGTTCTTTCTTCTGCTTGTTCTAGTCTATTGTTGCAACTTTCCAGTACATTTTGTATTTCTCTAAGTGTATCTTTGATTTCTAGAAGTTGTGATTGGTTTTTTCTTTATGATATCTGTTTCTCTGGAGAATTTTTATCTATATCCTGTATTTAAAAAAAATTTTCTCTAAGTTGGTTTTCACCTTTCTCTGGTATTTCCTTGAGTAGCTTAATAATCAACCTGCTGAATTCTTTATTTGGCAATTCAGAGATTTCTTCTTGGTTTTGATCTCTTGCTGGGGAGCTAGTGTGATCTTTTGGGGGTGTTATAAAACCATGATTTGTCATACTACCAGAATTACTTTTCTGATTCCTTCTCATTTGGTTACACTATTTCCTAAAATTTTTCTTGGATTTATTTTTGAATGGATTGTGGTTTTCGTTTTTTGTTTTGTGGTTGTTGGTGAGAATTTGATTCTTGGTGCTTGTAGGGGTGAAGACTCTGTATGAGATCCTTAGTTAGAGAGAGTTTTTGTGTGCTGAATTTCCCCAATGCTGGTTGTAGTAATTATATTTTTGGTGTGTGGGCAAGTTCACTGTCTCCTATGGAGTTGGAATGGGAGGGATCTCCTGAAACTTATCTTGTTCTCTTGTGTTGTACACTTTATTTATTTATTTATTTAATTTTTTCCTGGTGTTTTATTTACTGAATTGATGATTCAGGCTTAAGGCCATCAGGGAGGTAACCCTGGCTATGCAACAGTTATGACTAAGGTGGGTAGGTAGATGTAATATCCAATGAAGGGCCAAGGTCCCAGCCTTGATGAGGGTGGCTGAGGGAGCTCTGAATTAGATGTACTGGGGTTTTATCAAGATGAAGAGTGGGAGTTACTTCAGTTCCCTTGCCAGGTCATCAAGAAAACTGTTCACCTCACAGCCTCACTCCTGTCTTGGTGTTTCAGCTATTCAGATTGGACAGGTACCTCTTTTCATCTGTAGGTAGGTAGGAATTGTGACTCATGTAGGCCTGAATCTGGAGTGTGGTCCTCCTGTGGGGCTGCACTCACTCTGGATTGTTCCAGAAATGCTGTCTATAGGTGCCTCCATGTTGCATTCCTGTTGGGGAAGCCTCAGCTGTGTCTGCAGTGGAGTGCCAGAGGGGAACAAGGACCTCTTCTCAAGGCCCTTCATGATCACAGAGGCCACCTGCCTGTTGGGGTATAGGTTCAGACTTGGGGTATAGGTACTGTACCCAGCACTGCAATTGTGTCTCTGCTGTGAGGAAATATCCACCAGTGGAAAAAACAAAAACTCAAGGCCTGCTGATTCTTTTGTCCCATGGGGTAGTCCCCTTGATGTGGTGCTTTCTCCTTTCCCCTAGGGAAGGGCCTTCCTGCGAACTGGACTGCAGTGATTGTTATTGTTCTTTTGGTTTTAGCCACCCAGTGGGGCCATCAGGCTCTGGGCTGGTGCCTGGGATTGTCTGCAGAGCCCTGTGATGAGCCATGAATACCAACACTTGTTCTAGTGGAGGTGGCAGGGGAGTGAAGTAGACTCTGTGAGAATCCTTGGTTGTAGATATGCTTAGTGTGCTGGCTTTGTGACGTGCTGGTTATGTATTTGTCACATGGACAGACTCAGGGCCTCTGGTTAGCCAGGAAAATGCAGGCAGTGGTATTAAGTGTCATTTTCTCCTTCCTGGGAGCAGGGTTGATCTGCTATGAGTTGCTGTAATGGCCTGAGTTGGTTGGCCTCTAGCCTGGAGGTGGCACTTTCAAGAGAGCACCCGCTGCAGTATTAGTGGGATTTGAGCTTGCCCTAAGTTGGCCAGGGGAGGTATTCTGGTTACCCACATAATGGGCGGGGCCATAAAGCCTCCAAGAGTTTATGTCTTTTGTGTTCAGCTACCAGGGCAGGTAGAGAAAAACCATCAGGTTGGGGCAGGATTAGGCGGGTCTTGACTCAGACTCTCCTTGGGCAGGGCTTGCTGCGGCCACTGTGGGGGATAAGGGTTGGTTCTCAGGCCAATGGGGTTATGTTCCAGAGGGGAGAATGGCTGCCTCTGCTTAGCAGTATTGCTTGCCAGGAAAGTTGGTGATAGCCGGTAGTGCAAGGCCTCACCCACCTCCCATGCAGTTGGTGAGGCCGGCTTTGCTGCCTCAGTGCCCCACTAACAGTGCCAAGTTCAGATCCAGGCAGCCTGTGCATGTGGAACTCAGACCTTTCCCCAGGCCATAAGCTACCCCACTGAGCAAGCAAGCTTGGCTTTCAGGCCTCACTCTTCCCCATCTACCCACAATGTCAGCTGCAGCTCCTGCCCTCATATCTGCAGCAGTTCCTATTTGCCCCCTGGATTCTGCTCAAAAAAGTTAGTTCCCAGTCCAAATTATGCCAAAATCCAGTCGGAAGCTTCTTACACCCTGTGACCTCTCCCTAATCCCACTGGCTGCCTTCCCTGAGGGCTCCTGTGAGATATAGTCAGAGATGGTGTCCCTGGGCTTGAGCAGGAGAATGGCAGTGCCTATAAGACTCTTCCTGCTGTTGCTTTTACTTTTATATTTGGCACAGCTCCCTACATCCATTCCAGCTCTAGGTAAGGTTAAATCTTTCTCCTGTGATCTGTATTTTCAGATTCCCTAGTGGGGATGTGTGTTCAGAGGCAGTTTTCCCCCCTAACAGTTTGGGAACTCACAGTTTTTTTGCCTGTCTCGTGGAATTTGCAGTGGCATGTCACTTATTTCAAAGAATCTGTGAATTCTTTCAGTTTTCCTGGTATAGTCCTGCGGTGGTTCTTAGAACAAAAGCTTGTGGTGTGAGTCTCCACACGCTGTTCTGTACATCCCAATGGAAGCTGCATGTTAGCTCTGTCTCCTATCTGCCATCTTCCCCATCGCTCACTACTGAATTATTGCTGGTTTTTTGTTGTTGTTGTTATGCCAGCTAGGCTCATTCTAACTTATTGAGTTGATTCCCCTTCTCTTTGGTCTTGCTGTCTTAGTCCATTTTTTGTTGCTTAGAATACCTGAAACTGGGTAATTTATAAAGGAAAGAAATGTATTTCTTACAGTTATGGAGGCTGAGAATTCCAAGGTAAAGGATGAGGAAATTCTTGCTAGTGGAGATTCTCTGCAGAGCCCCAAGATGGTGCAGGGCATCACGTGGTGAGGGAGCTGAGCATGGTAGGTTAGGTCTCTCTTCTGTTGCTTATAAAGCCACTAATGCCACACCCATGACAATCTATTTACTCACTAATCCATGAGTGGATTAATCCATTGATGAAGGCAGAACCCTCATGATCCAGCTACCTCTTAAAGGCTCTACTTCTCAATACTGCCACATTAGAGATTAGGTTTCAACATGAGATTTGGAGAGGACAAACAATCAAACCATAGCACTTGCACTGCATCTGCTCTGCACTCTTTTAGCCCTGGATCAATCCTAGAACCCGCCTTCCTGCCCGCTATACTCAGGATGATGTGCCGGACTGGAAAAAATTCATCCAACTGTGTGGGCTGGTGGTCTTTTACTTGTTAAATATCTCTACATAGCTCCTCCCCCATTCTTCACAGAAGTGCCTGTTAATGTTTGTATTGCTCCTCAAGACCCTTACTACCATCCTCTCACTCTTTCAGAAAATGTCTTTACTGCCTGCTTCTCAGAGAAAATGTAGCTACTAAGCAGCTTCTTACTGCTCACCTGTAGATGTGTCTATTCATGTGTCTTCCCTCTTGTTTTAAATAAACAGACATCCTTTCTCTCCTCCTGTCAAAGAGATATTGTTTCCAGCTGTCTTGGCACATGCCTGTAGTCACAGTTACTTGGAGGGCTGAGGTGGGAGGATTCCTTGAGCCCAGGAGTTCAAAACCAGCCTGGGCCACCTAGTGAGACACCATCTTAAAAATCATCTGTTACGATTAATTTTAGGTGTCGACTGTACTAAAGGATACCTAGGTGCTGGTAAAGCATTATTTCTGGGTGTGTTGGTGAGGGTGTTTCCAGAGGAAATTGGTGGAGTTGGTGGACTGAGTGGAGCAGATCTGCTCTCAATGTGAACAGGCACCATCCAATCAGCTGGGGTCCCAGATAGAAAAAAAGGTAGAGGAAAAGGCAAATTCACTTTCTCTCTCAGAGCTGGGACACTCTTCTTTTGCTACCAGATATCAGACCTCCAGGTTTTCTGGCCTTTGGACTCTGAGACTTGCACGAGTGGCTCCCTGGGTTCTCAGGCCTTCAGCCTCAAATTGAGAGTTACATCATTGGCTTCCCTGGTTCTGAGGCTTTTGGACTTGGACTGAGCCATGCTACCAGCATCCCAGGGTCTCCAGCTTGCAGACTGCAAATTACGGAACTTCTCACCTCCATAATCATGTGAGCCAATTATCCCAATAAATTGCATCTTATCTATCTATCTATCTATCTATCTATCTATCTATCTATCTATCTACCTATCTATCATCTGTCTATCTTTATCATGACTCCCGGGTTAATGACACACCTGCGACACAGCCTCAGGAGGTCCTGAGGACATGTGCCCAAGGTGGTCAGGGTACAGCTTGCTTTTATACATTTCAGGGAGCCATGAGACATCAATCAATATGTGTAAAATATACATTGTTTCTGTCTGCTAAGGTGGGACAGCTCGGGCTTCCAGGTCAGAAGTAGAAAAGAGAAAAAGGTTGAATTCTTTTCAGCCTTCTACTGAATACACAACTTACTCTGGCTCAGTGAATCTGCATTTTCACATAAACAACAGGGCAGAGGAAGCAATCAGATATGCATCAGTAAACTATCGCAAGAACAAAAAACCAAACACCGCATAGCTGCCATGGATGCAGCTGGAGGATAATGGCCTCCAGCTGCATCCATGTTTCTGCAAAGGATATAAGTTAGTTCTTTTTTATGGCTGTGCAGTATTCCATAGTCTATATGTACCAGATTTTACTTATCCAATCCACTGTTGATGGGCATCTAGGCTGATTCCTTGCCTTTGCTATTGTGAATAGTGCTGCAATGAACATATGAATTCAGGTGTCTTTTTGGTAGAATGATTTATTTTCCTTTGAGTATATACCAAGTAATGGGACTACTGGGTCAAATGGTAGTTCCAAATTGTTTGAGAAATCTCCAAACTGCTTTCCACAGCAGCTGAACTAAGTTTCATTCCCACCAACAATGTATATAAGTGTTTCCTTTTCTCCACAGTTTCATTAGCATCTGTTATTTTTTGACTTTTTAATAATAGGCATTCTGAATTGTGTGATATGGTGTCTCATTGTGGTTTTAATTTGCATTTCTCTGATGATTAGTGATGATGAGCATTTTTTGGTATTTGTTGGCAGCATGTATGTCTTCTTTTGAGACGTGGCTGTTCATTCATTTGCCCATTTTAAATTGGATTATTTGGTTTTTGTTTGTTGATTTGTGTAAGTGCCTTGTAGATTTTGGATATTAGACCTTTGTCAGGTGCATAATTTGTAAATATTTTCTCCCATTCTGTAGATTGTCTGTTTACTCTTTTAATTTATTTTGCTGTGCAGAAGCTCTTTAGTTTAATTCTATTCCAATTGTCAATTGTTGTTATGATTGCAGTTGCTTTTGGGAACTTAGCTATAATTTTTTTTGCCAAAGCTGATGTCAAAAAGACTTTCCTAGGTTTTCTTCTAGGAGTTTTATAGTTTGAGGTCTTACATTCAAATCTTTAGTCCATCTTGAGTTAATTATTGTACCGAGTTAAAGGTAGGGCTCCAGTTTTATTCTTCGGCATACACCTAGCCAGTTATCCTAGCACCATTTATTGAACAAGGGTATCCTTTCCCCATTGTTTTTGTTGACTTTGTCAAAGGTCAGATGGTTGTAGTTGTGCAGCTTTATTTCTGGGTTCTCTCTTCTGTTCCATTGGTCTGTGTCTGTTTTTGTACAAGTACTATGCTGCTTTGGTTACTGCAGCCTTCTAGTATAGTTTGAAGATAATTCTTTTTTTGTTTGTTTGTTTTTTTGAGATGGAGTCTTGCTCTGTCACCCAGGCTGGAGTGCAATGGCGCGATCTTGGCTCACTGCAACTTCTGCCTCCCTGGTTCAAGCAATTCTCATGCCTCAGCCTCCTGAATAGCTGGGATTACAGTGCCTGCCACCACTCCCAGCTAGTTTTTGTATTTTTAGTAGAAACTGAATGTCACCATGTTGGTCAGGCTGGTCTCGAACTCCTCACCTCAGGTGATCCACCTGCCTCGGTGTCCCAAAGTGCTGGGATTAAAGGCGTGAGCCACCATGCCCGGCCTGAAGATAATTCTTAATAAACGTATTCAATTAACCAGCTTATCACTCCATCTCTAACCAGTCTATAAAAGTGGAAGTCACTGTACATTGAAAAACAAACAAAAAACCCAGGCCAGGTGCAGTGGCTCACACCTGTAATCCTAGCATTTTGGGAAGCCGAGGTGGGAGGATCGCTTGAGCACAGGAGTTTGAGACTAACCTGGGCAACATAGAGAGACCCCTGTTTCTACAAAAAATTTAAAAAGAAAATTTTCCAGGTATGGTGGCATGCACCTGTGGTCTCAGATGCTCAGGAAGCTGAGGTGGGAGCATCACTGGAGCCCGGGAGGTGGAAGCTGCAGTGAGCTGTGATGGTGCCACTGCATTACAGCCTGGAGGAAAAATAAACAACAACACAAATACCCTGAAGCCTGCATTATCTCCTCCAAACCATATGAGGTACTGTCAAAATTTGCATGGTCTCCAACTTGATCTATACTGGTACATTGCCTCCCAGGGTGGGTGGGTGGGGGTTAGTGGGGAGATGGAGTGAGGCAGAAACCTGCTTTACCAAACTGAGATAAGAATCAGGAAAACTATCCCAGCTGTCGATGCTGGTGCAGAGCAAGAAAGGAGTCTAACACTGTCTCAGCCCTCATTTCTAACATTAATTTTGGCAGGACATGGAAGCAACAGTGGAAAGCCTCCCTCTCCATTAATTTGGAGCTAAGAAAAAGAAAAGGTCATCTTCTGAGTTGAACTAGTAAAACTCACATGCAATGGATGTGATTAGTCACCTTTTGGAGTAAAGCTAGAGAATATCTGAAATGGTTGGACCTCAGAAGACTGCAATCAAGGCAAATGATTTGGGTGTAATCAGAGGAAGGCAGGTCCAGAATATGAACTTCATTTAATAGAAGGCATTTAATTAATTGTGTTGTAAGGTGTTGGTGTGGGGGAAGGTTGGACAGAAAGGGAATTGGTCAGCTTCGGCTATGGAAATCCCAAGGAATCATAACTAGGCAGTGTCCAATCAAGCATGTTGTAGAGGAGAGACCCTGTCCTCTGTGCCCTTATGGTTGCTGGAGAAGTTGCTCTACTTGGGGACAGTAGTGCCTCTTCTCTCCTCAGCACTCTGGGTGCCCTTTGTACAGCACCTAGGTTGATTCCTGGTCTTTGTTATTATGAATAATGCTGCAATGAACATAATGAGTACAAGTGCCTTGTTCACCTGTCGCTGGTTTTCCAGGCATTCTGATCCTAGGACAGGCTGCCCTGGATGGTGGACATAAGCTTTTCAGTCCCTGGGAAGAAATGTCCCCCACTGTGAGTTTATCAGTTGGTCATGAGGTTAGACTCATGGATTTGATTAACTTGAGTGACCTCAGATTCTGAAAACTTCTGAGATCTTGACGAGGGTAAATTGTGGAATTTGGAAAGTGGTCAGTTCCCATGAGACCTTGTGGTTGGCAGCATAGCCTTCTCTCAGAACATGCTGATCTCATCATCAGTCTCTTTCTGCCTTCAACAGACACTATCTACTTAGGTCAATGACTGTCAACCCTATCAGACTCAAAAGCCTATTTTTAAATGAATGTTTTATTATGTTCTCTTTACTATTCTGAAAAGAAATTCACAAGTAGGCCAAGGCAGGAGAATCACTTGAGTCCAAGAGTTTGAGGCTGCAGTAAGCTATGATCTTGCCACTGCAAGATCCAGCCTGGGTGACAGAGTGAGACTCTATCTTTAAAAAAAAGAAATTCACAGTAATACAACCTCCTACTCATATATTTTTTTAAAAAAGTCATTATTAAAAAACTGGTAAAGAGAAATACTTTGTAATAAAATTGTATGTATTAGCAAATTCTAATGTTGGGGATGACTCATTGGAAGACCTAACGAAGTAGTTGCTTTGAGATCAGAGTGAAGGTGGCGGAGGCAAGTGTAGATAGAGACAGGTGTGCTGGCAACTCAAATACCAAGAGTAATGTTGCTGTCAGTGAAGTGTGTTTCTGAAATTGTGACTACTGTTGGTAGAGTTCCAAACCAAAGTACAGTCTTACTTGCTTTAAAAATGCAGAGAGGGCCAATCACGGTGGCTCATGCCTGTAATCCCAACACTTTGGGAGGCTGAGGCAAGTGGATCACTTGAGGTCAGGAGTTCAAGACCAGCCTGGGCAACATGGTGAAACCCCATCTCTATGAAAAATACAAAAATTAGCTGGGCGCGGTGGCTCATGTCTGTAATCCCAGCACTTTGGGAGGCCGAGGCGGGTGGATCACTTGAGGTCAGGAGTTCGAGACCAGCCTGGGCAACATGGTGAAACCCCGTCTCTACTAAAAATACAAAAGTTAGCCGGGCATGATGGTGTGCGCCTGTAGTCTCAGCTACTCTGGAGGTTGAGGCATGAGAATTGCTTGAACCCGGGAGGCGGAGGTTGCAGTAAGCCAACATCGCACCATTGCACTCCAGCCTGGGTAACAGAGCAAGACAGTCTCAAAAAAAAAAAAAAAAAAAAAATGCAGAGAGAGCATGTATGGAAAATTCAGTGTACATTAAAACTTTGCAAAGGTAATCTGTGTTTCTAAGTAAAATGGAATTCCATTTCATACCCAGATAATTATAAACAGGTTTTTCACACAAATGTTCAGTGTGACTTCTGAAGGTTTTATAGGGCACAAGAATATTTCTTGGTTGTTGTACCTGTGCTGCACATGACTGGATAGCTAGCATCCTTGGTTCCCTCTCAGCAAATGCCACCAGTACTATTCCAATAATTCTGACAGCCAAAAATGTCCGTTCAAGTGTCTGATACATCCCCTAGGTGGTGGTACCACTGCTGTTGAGAGACACTGAATTAAGTGAACAGGAATCAAAATGAGGGTCCAATAATGCAAATATGCTATTTCCCACAGCACAATCATTCCATGGCCTGGCATGATGGAAAACCCTGGGTAGCAGAAAGAAGGCAAAGGCTGCATGAGAATGGGGCCAAGTGTTAGGTCTAGAGGGGGAAGCAACATTCCAGGCATGACAATATGTCAGAACTTAGGAGGGGAAACCAGGATAACACTTCACCTCTGGGACTTTGGCCAGCGTATGAGTGGGGCCAACATAGAAAGAACTGTGGCTCTGGGCCACATGGATACCCAGGTTTGTCCTCGGTGCCTGAGATCCCAGATCTGGCTGAAAAGGAAGGATTAGGGGTCAGTGCAGGAGCCTGGAAGCATTGGCTTTCTTCCTAAAATTTGAGTCTAGGGATATGACTTATTTCCAGATTCCTTATGCACAGCCCCACTCAGAAATGCCCCGATGTCTTGTATGAACTTAAGTCTTCTCAAGTAGTAGCAGCAGAGAAGAAAGCAGAGGCCAGAGAGACAACAGCCTCCATTTATCAGTACCAAGCATGTGACTGAAAAGGGGATGCCTATACCACACCATCTGATTTTCTTACATCAGAGTATTCTTTGTCCTCATTTTAACAGAAACGAATCAACTCATTATTCAAACAAAAACATGTGCTCAAAAGAACAAGGGTTGAATGGTGTTAGCAACCATGCCTCACTCCACCCCTGTCCAACTCTGTTGGTTTCCTCTGGATGGACACAAAACAGCTGCTTGGAACTCAGATTTGGAGTTCATTTCCACAAGTAGGGTCATGAAGGTGTGGCCATCAATTGAGGCAATGCTTATACTGAATACCACAATTTACAAGGGTAAGTAGATAATTATGCTGAGAGCCCAGGCTGAGTCCAGGCACCACGATCCATGCTTTGTAACTCAGAAGCCAAAAAGCACTTCCATAAACCTGATATTCCCTGAAGACCATCTGAACAGGATGATGCCTCATCTCCTGTGCTTCTGATCCCAAAGCATATCCAAGACAACCGTCTAATCTCTGCTCAGGATTCAAACTACTTAATGTTTTTATTCCATTGAGCAGGCTCCTTTGTGGATACAGATCCTGCAAAACAATAATAAAAAAAGCTCTTATCTCAATTATGAGGTCCTATTACTTCATCTGTCCCACATTCACTATAGTAGATGGTCATGAGAAGAACAAGTTCAGCTTTATAGTCCTTAATGAAATCTATTAGCAAAATTGAGTTTAAAAAAAAGAGAGAAGCATTCTGTACATTAAGAAAGATTTTCCATTTTAGCATATGAAAAGAGGGAAGGAACTAAAGAAGAAATTATCTGCAATTACAGAACAATCAAGGAGATAGCTGACTTGTCTTCCCTCCCATTCCCATAAGCTTTGATTCAATCATGCTTAAGATATTGCAGAATTATACTCCTGAAGTCCCAAGTCATTGTGCTGGTCTCTCTGACATCTTCTGTCCCTCTACTCTTTCCCATTCTCTCCTGGGGTCTCCTATCTCCCTATGGACAGCTTTCTCCAAACCTGGCTCTGCCCCTACCTCTTGAGCACATGCCTGAGTAGATTTGAAGGCTACTTATCTTTTGGGTTTTTCCCTCAGTACCACAGAGCAACGATTTGATCCCCTGGTAGTTTAAGATCTGAGACACCACTAGAAGTTCCTCTGAACAAAGCATTCTATGAAAAGGAAGGGGATCTACATATATGCTAATATATTTATCTCTGCTTTTCTTCTGTGTCCTTTGGATTTTCTTCCTGTGTGTATCTCATTTTAATCAAGATATACTTCCCTGCCCAGAAACCCTTAATGGTTACCTATTGCCTAAAAAAATCAAGTCCAAGTTTGTCAGCATAGCATTCAAGATCCTCTGTGATTTGCCCCCTCACATGCATTTCCAACAAATCAACTCCTCTAGCCAGAGTGAGAGTCTGTATAATTCAGTGCTGAACGTGTAGCCTCTGCAGTCCAATCCCAGCACAGCCACTTGTGAGCTGTGTCCTCAGGTGAGTTGCTTAAACCTGTCTATGCCTCAGTTTCCTCAACTGTAAAGATGGAATAATAATAGTAGTAATTTGAGTTGTGTGCAAACCAAGAGAACTGATAAATGTTTGTGGGCTGAGAGCAGGGCCTGATCATAATGTATCAATGTACTACTCTCAACCCACTTGCACTTTTCTATCTTTGAACATTTTTTCACAGTTACCAATTTTTGAAATGCTCTTCCCTTCTCTCCACTCCTCTAAATACTTTCCATCCTTTAAAGTCCTGATCGAATTTTTCTTGCACAAACTTCCCTGAACTGTTCAATTTACAGTGTTCTTTTCTGTTTATTGTTCTTATGATCTATTCCACAAATTTTGCAAATAATCATTTGTTGCATCATGGAACTTTTTGTATTGCCACCTTGTATGTTAACTGGGAATGTAATTTTGCCTTGTCCCCTACCAACTGGCCTGTGAATTATTGGAAGCAAGGACTCAGGCCTGTCTTTGTATACCTGGTATATTGCCTTTCCAATAGTGGCTCAATAAATATCTGTTTATTTGACTTATTTGATTCACAGGTTGAATGCAAGATTGCCAGATGCCTTTGGAAGTGGTTAGCTAAAGGGAGACTAGAGGAGTTAGAAACATTGTTATTTGCTTGTAAAATATTTATGTTTCTATGTAAGATGTTCCATTTCCATCTTGGAAGCACTAGAACTGTCTGACTAGTGGAAATCCACCAGGATGAGATCAGGTGCTGTTTCTGGCCAGAGGGAGAGATTTGGCAGCCAGATGGGCTCTTAGAAGAGCAATTTAACCAGATGCAGAATGGCAGAGACAGAGTCCCCAGGGCTGGCTATGATACAAAGGGATCTCCTGAAGCGCAGTTGCTTCCACAAAGAAGTTTTGCAAATTCAGACCTTCCTTCCTTGCTGCTTAATTTTCCCCTGGGTGGAAACCTTTGGCATCCGAGAGGGCCAGGGCCAGGTAAGATAGGAGGAAGAGCTAGTGTGTTACTGGGCCAAAGACTTCTGGGTTCTAGTCCAGATTTTTTCAACAACTTCCTGGGTGGCCTTGGACCTTATGTCATCTCCCTAATCTTCAGTTCCCTCATCTATCATGAATGTGTTGGATCAATATGTAATCTCTACAGTCCCTGCTGACTCTCATACTCTATCACTCTAGGATTTTTCTCATAGTGGAGTCATTAGTATCTACTATGCAGGAGACAGAGACCTCCTTTGCCTGGAATTAATATTCTTTCGGTTGGGGAGATGCAATCAGAACTCTGGCCAGTGGAGCTCAATTGAGTCAGTCCCTAGGGTGTGAGATGATCTCATTTTATGGGGAGTGACCCTGCTTACAACAACTTGGAATTCTTTACCTTCTCCACCACATCTGGGAAAGTAAGGACTTGGGATATAGGATAATGAAGAGAGGGCAGGGTAATAATGGGGCAAAGGACTTAAACTGGAGCCATATCTGATTATTTGGTCAATTGTCCTTGCCTCTAGATTATCACTGAGTGTTCCCTTTCTGTAGTCCCTGACTGAAGTCACAGTCATTAATGATGGTAGAAATCCAGGGAGATGAAGCAAGATTACACTGAGGCTTGGTGCCAAGTGTCTACAAGTGTCAGAGACCCCACCCAGGCCTTGGACTTGGCCTTATGGGTACATTCTCCAGGACCGCCCCCACCTCACCCTGCCAGAAAGTGCTCCTCCCCTGGAACCCGCCCCCACCCAGATGACCTTCGCAGCCTTCCTCAGGTGCTCCTGGCTGCTCTCTGCTCCTGCACCACCTCTCTCTGTCAACTTAAACCCATAGTAGCCCCTCCCACTAACTCTCCTCTACTCCCCCAGCTAAGACAGCAGGTCTGCCTTTTTAAACTCAGATCAGGCTACTGGGTGTGAGGTCCATGAGGCCATGGCCTTGTGTCTTTTGGTGCTTGTGAGCTTATCTTGGGCCTGGAAAATCATGCTGAGGAGGAAGATATTCCTGCTGCTGCCACCATGGAAAACAGTGCTGTGTTCCAGGAGCTGGGGAATAGTGTGGCAAGCAGATGACCCTTGTACAGCAGAACATTGATGACCTTCTGGAAGAGACCCAGAGATAAGGAGGGAACAGCTTGTGCGGAAAAGGGAGTCCTAGAAGCCAGTCCAAATATTGCAGATGGAATTCTTGTGAGTGAGGGCTTTCTACAAAACCGTTTGCCAAGACAGCTCACATGTTTGCAAGGCAAACATCTAGGCACAAGCTTACAAAATGAAACAGGCAGCTCAATGGCAGGCCCTGGCATGTTGTCGGTGGGAGGCGGACAAGTGAGGACCATGGGCCTTTCACCTGTCCATTTCTCTCTAGCTGCTATGGGGGGCCTCTAATGCTGTATGAGTTCTTTGACTTTCCAATCTATTTAATAGAAGAGAACCTGGGAAGTTAGCTCATCCAAGTCATGCCTCTGTCTCTACACTGGATGTTACCTGCAGCATGTGATAACAAGACAGTTCTGTTCTTTCAATAAATGCCTCTAGAGGAAAGTGCCCACCTATTCTCTGTGACCCATTCTAGGGTTTAATCGCTGTGAAATCTTGAACAATAGGCCTCACATTGACCTTAAGATGCCCCCTCGGTAGTTTACTTTTATTCCATTTCCTATTGATTACAGGTGGGGAATAGCCACTGACCAAGGTTTTCACTTGAAAGGATGCTTTTAAATACTTGACCATAACAGGCCCCCTTAACCTACACTTATTTAGACCTAATAACTTTAGAAACATTTTATACACTTATTTACTTGATAATCTTTTCCAACTATTCTATAATCTCTGCTAGTGACCACAGCTGCTCTCCCCCCGACAGAGCTCCCCTCTCCTTTCTAGGCACCCCATCTCTTCCCTACCTAAGAAATTTTTCCATCTTCAATGCACCAACATTTGAGCAGCTGTATAAGCACAAAATACTTAATTTGGGAACAGTGTCTGTGGGAAGGAATGCTTTGTTAGTTTCCAAAGTAATGCAAAGCTTAATTTTAGAAAGTAATTTAACTTTTTTTTTTTTTTTTTTTTTGGTTCTGGAAGTCACAGAGATTATGGATTGCACTGCAGAGGCAGCCTGCCTCCTGATGATGCTAGCACTTTGTAGCACTGGGTTTTTCTGCAGCAGTTTCATTTTTGTTCTCATTCAGAGACACAGTGGGTCAGTTCAATAAAAACATTTACTCCCTGAGGTCAGGGCCTATGTCTTGTACAGCCTGTCTGTATGGCCAGGGCCTGACAAGGACAAGTAAGTGGGAAGTATTCTTAAATGTTGAATAGCATTGCATTGCCTATCTGCCTCCCACTCCCTACCTTGGTCTTAAACTTGGTCCAATCAGGTTCTGGAACTAGGAAAGAACAGCTATCAAGTATTGGGCAGGACAGGGACAGGCGGGATCGGATCATACCACTGCTACATTCCATGGCTCCAGGAGAAAGTTATGGTGACAAGATTGAAGAGTATCATGTCCTACCAGATCTGATATCAGTCTCTTCCTCTCAGGGACACACAGGACTAGGAGCTGAAACATAATAGGAATTGGGATAGGAATCTGAACCAATAGAGCCAGATAGATTTGGAGACAGGGACCATGAAATGCAGAAATTAGGGGGGTACATCACCACCACCATAGTAGCAATATTTAGGGCTGGAACTGAGATAGGCTCTTGATAAGTAGCACTGCCCCAGAGCCCTCTGTGGGCTCCAGGTGAAGCACCTTCTATCATTTGCTGGGGTGCCTTTTGACTGTCATGGCATGCTCTAGTGCCTTAACACCACGATTGGTGACATTCCCAATTCCCCAGAAATAAAATTTAAACTCTATTTTCCAAGGGTACACACACACACACACACACACACACACACACACAGTCTCTCTCACTCTCTCTTCCAACTGTGTTATAAGCAAAAGTCAGTTTGAGAGGAAGACAGTGATGAAGTCCCCAAGAGAAAATCACTGTGAGTAAAGATACTGTGGCAGAGTGGACCAGACTCAACCAGAGCACCTGAATCTTGGAGGACAAGAGGTTCCAGGCAGAGCGTGAGGCTGTCTCTGTAGTTCTCACCTGAAGTCCCTCAACCCCAAATCCTAAGAGTTCCAGTATGTTCTGGAAACGAGGGGGGTGGTCTCAATTAGAAAACAAAAATCAAAACGAAACAAAAACATGTAAACAGAGGTACGGTCATTCTGGAGTTGGTATCTTCTCTAAAAGACCTGGAAGACCCGTCCTGCTGGCCAGGGAGGAGCTGACCATTGGAGGTCAGGGGTTTGGGGGAGGTGGGCAAGAGCGGCGGCAGCCAAGGGGAAGAGGCAGCTGTAGGGTGGCACGGCAGCCCACTCCGAGAACAGAGACGGGGAAAAGGAAAGACATGACTGCACAGCCAAATGTGGCAGAGTTAGCCACTTTTGCAGTATGTTTTAAATTTTATTCAAAGTGTTATATTCTGCCAGATCTTGAAATATTTCAGAGCTCAGCCTGTGGGTGGGTTCAGCTCCATATATTTTTCATTAACATCTACTAGTAGGCCTAGGATAGTACAGAGAGAAAAGAAAGAACCACGCCAGAAACACAGATAACGAAAAAAAACCAGGCTGACAAAAAGATACATAGGGAAAGATACAGGGAGATGCTGAGAAAAGCCGTTTTCTAGGTGCGGAGGAACACAGAGTTCTAGGAAGCAATTTAGTCAAGAGATTCAGGAAAGCCTATTAAGACGGTGTCCTGCGAGACGCTAGTTGCTACCCCAGGTTAGAGATCAGGCGGTCCTGGATTAAGCCTCCCCGAACTGAAAACCGAACAGAAACCGCAAAGCTGCATTGTTTTGTTTGTCCCTTGGTTGGGCTCCGGGCAACCAGCGCGCTGGGGTTCTGACACACTGCCTGAGCGCCCCCTGCTGGCCACTGTGCAGAACTTCACCGTCTGGGCCCAAGGTGAAATCGAATTACGTAATTTCTCGAGCTTTGCACACCCCATTTTTACATTTTTATTTATTTTTTATTTATTTTTGTATTTTCCCAAGCTCCTGGCTTCACTGAAGCCTACTGTCTAATGCCAGCGCTTGAATGCTCTGACTGCCAAGGTCCTAAGGCCCAGTGAGGGCAGTCCTGAGAGACCCAGCCTAATGAGAGTGCACGCAGGGGCTTGGCTGAACATTTATGAAACACGTGCCACATACAAAGTGCTGCGGAAAGGCCCAAAGGGATTTCATTTGGCTTTTCGTCTTCTTGCCTCAAAAGGGAGGCTAGAATTAAACTGCCCTTCTGGGGCCGGGGTGAGAGCCCTTCCCCGCCCAGTTCTGACCTTCGGAGCAGCCTTCCAAAATAAATCCCCAGAAGAGCCTCTCAGGGCACCAGCTGGCGCGCCTCCCTCTTTCCTTTCGTTATCTCTCTCCCTATTCATCTTCTCTTTCTTCTCTGCTTGGAGAGGAGAAATTGCAATGTGCAAAGCCCCTGGGGCGAGAGGGAGAGAAATACAAGTCTCCCCAAATGCCAAGCCTATGTTACTGCTAAGAATAGCCTTTATCTCTGGGAGGAAGCGCAGGAGACCTGGTTCCTGTTTCTCTCTCCCTCTCCCTCCCTCCTTTCTCCCTCTCTTCTCCCTCCCCCTCACACCAGATGAAGGTTGATTATAAAGAGGGCAGTGAGCCTGTCTTTCCTAAAGTGACTGAGACTTGAGTCACAAAGGCTAGAGAGGGGATGTGGGAGGAGAGAATGAGAGTCCAGAGGCAGGGTGGGAGGGAAGGGAGAAGGCAAGAGCAGCATGGGGGAAACAGGAAGAACAGGACACGGGAGTCTGCAGCCAACTGATTGACAGGGGTGGTGGGACCCTCAAGGAGCGTCCCTGAGGTCAGCAGTGGGGGCAACTGGGGCTTTAGGCACGCCCCCCCCCCCCCCCATTCTGGCAGGACACAGGCATCACCTTGAGGGATGGGGACAGGTTTCCAGACCTCTGGCTAGTATATGGGCTCACAGTAAGCAACTCTCATCTCCTCAGAGATTAGAAACCCAAATTATGTCTCTAAAAATCAGGTTCTTTCAGGCTGGGAGTGGTGGCTCACTCCTGTAATCCCAGCACTGTGGGAGGCCGAGGCGGGCAGATGGCTTAAGTTCAGGAGTTCGAGACCAGCCTGGGCAAAATGCAAAAACCCCATCTCCACAAAAAAAAAAAAAAAAAAAAAAAAAAGCAAAAATTAGACAGGCATGGCGACTTGCGTCTGTGGTCCCAGCTACTCAGAAAGCTGAGGTGGGAGGATTGCTTGAGCCTGGATGGCGGAGGTTGCAGTGAGCTGAGATCGTGCCACCGCACTCCAGCCTGGGCAACAGAGTGAGACCTTAAAGGTCAGAGGCACAGGGTGAGAACATCAGAAAGGATTCTCTTTCCTTTGTAATGAAGAATTAAACAGATGTTACAGTTAACTGCCTTGCAGGAGTGACCCTCAGGGAAATGGGGTCACATGCTTTAGTATCTTCATTACCTGCTGGGCCCCCGCCCATTGTTTCTTTCTTTTGTCCACCTTCCCTCCCAGCTTGCCCTCTTTCCTCTTTTCACGAGTGCAGCTTTTTGCCCACACCGTCAGTGATGTTCCCCAGCTCTGGGCTCTGGCTTCCTCCCCTACTCACCTTTCCTGTTGCTCCTGGATCTGCTTTTCCGGTCAGAGTGCTTTTGTGGAAGGAAGGGGAAGAGGATGTTGGCATATCTGCTTGGGGATCCAAATGTCTGATGCCTTGCAGATTTCTAACAGGACTAAGAGATATCTCATAGAGTTTGAGGAGAGTCAGGCTCTAGGTCTTTCTTGACTCAACATCAATCTGCAAAGCACTGCTGAAAAATTACTAGACATCTGACAGCCCGTAAGTTGTATTATCTCCTATCTTGAATAGCCCTTGTCCACTTCTACCATAGAAAAGTATTTTAGTGACTCATGAGTCAATAGGAGCAGAGGGGCCTTGGCAGGCACTGCATAAATACATATTATGGTTATTTATCACGAATGAAGATGGCTCATAAATAACTGAAACGGGCCCAGTTCTGCTTCTGTTGAATAAAAGGAAAAAAACCCACAAACATCAAAGGATAAAAAATAAAAAGGGAACGCTCTGCAGAAGATGACATTACTTTGTGTTCTATAGCTGAATAAATTGTAGCAATTGCTAAAATGCTCCTGGAGAATGATTTTAGAAGAGACCTGCTCAGCGGCCCCGAGTTGTGGGTCTGGGCTGCTTGTGACCAGCAGAGGGCAGACTTCAGTTATAAACGGAAGACTGTAGAACAGATAGTGGGGAAATGTAATTGATGGTTCAAGGTTGTAAACTGCTTATTCCATGGTGTAAATACTCACTTTGGGCCTATGCATACCCCCAGAGATCATAGTCCAAGATTCTTGATAGGTTACAAGTGACTAGATTTCAAGGAACCAGCTCTTTGTAATACATATTTATTTGTTTGTAAGGTTAAAATCTGGGCAGAAAGGGCTGGTTTTGCACAAACCTCCCTCTGGGTGCCACAAACTGCTATTTAATGTGCAGTCACCGAAGTGACTTGTCGCTGTCCTGGGCCTGACACAGCTACTCACAGCCGCATATAGTTTGGAGTAGGAGTGTTCGAGCTTTGTATCTGACTTGGAAAAGCAGGTGCTGTGTCATGCACTTGGTGAAAAAGCCCCTACTGTTGGTCATTCCTCTTTGTTTAATGAATATAGAGAAATCTGCTCCCGAGGAAACAGAGAGATAGGAATGAAGATTACTGGAAATGTTTCGTTAAGATATGGGTCAGCATAGCAACTTGACTCCTAGGTATATATCCAAGATAATTGAAAACACATGTCCACACAAAAACCTGTACACAAATATTCCTACCATTATTAACCATAGCCAAAAAGTGGAAACAACCCAAGTGTCCATTAACTGATGAATGGCTAAACAACATGTGGTTCATCCATATAATGGAATATTATTCAGTCTTAAAAATGAATGAAGTATTGATACATTACAACATAGATAAACCTTGAAAACTTCATGCTAATTGAAAGATGCCAGTCACTGAAGAGCCATATTGTATTACTCTAATTACATGAAATGTCTAGAATAGGCAAATTCATAAAAAGCAAATAAAAAATAAAATAGGCAAATAAAAAACCAGATTAGTGATTGATTGGGGCTGGGGAAGGGAGAGATGGGACTGACTACCAATGAGCATGTTATTTCTTTTGGGGATGATGAAAATGTTCTGAAATTCGATAGTGGTGATGGTTGCACATCTCTGTGACCATAATGAAAGCCACTGAATTCTACACTTTTAAAAGGTAAATTTTAAGTATGTGAATTATATCTCAATAAAACTGTTATTAAGAAAAGATTTGGGGCTGGGCACAGTGGACCATGCCTGTCATCCCAGCTTTGGGAGATCGAGGTGGGAGGATCACTTGAGCCCAGGAGTTCCAGAACATAGTGAGACCCCATCTCTATTGAAAAAAAAAGGCCGGGTGGGGTGGCTCACTCCTGTAATCCCAGCACTTTGGGAGGCCGAGGCGGGTGGATCACGAGGTCAGGAGATAGAGACCATCCTGGCTAACATGGTGAAACCCCGTCTCTACTAAAAAATACAAAAAATTAGCCGGGCGTGGTGGCGGGCGCCTGTAATCCCAGCTACTCGGGAGGCTGAGGCAGGAGAATGGCGTGAACCCAGGAGGCAGAGCTTGCAGTGAGCCGAGATCGTGCCACTGCACTCCAGCCTGGGTGACAGAGCAAGACTCTGTCTCAAAAAACAAAAAAAAAAAAAAAAAAAAAAAGATTTGGACCAAAACAGGCATTAACAGACACTACAGAAGGAAACTCAGAGCAGGAAACAAGGTGAATATAAAGAGAACATTTGACTTCTGGGACAGCCAGCCCTACCCCCTCCCAAAAAAACACTTTGGATGAGAACAGAGTAGGTTTAGTTCAGGTTAAAGACAGAGGCAGCCAAATTCAGTGTAGGAAGCAAAGAGAATTATCTACAAAGCTGTACTGACCTTGCATCTTCTCCAGCTGACCCACCTGTAAAGAGTTTACACCTCTCTGATCATGCTGGCCTTGGTAATATGGGTGCTGGTTCACTCAAGGCAAGAAGACCACATTTGAGCTGATGTCATGGTGACAGAAGGTGCACAGGGAAATAAGGGAGAATCACACTCTTCAAACCACAGTAACAAGAAAGGCTTCCCAAGCTCTCAGGAGGTGGCAAGGAAGGTGATAATAGTTAAGTCACCAGCTCAGCTACCAGGGAACTTCACGGTTACACTTGAGTTCCAAGTATATTACCAGTGACACCCAAGAGGCCAGAAGAAGCCTGTGCTCTGTTCCTTCTGTAGTAGCCACCACAGCACCTTGCGTAGGTTGGGCCTATGAGAGCCCTTAGTAAATACTTGGAAAAGGTGGAGAAATTAAGAAATAGATGAGCACACAACTCCAAAGGGCAGGGGAAGTACCCTGAATGACCGAAGCCAGGGCCAGGTGTAGCCTTGGTCAGTGCATTGGAGAGGAACTACCCTTGAATGAGAAAGATAGGAGATGCCTGCTCTTTATCAGAGCCATCCACTCATCCATCACTGGACCTGCCTGGCTGAGTTTAAGCAGGGCCATGTCTCAGGCACACTTGCACACACCCGTCTGCTATGGCATGCTTGGTATGCCTCATTTCTCGCCTTCCTCCAATTCCTGGGCAGAAACATCCTAGAAGATGCACCAGAAGATGCACTTGTCACTATGTCCTTGTCACTATGAAGATACTCTGCCTAAGAGTAGGCCTTTTAAAATTTGTGTTTACTGATTTAAAAACCAAACAAAACAAACCTCTCTGTTCTGTAACTGCTCTTGGTGATCAGGGAGAGCAATGATACTAGGGTGTGATCACATGTTTTCCAGTCCTGTGTTTTTCTCCAAGTCTGGTCCTCTGGGTGAACGTTACGCATTTTAGGGAGCCAGGGAATAGCTCTAACTATGTCTTACAAAATTACCTTAATTATAGATTCGGCCAAGAGATGGGAACTCAGTAACAACTGGCTAAATACCAATTGTTTTAAATAAATAATATGAGTTCAGCAGTGAAAATAATTGGATTTGGGAGTTGGGCAGATCTGGGCTTAAAACCTGGTTACTTCCTTCAGTTATGCCTTTAGTAAGTGTGTATTGATCACCTACAATGTACGAGGCACTCTTTTAGGCATTGACAATAAAAGCACAAATGGGAGAGACAGTCTGTATCTTCAGAGAGCTTACAGTCCCACAGCTACACTAAATACCTGTTATCTTTAAAAGGTTACTAAACCTGCTGGGTGCTGTGGCTCACACCTGTAATCCCAGGACTTTGGGAGGCTAAAGTGAGAGCGGATCACCTAAGGTCAGGAGTTTGAGACCAGCCTGGCCAACGTGGTGAAACCCCGTCTCTACTAAAAATACAAAAATTAGCCGGGCATGGTGGTGAGCACCTGTAATCCCAGCTACTCAGGAGGCTGAGGCTGTAGAACGCTTGAGCCCAGGAGGCGGGGGTTGCAGTGAGCCAAGATCGTGCCACTGCACTCCAGTTTGGGTGACAGAGTGAGACTCCGTCTCAAAAAAGAAAAAAAAGAAAGGTTACTAAACCTTTCTGTGTTTACATCTGTAAAATGAAAACAAAAACAAAAACAAATTTGAAGGTTGTTGTAAGGATTAAATTGAATACCATAAACAAAATGCTTTGAATATTGCATTCAAATAGTATTGCTTCCCTTCTCCTTATATATACCCCCTTGGTATCGTTTTATCATTTGTTACAACGTACTACTACCTTTAATTGAACATTCCTAGCTTAAAGGGAGACCAAATGTGTCAGGGGTTTGAAATGGAAACCCCAAAGCAACTCCATTAGGGAACAGTATGTGTTGTAGTTGAGAACACGGGGGTTGACATCAGAGAGACCCCAATTAGAAACCAACCCTGTTACTTGCTGATTTGGGGCAAGTTATTAACCTCTCTGAGCCTCAGTTTCGTCCTCTGTGAAGGCTAATAACCCTATTCTCCCAGAGTTGTTGGGAGGTTTAGTGAGATGCTATAGGTAAAACACTTAGCTCATTGTCTGGTACATAATAGGTGCTTGGCAAAGATTGTTACTCTTATTTGTTTGTCTTACTTTTAGAGTATCAACTTTTAGGGCTGGCACTGGTCTTGAATAGCATTATGGCCGATTCCTCATTTTACAGATGAGGAAACTGAGTTTCAAAGCAGGTTGGCCAAATCATAAGAACTGGAATCTCTGATTCCTGCCCCAGTTTTCTTTGTCTCTACTTCATGTTCAGGGGTGGAGTTGACTAGAATATTTGTTTTAAGGAACATTAAGCTCACACATGTAGGATGTGGTAGGAAGCCTTCTTCCTTTCCCAATCCTCAGTTTCTTCTTGTACGGTGATGGAGTTGTCTAAATGATTCTACTCAAGGTTCTGAGACACAATGTCTTTCTGAAGAGTAGCTAGGAAACACAGGTAACCATGGACAACTTCATCTGCCCTTGCTAATTTCAAGCTCTTGATCTTCCAAAGATTAGGTGCAAACAGATGGAAGATTCTCACCCATGCCTTCCCCTACAAGGCAACCATGGCTGACCTTCCAGGTGGCTGCTCTTTCAATGGAAGTGATTTTCAAACTGCAGATCATAACTTATTAGTGAGTCTTGAAATAAATTTAGTGAGTCAGTATTTCAAAAATGGAAATAGAAGTGATTTTAAAATATCAAAGTACGCCACAAGTTATAATAATAAGTATTACTTTGTGAAATCTTTGTTATATATGTCATATTTGTGTGTGTGAATTTATGTACTGTGATGTCACAATTTTAAAAATATTTTTTACCATGGGCTGTAGTCCAAAAAGATTGAAAACTACTGCTTTAAGACATAATTTGTGTTGCCTGCAATTAAAAAAAAATTCTCACTTTTAAATTGCACATTATTCATTACTCAACAAATGTTTATTGAGTGCCTACCAAATGCCAGGCACTGTTCTAGGCACTAGGAATACAGCAGTGAACAAAAGAAACAAAAATTCCTGCACTCATGGAGCTTACCTTCTGGTGGGGAAAACACAAGCAATACATAGGTAAGGTACAAAATGTAGGAAACACAGGAGAAAGGCAAGAAGGAAGGATGAGAGGAATGAAGAAAGAAGGAAGGAAGGAGGGAGGGAGGGAGGAAGAAAAAAAGAAAGAAAGAAAGAGAAAGAAAAAGAAAGAAAGAGAGAGAGAGAAAGAAAGAAAGAGAAAGAAAGAAGGGAAGAAAGGAAGAAAGAAGGGAAGAAAGGAAGAAAGCAAAGGACATTCATAAACATTTAACCCAGTAAAAACACTGTTGGCATTTTGGTGTATGTCCTTACAGACTTTTCATCATATGCACATGCCATTTATCTTGCCATTTAGAGGACTTCCAGGTAATAGTCCTCACATAAATGTGCAGGATGCTGCTGACCAAAGTCCTGTCCTCTGAAGCATGAAAGGAGAGGCTCTGCTTTCCTCTCTGCCTGCTTCCCTCCTCCCGCTCCTTTCTCTTCTGTATTAATTGCACTACTAGGCCCTTGGCCTTGGACACAGAGACTTCTGCTGCATGTTAATTAGGCACAGCACCAGCTGACCCTGCTCACTGGGAAGTTCTATGTCAGAGTTCTGTTGCATACTGACCTTTAATAGCCTTAATGATTTAATCATTTTATAGATTGAAAACACTGAGGTCCAGAGACGTTGTGACTTGTCTGAGTTCTCACAAACGATAAACGGAGGCAAGAGTCTGAAATGCTTCGTGCTCCAGCGCCTGAGAGCTCTGGTTTGGCCCCTTCATCTGCCGTGCATTTCACCTTCCTTTCTTATTGTGCCAATATAGTAAAAATAATTTTTTTTCTAACACTAAGCTATTATTTTAAGTTTCTGTTTTCTAACAGGTACAAACTGGTTAGACTCGTCCTGGCTTAAGTGACCGTTAATTTAGTAAATCTCCTTGGATTTTGTGACTGTTACGCTAAAAGCCTTAAAAATAAATGTAGTAAGAAGCTGCCCTTGGGTCCAGCAGAGAAGAAGATAAAATTGGATCCTTTTCAAAGCCAGTGTTTACACTCAGATGCCTCTGGCTTTCTCATTTACTTTAATAAGCTATTTCACGAGGTAACTTTATCTTTACAGATACTTTTTTTTTTCTGAAGGAGAGATGGTTTTTAGCAGAGAGCAAGGAACTTAAAATCAAGAGGTTTGCGCTCTAGTCCCAATTCTGCTCAGTAACCCTAGACCAGTCACCTGCCCTCTGTGAGCCTAAGACTGGATGAGGGGTTTCTAAGCTGTGGTCAGTGGGGCCTCAGGATTTCCATGACGTATTTCTGGGCTACTGCTGGAGACCTACAGTGAAGGCTCAGAGGCTGCCGTCCCAGAACCACACTGCCCCCTTGTCTCCCTCCCTCCCCTACTCAGAGCAGCTCTCCTTTTATTTGTTTTAAAGGGGAGAGTCTGCATAAGATTTTATTTAAAAGAAAAGTTCTGCTGTTGTTAGTATATAAAAATCACCAGAACAGTTAGATGATCTGAAAGATCTTTTCCAGCTCTAACATTCTGGGGTGTCTGAGTTTAAAGATCGGCTCTTGCTTTACTTTTTTAGCTACCTCTTTGCTCCACGGACATGCAAACCAATCATCTCTAAATTATAAATATTCTCTCTGCTGCCCCCAGCTGACTGCTAGCTATGTATTATGCTGGCTGTAAAGATCCTGGAAATGAGCTTGTCTGCTACTCCTGCCCTAATAGTGTTGTGACCAGCAGGGAAGAACATTTGTAGCAGTACTTATTTGCTGATCAGGGATTTTATTTTTTTTTTAAGCTTGCATTTGCTTTAACCGCTTAGGAAAAACAGTTCCAGAACTATCCCCAGCCCTGACCAGCACAGCAGCATCCTCATTCGTATGCTGCTGCTTTGTCTGGCAAAAGGCATTCTACCATGCCATTCCTAACCGCTCCCCACTGTGGTAAGCAGCTATTCGGATTGGATCCCACATCCTCTCTTGGATATTTTGTTTTTCAGGCTGTCTGTCTTACTGCATGCTCCCAAAGTTTCCTCTGAAAGCTAGTGATCTTTGGCTGCCACTGCAGTCCGGCCAGGCCTGAGCCAGGCTGTGCCTGCCCAGCCCTACCTAGAGCACCACAGACCTTTCTGGTGCTGATTTATTTCACACGCACTGTGCCTGCTTTGCCCAGAGTAGAGCAAGACCAATTTTTCCTTTACAAATACATGATTTAAACTTTCATCAAAAATTAACTGGTGCTAAAAGCAGACAAAGACAAATCAGCATTTTCTACTCACTACATGTCAGTAAGGTTCAAGAATTTGCTGCTAGATGTGTAAATCAGGATATAGGATGGGAGAAGCAAACACTGATCACACTCTGAGTGTTCCTTACCTCCCTTCATCCTTATAATAACCCTCCTAGGTAGATATTCTCATCTCCATTTGTTAGAGGAAGAAACAGGCTGGGGGAGGTAGAATAACTTGTGTAGACACACAGTTAGGAAGTGGCAGATGCAGGAATTGAACTTGTTCTATCTGGCACCAAATGCCTTGTTCTTTCCACGACACCATGCTGCCTTCTTGATGAGCATGCTGACTCATTTGGGAAGTTATGTAAGCTTGCAAATCACATTGAGATTCCCAGATAATGTGACTGCATAAAGAAGAACAAGGTGCTGCCACGAGTGGCTTTGGTGCAGTGACAGAAACACAGGGGAGAGGCTCTGCACTGTCGAGAAGGGGTCAGCAAAGCTGTTGAGAGGAGATGGGCTGCACCAGTGGGCCCCAAACCACAGGCAATCATTTATCTCTTCCCTTCCCAACCTGTTCTGCAAATAAACAGATTTTAATTATAAATATATGAATAAAGCTATCTATCCATTTAATTCACGTTACTGAAAATCCAGTCCAAGCTTTGACCACCTGCAGAAGGTATGCCAAAGGTGCCCAGGGTCAGATGGCTTGGCACCACTCCAGTCACCTGCATCAGGTGAAATAAGCAAGGTAGGTCTTTAGCATCATCCACATATGCTTTTATTGACTAGAGGAGTGTCATAATCAGATTTGCACCTCGGGAAGTTATCCCAGGCCTCTGTCGGGAAAGGGAGAAGGGAGGCAATGCAGCGGTGCTGTCAGTGCCCCGCCCACGTCCAATTAGTATGCACCCCACACCCCCAAGGCCTGTGACCCTCTGTGCTCTGGCTTGGCAGCATGCATAGCCCATACACAGTGCAGGAGTGCAGGCCAGATGTGCTGGGGGGTTGATGTCCCTGAGATCAGCCCTCAAACAATGAGGAACAGGAGAGTTGATGGGTAAACACCCCAGCTTCCTTGCCTGTTGGTTGGGATAACTCTTAAGTCGTATTCTACTCTGTGTCTCAGAGTTTCTCAGTGAGGTGGAGCTCCAGTGGAGTTTCTCAGTGGCATGGAGCTCGGCAGTGCTTAGTAACACATCCTTTATTGGCTTCTTTCACTTCCCTGTCCTGCTCCCTGAATCAGCTCCCAGGGATTCCTGAGATCACCTCTCAAATGAACTATTTATAGTAGAATCCATGTTTCAGGTTTCGTTTCCAGAGGAAGCCAGATAAAGACCATTCAGAAGCCGGTGTGGTGGCTCATTCCTGTAATCCCAGCACTTTAGAAGGCTGAGGTGGGTGGATCACTTGAGGCCACGAGTTGAAAACCAGCCCGGCCAACATGATAAAAGCCTCATTTAAAAAAGAAAAAAAAACACCATTCAGTACTTTGTGCCGAGATGGATAATGTGCACTAGACAAAGGGAACAGAAGTAGGAATGGAGAAGAGGGGGTTGCTATGAGAAATATTCACTCTGAGATTTAGAACTTCAAAATAAGAAACTCCTACATTTAATAGCAGTAATTAAAAAAAAACTAACCCCTAATTTTAAAAATAGGCTAAGGACTGGAATAGACATTTCTCCAAAGAAGACATACAAATAGCCAGCAGGTATAAGAAAATGTTCAACATCACCAATCATCAGAAAAACGCAAATCAAAACCGTAATGAGATACCACCTCACACCTGCTAGGATGGTTGTTATATATATAAAGATAACAAGTGGTGGTGAGGATGTGGAGGAAATTGGAACCCTCATATGCTGTTGGTAGGAATGCAAAATGGTGCAGCCACTATGGAAAACAGTGTGAAGTTCCTAAGAAAATTAAAAATAGAACTACCATATGATCCAGCAATCCCACTTCTGGATATTTATCCAAAAGAATTGAAATTAGGATCCCAAAATGATATTAGTATACCCATGTTCACTGCAGCACTATTCACAATAGCCAAGATGTGAAAACAACTTAAATGTCCATCAACAGATTAATGGATAAAAAGAAAATGTGGTACATACATACAACGGAATATTATTCAGCCTTAAAAAGGAAATTTGGCAATGTGTAACAATACAGATGAACCTTAAGGACATTACACTAAGTGAAATAAGCCAGTCACTGAAAGGCAAATATTGCATGACTCCACTTATATGAAATATCTAAGATGAAGTATCTATGATTCAAATTAATAGAATCATAGAATGGTGGTAGCCAGGGCTGGGAAGAAGAGGAAATGGGGAATCACTAACAATGAGCATTGTGTCTCAGTCAAGCAAAATAAATAAGCTCTGGGGAGCTGTTGTACAACCTTGTACCTATAGTCAACAATAATGTATTGTACACTTAATATTTTGTTAAGAAGGTAGATCTCGTGTTAAATGTTATCACGATTTTAAAAAACTGGTTAAATGGAGGGGTAAGAGAGAAAGGAGGGAGAGAAAAGACTCTACAAGAATTCTGAGTCTCTGGCTTAAGCTCCTGGGTGGATACTGATGCCTTACACTGAACTAGAGAATACATTTCAGGGGTAAGAAAGTAAATCCAATTTTGGATATGTAGGAGAAAGTGACATCTGGCTCTGTGATGTCATTTGCAAAAATGAAAGTGCCCCCTTTGCCAAAAGCATCTTCCCAAACCTCTTACCATAGGGCTTGAAATTCTCTATTACTCACTTATTTGGCTTGCTTTTTCCAGAACACTATTTTTAAAATGCTCCTGAGATTATTGATACTTTTGTTACGTGTGATAATAGCATTGTGGTTATGTAGAAAAAAACCTCCTTAACTGTTAGAAATACATGCCAAAGTATTTAATGGATAATATAAAACACTGTGAGGGACTGCTTTCAAATAATCCAGCAAAAAGAAAAATGAAGGGTATATCTAGGGGGATGGATAAAACAACATGGAAAAATATTTAAAATGATAAAAGCTGGAGAATGAATACAGTGGGTCCATTATACCATTTCCTCTACTTTTGTGTGTGGGAAGTTTCCATAACAAAAAAAAAAAGAAGTTACCCTGGTATTTTTAAGATGCTCTTGGCAGGATATCTTATCCAATTGTCTTTAACACCTGTGAAAGAACAACCACAAAAGTGTGTTTTGAAACTTTGGTTGGATTTCATATATTTAGAATATTTAGAAGAAAAGGAGGCTGGTTCTTTCAAAAAATAGACTTGTGAGGAGCTGGATTTTAAAAGAGAGAAGAAACCAAGATTCAGATGTAGAATTTCATATGTTTTTGCCAACCATGTGATTCCTTCCACCATTTTCCAGAGCATAAGAAGGCATCTCATGACCCTCCATCATGCCTTACCACGATGGTCCCACATCAGGGCCTTTGTGTGCATGCTGTCATTTTATCTCCAAAACGCTCTCTAGGCACCCATTTCAAAGATGAAGGAACTCAGGCTGGAGAGGTCAGGTTTTCTGCCTATAGACCATAGAGTAATCAATTCCAGGGGCATTGGGAGAAGGGCCCAGGTTTGACGTTCCATGTATCTGACTCCAAAGTCTGGTATATTCCACAGCCTTCAGTCTAGTTTGCTGTGGTTGACCTTAGGTCACCTTGCCATTCCAAGAAGTGGTCATTCACAAACTGGCTTCAGCAGAATTGACTTTCTGGGAATCAGCCTGCTTCTGCTGAGGACAAGCTTAAACCAACAAAAATCAACAGCATGCCTCCTTGGGCAGGGACAATAGGGTGATAGAGTTCATAGACTAAGTGAGAACTGTCAGGAAAGCATTGTGTCCGTTTCCTCCAAAGCCTTGAGGCATTGGCAGGGTTTGACAGGAAGGGTGGAGGTGGGCACAACACCTAGAAGAGCAACTGGGTGAAAAGCAAAGATAAATGGAACTGTAAAAAAGCATATAATTCCATAAGCAAACATAAAATGCTTTAAAAAGTGGTGTTTCCTTATCTAAGTACTTACTGATGCTTTTTAGAAAACCAATCTTAAGGCTGGGGCCGGCGGCTCATGCCTGTAATCCCAGCGCTTTGGGAGGTCAAGGCGGGTGGATCACCTGAGGTGAGGAGTTCAAGACAAGCCTGACCAACATGGCAAAACCCCGTCTCTACTAAAAATATAAAAATTAGACGGGTGTGGTGACGGGTGCCTGTAATCCCAGCTACTTGGGAGGCTGAGGCAGGAGAGTCACTTGAACCCAGGAGGCAGAGGTTGCAGTGACCCAAGATTGCACCACTGGACTCCAGCCTGGGTGACAGAGGGAGATGCTGTCTCAAAAAAAAAAAAAAAACCAACCTTAAAGTCAAGCAAAGGAGATAACTAAGTAAATTATAATTATTTCCTACTGTTGGAGTATTACATGTCCATAGTTTATGGATGTTATTATCCATAATAAAGATTATGGAAAACTGTTTATTTAAAAAATTTAACTGAAAAAGCAGAATATAGAATACATATAGGATAAGGGCAGTCAAGATGGCCGAATAGGAACAGCTCCGGTCCATAGCTCCCAGCATGAGCGACGCAGAAGACGGGTGATTTCTGCATTTCCATCTGAGGTACCGTGTTCATCTCACAAGGGAGTGCCAGACAGTGGGCGCGGGACAGTGGGTGCAGCACACCGTGCACAAGCCGAAGCAGGGTGAGGCATTGCCTCACTTGGGAAGCACAAGGGGTCAGGGAGTTCCCTTTCCTAGTCAAAGAAAGGGGTGACAGACGGCACCTGGAAAATCGGGTCACTCCCACCCGAATACTGTGCTTTTCCAACGGGCTTAAAAAACGGCACACCAGGAGATTATATCCCGCACATGGCTCGGAGGGTCCTACGCCCACAGAGTCTCACTGATTGCTGGCACAGCAGTCTGAGATCAAACTGCAAGGTGGCAGCGAGGCTGGGGAAGGGGCGGCCGCCATTGCCCAGGCTTGCTTAGGTAAACAAAGCAGCCGGGAAGCTCCAACTGGGTGGAGCCCACCACAGCTCAAGGAGGCCTGCCTGCCTCTGTAGGCTCCACCTCTGGGGGCAGGGCACAGACAAACAAAAAGACAGCAGTAACCTCCTCAGACTTAAATGTCCCTGTCTGACAGCTTTGAAGAAAGCAGTGGTTCTCCCAGCACACAGCTGGAGATCTGAGAATGGGCAGACTGCCTCCTCAAGTGGGTCCCTGACCCCTGACCCCCGAGCAGTGTAACTGGGAGGGACCCCCCAGTAGGGGCAGACTGACACCTCACACGGCTGGGTACTCCTCTGAGACAAAACTTCCAGAGGAACGATCAGACAGCAGCATTCGCGGTTCATGAAAATCCGCTGTTCTGCAGCCACCGCTGCTGTTACCCAGGCAACCAGGGTCTGGAGTGGACCTCTAGCAAACTCCAACAGAGCTGCAGCTGAGGGTCCTGTGTGTTAGAAGGAAAACTAACAAACAGAAAGGACATCCACACCAAAAACCCATCTGTACATCACCATCATCAAAGACCAAAAGTAGATAAAAACCACAAAGATGGGGAAAAAACAGAGCAGAAAAACTGGAAACTCTAAAAAGCAGAGTGCCTCTCCTCCTCCAAAGGAATGCAACTCCTCACCAGCAACGGAACACAGCTGGATGGAGAATGACTTTGACAAGTTGAGAGAAGAAGGCTTCAGATGATCAAACTACTCTGAGCTACAGGAGGAAATTCAAACCAAAGGCAAAGAAGTTAAAAACTTTGAAAAAAATTTAGACCAATGTATAACGAGAATAACCAATACAGAGAAGTGCTTAAAGGAGCTGATGGAGCTGAAAGCCAAGGCTCGAGAACTACGTGAAGAATGCAGAAGCCTCAGGAGCCGACGCGATCAACTGGAAGAAAGGGTATCAGTGATGGAAGCTGAAATGAATGAAATGAAGCGAGAAGGGAAGTTTAGAGAAAAAAGAATAAAAAGAAATGAACAAAGCCTACAAGAAATATGGGATTATGTGAAAAGACCAAATCTACGTCTGATTGGTGTACCTGAAAGTGATGGGGAGAATGGAAACAAGTTGGAAAACACTCTGCAGGATATTATCCAGGAGAACTTCCCCAATCTAGCAAGGCAGGCCAACATTCAGATTCAGGAAATACAGAGAACGCCACAAAGATACTCCTCGAGAAGAGCAACTCCAAGACACATAATTGTCAGATTCACCAAAGTTGAAATGAAGGAAAAAATGTTAAGGGCAGCCAGAGAGAAAGGTCAGGTTACCCACAAAGGGAAGCCCATCAGACTAACAGTGGATCTCTCAGCAGAAACTCTACAAGCCAGAAGAGAGTGGGGGCCAATATTCAACATTCTTATAGAAAAGAGTTTTCAACCCAGAATTTCATATCCAACCAAACTAAGCTTCATAAGTGAAGGAGAAATAAAATCCTTTACAGAGAAGCAAATGCTGAGAGATTTTGTCACCACCAGGCCTGCCCTAAAAGAGCTCCTGAAGGAGGCACTAAACATGGAAGGGAGCAACCGGTACCAGCCACAGCAAAATCATGCCAAATTGTAAAGACCGTCGAGGCTAGGAAGAAATTGCATCAACTAACGAGCAAAATAACCAGCTAACATCATAATGACAGGATCAAATTCACACATAACAATATTAACTTTAAATGTAAATGGACTAAATGCTCCAATTAAAAGACACAGACTGGCAAATTGGATAAAGAGTCAAGACCCATCAGTGTGCTGTATTCAGGAAACCCATCTCACGTGCAGAGACACACATAGGCTCAAAATAAAAGGATGGAGGAAGATCTACCAAGCCAATGGAAAACAAAAAAAGGCAGGGGTTGCAATCCTAGTCTCTGATAAAACAGACTTTAAACCAACAAAGATCAAAAGAGACAAAGAAGGCCATTACATAATGGTAAAGGGATCAATTCAACAAGAGGAGCTAACTATCCTAAATATTTATGCACCCAATACAGGAGCACCCAGATTCATAAAGCAAGTCCTGAGTGACCTACAAAGAGACTTAGACTCCCACACATTAATAATGGGAGACTTTAACACCCCACTGTCAACATTAGACAGATCAACGAGACAGAAAGTCAACAAGGATACCCAGGAATTGAACTCAGCTCTGCACCAAGCAGACCTAACAGACATCTACAGAACTCTCCACCCCAAATCAACAGAATATACATTTTTTTCAGCACCACACCACACCTATTCCAAAATTGACCACATAGTTGGAAGTAAAGCTCTCCTCAGCAAATGTAAAAGAACAGAAATTATAACAAACTATCTCTCAGACCACAGTGCAATCAAACTAGAACTCAGGATTAAGAATCTCACTCAAAGCCGCTCAACTACATGGAAACTGAACAACCTGCTCCTGAATGACTACTGGGTACATAACGAAATGAAGGCAGAAATAAAGATGTTCTTTGAAACCAACGAAAACAAAGACACAACATACCAGAATCTCTGGGACACATTCAAAGCAGTGTGTAGAGGGAAATTTATAGCACTAAATGCCCACAAGAGAAAGCAGGAAAGATCCAAAATTGACACCCTAACATCACAATTAAAAGAACTAGAAAAGCAAGAGCAAACACATTCAAAAGCTAGCAGAAGGCAAGAAACAACTAAACTCAGAGCAGAACTGAAGGAAATAGAGACACAAAAAACCCTTCAAAAAATCAATGAATCCAGGAGCTGGTTTTTTGAAAGGATCAACAAAATTGATAGACCGCTAGCAAGACTAATAAAGAAAAAAAGAGAGAAGAATCAAATAGACACAATAAAAAATGATAAAGGGGATATCACCACCGATCCCACAGAAATACAAACTACCATCAGAGAATACTACAAACACCTCTACGCAAATAAACTAGAAAATCTAGAAGAAATGGATACATTCCTCGACACATACACTCTCCCAAGACTAAACCAGGAAGAAGTTGAATCTCTGAATAGACCAATAACAGGCTCTGAAATTGTGGCAATAATCAATAGTTTACCAACCAAAAAGAGTCCAGGACCAGATGGATTCACAGCCGAATTCTACCAGAGGTACAAGGAGGAACTGGTACCATTCCTTCTGAAACTATTCCAATCAATAGAAAAAGAGGGAATCCTCCCTAACTCATTTTATGAGGCCAGCATCATTCTGATACCAAAGCCGGGCAGAGACACAACCAAAAAAGAGAATTTTAGACCAATATCCTTGATGAACATTGATGCAAAAATCCTCAATAAAATACTGGCAAACCGAATCCAGCAGCACATCAAAAAGCTTATCCACCATGATCAAGTGGGCTTCATCCCTGGGATGCAAGGCTGGTTCAATATACGCAAATCAATAAATGTAATCCAGCATATAAACAGAGCCAAAGACAAAAACCACATGATTATCTCAATAGATGCAGAAAAAGCCTTTGACAAAATTCAACAACCCTTCATGCTAAAAACTCTCAATAAATTAGGTATTGATGGGACGTATTTCAAAATAATAAGAGCTATCTATGACAAACCCACAGCCAATATCATACTGAATGGGCAAAAACTGGAAGCATTCCCTTTGAAAACTGGCACAAGACAGGGATGCCCTCTCTTACCACTCCTATTCAACATAGTGTTGGAAGTTCTGGCCAGGGCAATCAGGCAGGAGAAGGAAATAAAGGGTATTCAATTAGGAAAAGAGGAAGTCAAATTGTCCCTGTTTGCAGACGACATGATTGTTTATCTAGAAAACCCCATCGTCTCAGCCCAAAATCTCCTTAAGCTGATAAGCAACTTCAGCAAAGTCTCAGGATACAAAATCAATGTACAAAAATCACAAGCATTCTTATACACCAACAACAGACAAACAGAGAGCCAAATCATGGGTGAACTCCCATTCACAATTGCTTCAAAGAGAATAAAATACCTAGGAATCCAACTTACAAGGGATGTGAAGGACCTCTTCAAGGAGAACTACAAACCACTGCTCAAGGAAATAAAAGAGGACACAAACAAATGGAAGAACATTCCATGCTCATGGGTAGGAAGAATCAATATCGTGAAAATGGCCATACTGCCCAAGGTAATTTACAGATTCAATGCCATCCCCATCAAGCTACCAATGACTTTCTTCACAGAATTGGAAAAAACTACTTTAAAGTTCATATGGAACCAAAAAAGAGCCCGCATTGCCAAGTCAATCCTAAGCCAAAAGAACAAAGCTGGAGGCATCACACTACCTGACTTCAAACTATACTACAAGGCTACAGTAACCAAAACAGCATGGTACTGGTACCAAAACAGAGATATAGATCAATGGAACAGAACAGAGCCCTCAGAAATAATGCCGCATATCTACAACTATCTGATCTTCGACAAACCTGAGAAAAACAAGCAATGGGGAAAGGATTCCCTATTTAATAAATGGTGCTGGGAAAACTGGCTAGCCATATGTAGAAAGCTCAAACTGGATCCCTTCCTTACACCTTATACAAAAATCAATTCAAGATGGATTAAAGATTTAAACGTTAAACCTAAAACCATAAAAACCCTAGAAGAAAACCTAGGCATTACCATTCAGGACATAGGCGTGGGCAAGGACTTCATGTCCAAAACACCAAAAGCAATGGCAACAAAAGACAAAATTGACAAATGGGATCTAATTAAACTAAAGAGCTTCTGCACAGCAAAAGAAACTACCATCAGAGTGAACAGGCAACCTACAACATGGGAGAAAATTTTCGCAACCTACTCATCTGACAAAGGGCTAATATCCAGAATCTACAATGAACTCAAACAAATTTACAAGAAAAAAACAAACAACCCCATCAAAAAGTGGGCGAAGGACATGAACAGACACTTCTCAAAAGAAGACATTTATGCAGCCAAAAAACACATGAAGAAATGCTCATCATCACTGGCCATCAGAGAAATGCAAATCAAAACCACTATGAGATATCATCTCACACCAGTTAGAATGGCAATCATTAAAAAGTCAGGAAACAACAGGTGCTGGAGAGGATGCGGAGAAATAGGAACACTTTTACACTGTTGGTGGGACTGTAAACTAGTTCATCCATTGTGGAAGTCAGTGTGGCGATTCCTCAGGGATCTAGAACTAGAAATACCATTTGACCCAGCCATCCCATTACTGGGTATATACCCAGATGAGTATAAATCATGCTGCTATAAAGACACATGCACACGTATGTTTATTGCGGCACTATTCACAATAGCAAAGACTTGGAACCAACCCAAATGTCCAACAATGATAGACTGGATTAAGAAAATGTGGCACATATACACCATGGAATACTATGCAGCCATAAAAAATGATGAGTTCATATCCTTTGTAGGGACATGGATGAAAATGGAAACCATCATTCTCAGTAAACTATCGCAAGAACAAAAAACCAAACACCGCATATTCTCACTCATAGGTGGGAATTGAACAATGAGATCACATGGACACAGGAAGGGGAATATCACACTCTGGGGACTGTGGTGGGGTCGGGGGAGGGGGGAGGGATAGCATTGGGAGACACATTAGTGGATGCAGCGCACCAGCATGGCACATGTATACATATGTAACTAACCTGCACAATGTGCACATGTACCCTAAAACTTAGAGTATAATAAAAAAAAAAAAAAAAGAAAAAAAAAAAAAAAAAAAACAAAACAGGACACCTGGACACTTTCCTCAAGGAATAATGTATAGCGGACAGTGGTAAATGACTTTGCTGGTTGGTAAGAGCAACTAGCAATATTGGAAGATTAGAGAAAAAGGGTTCTAGATGACTCATCAAGGGAAGCTCAGTCAGCCTCTGTACTCATACACTCCAGTGCCTGAGCACGGAACTCAAAAATAAAAAAGCTATGGTGTCATAATAAAAATGCACATGGGCCAAATAGCATGGGCTCCCTCGTGCTAATCAGTACTATGTACTGCTGCTACTGAATATCAGATCTGTCAAAAGCAGAGATCAATGTTGAGCACTTGACGGATGATGGTACCATCCACCAAAGAGACCAACTAGCCACTTGGAGGCAAGTTGAAAACATCAGACCACTTACCTACTAAAAGGAGTAGTGATTTGCCCCGACTTGAATTATTCTTGGCATAGAACTCTCTGTCTTTCCCACAGCACCTTGCAAAGCACCACCACTCAAAGGTTCATAAATCTTGAAAAACATCTCCTAGGACCAAGGGTCACACTTTCAGAAGGAGGGGTGACAATGATAAATAACCAAGGAATGTACTGTTTCTACCATACATCATGTGGTCTCCTGAGGGCAGAGCTAAGCACCAACTTGGAAGTGACATCTCTGAGATGGGGACATTGTCCTTCAAGGCTTCAAGGTAAAGTATATTATTTAACTAATGGCCATTATATAAGACTGTGTACTTAGCAGTTAGAAAACATGAGTCTGGGACTGAAATGGTGAAATTAGGATTAGCATTTCTAATTATAATTTGCAGTTATCTGTGGGAGAATTAGTGATTTCATTACTACAACTTTAGGCTTTTCTGGACTAAAGGTCCCAGTTCCTGGAGTAGGGGTGGGGAAAGCTATTCTACCAGCATCCTTGTTAAAGGTTCCACCAAATCCAAACTGAGCAGCTGCATGGTCATTTTGGGATCTTCATGCTGGCAGACTGGCAGACAAAGAAAGGAGTTACTATACTGACAAGAGCCATTGATTATTGGTCCCTAGTGTTCATGATGCTATAATGTGCTGCTACCTAATGAAGACAAGAGGTAAATGACTTCGTTCCTTCTGGAAATTTAGAGGATTCACTGGAACACATCATATTGCTTCTACATAGTGATTACCCAAGAGGGAAAAGCAACTTTACTATTGTACTATTCCTTTGTCCAAAATATTTTAAGAATGTACATGGCTCTTATTATTGTAATTCAAAAACATATTTCATAGATGTTTAATGATGACGGTGTATATTAAACTTAATTCGTATGTTTCCCTAGATATAAAAATTTCTTACTACATCTATTATAAGTTTATTCATTTTAACAACCACAACAAGACTTGATTTGATTGACCTTTTACTAATATTTCTGTAACTGTCACAGCAGATAATATAAAGTGTAATCTAACATAATCTGTTTTTTATTTCGCTGCTTCTAAGAATCCCATCTTATCTTGAAGTTTTCAACCATGGTTTAATACACAGTAACTTATTGGAAGCCTCAATTGGTTTCCTGTTGTCTATTAATAATTAAAATGAATTGAAAGAAAAAAAAAAAAAAAAAAAGGATGGAGGAAGATCTACCAAGCAAATGGAAAACAAAAAAAGGCAGGGGTTGCAATCCTAGTCTCTGACAAAACAGACTTTAAACCAACAAAGATCAAAAGAGACAAAGAAGGCCATTACATAATGGTAAAGGGATCACTTCAACAAGAAGAGCTAACTATCCTAAATATATATGCACCCAATACAGGAGCACCCAGATTCATAAAGCAAGTCCTGAGTGACCTACAAAGAGACTTAGACTCCCACTCAATAATAATGGGAGACTTTAACACCCCACTGTCAACATTAGACAGATCAACGAGACAGAAAGTTAACAAGGATATCCAGGAATTGAACTCAGCTCTGCACCAAGCAGACCTAACAGACATCTACAGAACTCTCCACCCCAAATCAACAGAATATACATTTTTTTCAGCACCACACCACACCTATTCCAAAATTGACCACATAGCTGGAAGTAAAGCTCTCCTCAGCAAATGTGAAAGAACAGAAATTATAACAAACTGTCTCTCAGACCACAGTGCAATCAAACTAGAACTCAGGATTAAGAATCTCACTCAAAACTGCTCAGCTACATGGAAACTGAACAACCTGCTCCTGGATGACTACTGGGTACATAAGGAAATGAAGGCAGAAATAAAGATGTTCTTTGAAACCAACGAAAACAAAGACACAACATACCAGAATCTCTGGGACACATTCAAAGCAGTGTGTAGAGGGAAATTTATAGCACTAAATGCCCACAAGAGAAAGCAGGAAAGATCCAAAATTGACACCCTAACATCACAATTAAAAGAACTAGAAAAGCAAGAGCAAACACATTCAAAAGCTAGCAGAAGGCAAGAAACAACTAAACTCAGAGCAGAACTAAAGGAAATAGAGACACAAAAAACCCTTCAAAAAATAATGAATCCAGGAGCTGGTTTTTTGAAAAGATCAACAAAATTGATAGACTACTAGCAAGACTAATAAAGAAGAAAAGAGAGAAGAATCAAATAGATGCAATAAAAAATGATAAAGGGGATATCACCACCGATCCCACAGAAATACAAACTACCATCAGAGAATACTACAAACACCTCTACACAAATAAACTAGAAAATCTAGAAGAAATGGATAAATTCCTCAACACATACACCCTCCCAAGACTAAACCAGGAAGAAGTTGAATCTCTGAATAGACCAATAACAGGCTCTGAAATTGTGGCAATAATCAATAGCTTACCGACGAAAAAGAGTCCAGGACCAGATGGATTCACAGCCGAATTCTACCAGAGGTACAAGGAGGAACTGGTACCATTCCTTCTGAAACTATTCCAATCAATAGAAAAAGAAGGAATCCTCCCTAACTCATTTTATGAAGCCAGCATCATCCTGATACCAAAGCCAGGCAGAGACACAACCAAAAAAGAAAATTTTAGACCAATATCCTTGAGGAACATTGATGCAAAAATCCTCAGTAAAATACTGGCAAACCGAATCCAGCAGCACATCAAAAAGCTTATCCACCATGATCAAGTGGGCTTCATCCCTGGGATGGAAGGCTGGTTCAATATACGCAAATCAATAAATGTAATCCAGCATATAAACAGAACCAAAGACAAAAACCACATGATTATCTCAATAGATTCAGAAAAAACCTTTGACAAAATTCAACAACCCTTCATGCTAAAAACTCTCAATAAATTAGGTATTGATGGGACATATCTCAAAATAATAAGAGCTATCTATGACAAACCCACAGCCAATATCATACTGAATGGGCAAAAACTGGAAGCATTCCCTTTGAAAACTGGCACAAGACAGGGATGCCCTCTCTCACCACTCCTATTCAACATAGTGTTGGAAGTTCTGGCCAGGGCATTCAGGCAGGAGGAGGAAATAAAGGGTATTCAACTGGGAAAAGAGGAAGTCAAATTATCCCTGTTTGCAGATGACATGATTGTATATCTAGAAAACCCCATCGTCTCAGCCCAAAATCTCCTTAAGCTGATAAGCAACTTCAGCAAAGTCTCAGGATACAAAATCAATGTACAAAAATCACAAGCATTCTTATACACCAATAACAGACAAACAGACAGCCAAATCATGAGTGAACTCCCATTCACAATTGCTTCAAAGAGAATAAAATACCTAGGAATCCAACTTACAAGGGATGTGAAGGACCTCTTCAAGGAAAACTACAAACCACTGCTCAATGAAATAAAAGAGGATACAAATATATGGAAGAACATTCCATGATCATGTGTAGGAAGAATCAACATCATGAAAATGGCCATACTGCCCAAGGTAATTTATAGATTCAATGCCATCCCCATCAAGCTACCAATGACTTTCTTCACAGAATTGGAAAAAACTACTTTAAAGTTCATATGGAACCAAAAAAGAGCCCCCATCGCCAAGTCAATCCTAAGTCAAAAGAACAAAGCTGGAGGCATCACGCTACCTGACTTCAAACTATACTACAAGGCTATAGTAACCAAAACAGCATGGTACTGGTACCAAAACAGAGATATAGATCAATGGAACAGAACAGAGCCCTCAGAAATAACGCCACATATCTGCAACTATCTGATCTTTGACAAACCTGAGAAAAACAAGCAATGGGGAAAGGATTCCCTATTTAATAAATGGTGCTGGGAAAACTGGCTAGCCATATGTAGAAAGCTGAAACTGGATCCCTTCCTTACACCTTATACAAAATTAATTCAAGATGGGTTAAAGACTTAAACATTAGACCTAAAACCAGAAAAACCCTAGAAGAAAACCTAGGCATTACCATTCAGGACATAGGCATGGGCGAGGACTTCATGTCTAAAACACCAAAAGCAATGGCAACAAAAGCCAAAATTGACAAATGGGATCTAATTAAATTAAAGAGCTTCTGCACAGCAAAAGAAACTACCATCAGAATGAACAGGCAACCTACAAAATGGGAGAAAATTTTTGCAACCTACTCATCTGACAAAGGGCTAATATCCAGAATCTACAATGAACTCAAACAAATTTACAAGAAAAAAACAAACAACCCCATCAAAAAGTGGGCAAAGGACATGAACAGACACTTCTCAAAAGAAGACATTTATGCAGCCAAAAAACACATGAAAAAATGCTCACCATCACTGGCAATCAGAGAAATGCAAATCAAAACCACTATGAGATATCATCTCACACCAGTTAGAATGGCAATCATTAAAAAGTCAGGAAACAACAGGTGCTGGAGAGGATGTGGAGAAATAGGAACACTTTTACACTGTTGTTGGGACTGTAAACTAGTTCAACCATTGTGGAAGTCAGTGTGGCGATTCCTCAGGGATCTAGAACTAGAAATACCATTTGACCCGGCCATCCCGTTACTGGGTATATACCCAAAGGACTATAAATCATGCTGCTATAAAGACACATGCACACGTATGTTTATTGCAGCACTATTCACAATAGCAAAGACTTGGAACCAACCGAAATATCCAACAAGGATAGACTGGATTAAGAAAATGTGGCACATATACACCATGGAATACTATGCAGCCATAAAAAATGATGAGTTCATGTCCTTTGTAGGGACATGGATGAAATTGGAAATCATCATTCTCAGTAAACTATCGCAAGGACAAAAAACCAAACACCGCTTGTTCTCACTCATAGGTGGGAATTGAACAATGAGAACACATGGACACAGGAAGGGGAACATCACACTCTGGGGACTGTTGTGGGGTCGGGGGAAGGGGGAGGGTTAGCATTAGGAGATATACCTAATGCTAAATGATGAGTTAATGGGTGCAGCACACCAGCATGGCACATGTATACATATGTAACTAACCTGCACATTGTGCACATGTACCCTAAAACTTAAAGTATAATAATAATAAAATAAAAATAAATAAAAAAAAGAAAAAATACATATAGGATAATTACAATTTTCTAAAACATCCTCTCTGTGGAAAAAAGATTGGAAGAAAAAAATGTCAAAAATGTTATGTGATTGTCCTTAGGCTGCTGAAAGATGGGTTTCAAATATTTTAATTTTTCATTCTATTTTAAAATTTTCCTATAATGAAATGTATTACTTTTGGAATGGAAAAAATGGTTTAAAACCCCCAAAGAACTTCATTTTACTTTTTATCCTTGTTTAATCCAGGGTAATGCTTATAAGAATAAAAGAAGTTAAAGATACTTCATGTTGAGAATTTAAGTATAGTTTGGAAGAAACTCTGAGCAAGCGATACTAAGTTATGTCTTGGCTGCCCTCAGTTAGCCATATACACATGAAGCAAACCTCATCACTGGGTCTCCATCCCCTTTCCTTGATCAAGGTGACTATGAAACACTAAGAAGTCTGTTCACCTGGCTGGGTGTGTTGGCTCACACCTGTAGTCCCAGAACTTTGGGAGGCCGTGGTGGGTGGATCATGAGGTCAGGAGTTCAAGACCAGCCTGGCCAACATGGTGGAACCCCATCTCTACTAAAAATACAAAAAATTAGCCGGGCACAGTGGCAGGCACCTGCAATCCCAGCTACTGAGAAGGCTGAGGCAGGAGAATCGCTTGAACCCAGGAGGTGGAGGTTGCAGTGAGCCAAGATCGTGCCACTGCACTCTAGCCTGGGCGACAGAGCACGACTCCATCATAAAAGAAAAAAAAAGAAGTCTGTTCACCTAAAGATCATACCAATGATGGCAGAATACAGACTCTAGCAATAGGTCTAGCAAAGTCTGGTATATTCCACAGCCTTCAGTTTAGCTTGCTGTGGTTGGCCCTAGGTCACCTTGCCATTCTAAGAAGTGGTCATTCACAAACTGGCTTCTGCTGAATTGATTTTCTGGGAATCAGCCTGCTTCTGCTGAGGACAAGCTTGAACCAAAAGATAGGAGACCTCAGGAGGTTAAATTCATAAGCCAATATTTTTAATTAGCCATCCTTGGTATACTTAACAAGTCATAAGAGTTAGATTCTGTAAATAATAGTCTTTCAGAGGCCAGGCCTGTGCTGCATTTTTAGAAAGCCAGAGTCAACCCAGGCAAAAATGTCAATGATACCTTTTACCTGGAGAGAGAACATCTCTCTAGGACTGTTAAACCAAAAGCTATACTACACTCACCCACAATAGCTACAGAATTCCTTGGCAGGGGCTAGTGGTTTCTTCTAGCTGATTCTGAAATTGAAATATTGAATATCTATCATTTAGGAACATGAAATTCAGCAGCTTTCTTAAAGAGACTTAAACCAACATGGAAGAAAAATATAAAAAGTTTCCTTATAACCTAACCAGCATTAGGGCCTGCCATGCACCCCAAGTCCCGGGCCAGTTTCTTCAGGAGACATGTGGAGTAAGAAACAGAAATTGTTCTTAAGGAGAGGGAGAAAAAAACAAGTACAAAATTGCCTGTAATACCAAGTAGAATAAAATAAGTAGGATGCAAATTTAGGGAAGAGAAAAATCACCTCTACTTGGGGGCCATAAGGGAAGATTTCCAGAGAATGAGGCATTTGAAGCAGCCCTTGATAGACATAAGATTTCAGTCAGCCACAGGCAGCAGGGAAGGTATAAGATAACTTTGATGGAGGGAAGAATATTATCAAGCAAAAGAAGATATGAAAAAAAAAGATAACATGTTCCAATCCAAATTTCTAAAAATGCAAGTGGCCCTATGAACTGAGGACCCGGGAGTCATGGCCTGGCCTATGGCTGGGCTTTGTTTTGCTGGGTATGAACTTGGAGCTCTGTGAACTTTGAAAGGCAGGTGGAGGTGGAGGCTGCTTGGCTGGTGGGGCTCCCAGAACAGACTTAAGGAGTGGGGAAGAAGAGGAATAAGAGCTCTTGCTGCTACAGAGATAAGAACTTGGTAGGAAGCAAATAAGAGACACTAAAAAGACATCATTGAGTCATTTTGCTTTGTGATATAACTCCTCTCCTGTGTATCCAGATAAATCTTTGATCACAATCTACATTACTAGACAATGTGTTAGACTTGAATTTTGAGTGTGTGTGTGTGTGTGTGTGTGGTGGGGGGCTGTATGTGTGTATGGGTTGAGGGGTGGTGGGTATGGAATACATCCTGGAGGTGAGAGTGAGATGAAAGCAGAGGCAGCAAGAGGGGTGTAGGCACATTTGTTTAATAGACTTACTTGGAAGTGAAGAAAGGCAACTAGTCATTCATTCATTCATCACTACTACGTTGTACCAAACACTGTGCTAGTATCGAGATGCAGTAGATCCAAGTCTGATGTGGTCCTGGTCTTCAAAGAGCCTGCAATCTTGTTGGGGTTGGGGGCAGAGATGAACTAAATAATTTTAAAAATGCCTAATTAGGATTGCAGTTAGTGCCATGAAGGAGAAGCCTATATCGCTATGAAAGTTCGTAGAGGGATTCGACCTTGTTGATTAGTTAAGGGGCTATAGAATTGAGTTCTGAAGGACGAATAGGAATGTAGAGTGTAGTGTTTAAGGTAGAGCAAAGAGTAAGTGCAAAGGCCCTGTGGAAAGAAGGAACTGAAGACAGGCCAGCATGTCTGAAGCACAGACAGTGATGAGGAGCATAGAGACAAGTACTGCTGACGAGACAGGAAGCAGACCACCACTGGGTGTTGTAAGTCAGGTAAGGGTTAATTGGGGGTGATAGGATCATTTATATTTAAGAAGGCCACTCTGGCTGCTGTATGGAAAAGGAATGAGAGTATGACAAGAGTAGATGTATGCAAGAAAATCAACTAAGAAGCCGCTGCTCTCCCCAGGGAAAAGATGATGATAGGGCTATACTTTATCACAAATAAGAAAGCATGACATAGCCTCAGCTAAGAGGATTAACTCTCTTTTATATTAAATTGAAAGCGTGCAAGAAAATGTCACCTTACACTTTGTAGGAAACTTATTGTTCCTTTCAAGTACAAATATGTGCTTATGTAAGTGACTTTAGCAATAAGAACAGATATATGCTAACACTAGGATGAAAAGACAGTCTCTGAAGAAGTGGAATGCAAAATGTAATATTCATAAGCTTTTGGATATGTCTACATGACAGATGTGTTTCTAAGTGTACTGTATATTTTAGGCAGAATGTTTTTTCTTGGCTGGTTTGTATACAGCACACTGAATGGATAGAGGGAACAAAGCATTATATATGAGTTACTTTTTCTTTATATACAAACAATTCACAGAGGCATTCCCACTAAAATGCTTCCATTTCACCTTCAATTCATCTTGAATACTCTAATTTTGTTCAAGGAGAAATTAACAAATCACAATGGCATTGGGAGATTATAATACACCTCTATAGATCAAATAGACAAAATGAATAAAGATATGAGAGATTCAAACCACACAATTAACAAGCTTGATCTAACCCTGCACTCAATAAATATGGAATATATCTATTCTTTTTAAGCTCACATGGAACTATTATATACATTGACTATGTATGATTACAAGGTAAGTTCATTTTCTAATAACAGAATATGTATATTTTTTGCATTTTTCTATATGTATGTTAAATTTCCATAAAATGGCTTGTTTTTAAAAAAAGCCAAACCAAATCAGAGCAAACAAAGATAAAGTCTCAAAGAGAGGCTCAGCAAATTTCAAAGGAATATCACACAAGCTTCTCTGACAATAATGCAATTAAATTGAAATTTAACAATAAAAACTTAAAACATTTTTTGGAGAGCAAAAAATGCATTTCTAAAGAATTTGTGACTTAAGAAAAAAATCATACTGGAAACTGTCAAATACTCAGAACTGTATATGAATGAAAATGATAATAATAACTTGTAGAGATGTAATTAAATAAAATGTACAGAATAATATGCATGTATTATAAAACATAAAAACAAAAATGAATGAGAAAGCATTCAGTTTAAAAATCTAGAAGAAAGACATTAGAGTAAGTGCAAGAAAAGCAGAAGAGAGGAAAAATTATTGATTAGAAGTGATTAACTAAATAAAAATGGAATCCCAAAGTTCCAGCAGTTTACTTTGTGGATATCAATGATCTGACTCTAAGGTTTATATGGAGCAGCAAAAGACCCAGAATAGCCAACACAATATAAATAAATAAATACTGGGCCAAGACCTTAATAGACACCTCACCAAAGAAGACACACAGATGACAAATAAGCACATGAAAAGATGCACCATGTCATGTATCATCAGGAAAATGCAAATTGAAACAACAATGAGCCACCCCTATACACCTATTAGAATTGTCAAAATCAGAACACTGACAACATCAAATGCTGGAGAGAATGTGGAGCAACAGAAATGCTCATTCATCACTTGTGGGAATGCAAAATGGTACAGCCACTTTGGAAGACAGTTTGGTGCTTTCTTATAAAACTAAATATAGTCTTTTTTTTTTTTTGAGATAAAGATTAACTCTGTTGCCCAGGCTGGAGTGCAGTGGTGAGATCTCAGCTCACTGCCAGCTCCGTCTCCCGGGTTCAAGTCAACCTTGTCCCTCAGCCTCCTGAGTAGCTAGGATTACAGGCGCCTGCCACCACACCTGGCTAATTTTTGTATTTTTAGTAGAGATAGGGTTTCACCATGTTGGCCAGGCTGGTCTCAAACTCCTGACCTCAGGTGATCCACCTGTCTTGGCTTCCCAAAGTGCTGGGATTACAGGTGTGAGCCACTGCACCCGGCCAAAACTACACATATTCTTACCATACAATTCAGCAGTTATGCTCCTTGGTATTTACCTAAAGGAGTTGAAAGCTTATGTCCACACTAAAACCTGCAAGTGGATGTTTATAGTAGTTTTATTCATAATTACCAAAACTTAGAAGCAACCAAGATGTCCTTCAGTAGGTGAATGGCTGAATAAATTTTGGTACATGAAGACAATGGAATGTTACCCAGCCCTAAAAAGAAATGAGCTATGAAGCCATGAAAAGATATGAAGGAAACTTAAGTGCATATTTCTAAGTGAAAGAAGACAATCTGAAAAGGCCAGATACTGTAGGATTCCAACTATTGACATTCTAGAAAAGGCAAGATTATGGAAAGAGAAAAAGATCAGTGGTTGCCAGAGGTTGGTGAGAAGGTGAGAGGAAGGTTGAATATGCAGAGCACAGGTAATTTTTAGGGCAGGGAAAATACGCTGTATGATACTATAACATTGGATATGTGTCATTATAGGTTTGTCCAATACATAGAATGTGTAACAACAAGAGTGAACCACAGTGTAAACTATGGACTTTGGGTAATAATGATGTCAATGTTGGTTCATCAATTGTAACAAATGTACTAGTCTGGTGGAGGATGTCGATAACGGGGGAGGCTGTCTATATGGGGGCACAGGTGGTATATGGACAATCTCTGTATCTTCCTCTTAATTTTGCTGTGAAACTAAAACTGCCCTAAAAAATAAAATCTTCTTAAAAATGGGTTCTATTAAAAGACAAAGTAGGCAATCCTCTAGCAGAATGGATGAAGGAAAAAGCAATCAATAATATTAGAAGTAAAGGGAGGAACATAATTATAAAGACAGTGGAGATTGAAAAAATTCATGGGATGAGATTAGGAACTCTATGGCAGTACATTTGAAACAAGATATTTGAGAAAATATAAATTATCAAAATTAATTCAAGAAGAGAAAAACTGAACAAACCAACAACCATTACAGACATTAAAATAATAGCCAAAAAGCTCCCCTGAAAAAAACATGGAAGGCCCAGACAGTTATACAAGTTAATTCACCAAGCCTTCATCGAATAGATAGTCCCTATCTTATACAAACTGTTTTGGAGAGTTAAAAAAAAAAAAGAGAGAAATCTATCCAACTCATTTCATGTAAATATACTACCCCCATTAAAAAAGAAAGAAGTATATCCCATGTATTCATGTAAATATAATAACAAAGCTAGACAACAAAATAAGCTAAAAAGAACATTTAGAGCCAATTCACCTATAAACATAAATGACAAAATTCAAAGTAAAATGCTAAGAAATGTAATTCATCAGCATATTAAGAAACATACATCATAGCCATGACATAGGGTAAATTCCAGAATGCAAAACAACTCCACATCAGAACAACTTACCAAGGCTATCTACCTTTTTAATAGACTAATAGAGAAAAAACAGATAATAGATCTTAAAAATGTTGAAATAGCATTTGATCAATTAAACACCCATAAATGATTAAAAAAAAAAACTTTTGCCAAGGAATATAAGGGAATTTTCTTAACCCAATAAAGGGTTTCTGTCAAAACTTATAGTAAGCATCATATATGATGGTGAAATATCAGATTATTTTCTATTAGAGTTGGGAATAAGATAGGAGACCCCCTATTTCCACTATTATGCAACATTGTACTAGAGGTCCTAGCGAATGCAATAGGAGAGAGAGAGAAAATAAGTTTAAGACTTGGAAAAGAAAAGGCAAGACTGCTATTTGCACGAGATATGACTGACTACATAGACGAATCCTAAAGAATGTAAAGAAAAGCTAATGGGACTAATAAAAATTTTAACAAGGTTACTGATTCCAAGATAAGTATATAAAAATCAATAATATTCCCATATCCCAGCAATAACCAATTGGAAGATGTAATCGGAAAAGTAAACAACAGCAGCAATAAAAATCTATTACTGTATTAGAGAGGCAAGAGTTCTTTATGGAGAAAGTTACAAAACATGATTGAAGGACATAAAAGGAGACCTGACTAATGATCATGGATGGGAAGATACAATATTTACAAAGATGCCTATTCTCCCCAAGTCAAGCTATAAATTTAGTGCAATTCCAATAAAAATTTCAATGGATTTTTTATAGGACTTGATAACTTAACTCTAAAATTCACCTGAAAGAGAAGAGGAAAAAACGTAGCTTAGACAATTTTGAACTATGATAAAACAGAGGGATTTGCCCCATGAAATAACAAGATATTACAAAGCCATAGTAAAAACACATAAAAGTAACATATGTTTGTCATGGACACTCCTTGTATTCTCAAAGTGCCTGCTGGATACATTACCACTTAGAAAGAAAGTAGTCCTAGGTGGGTCTTTTCTAAATATCATAAACTTCTGTGACTTAGGTGTACCTATTGGGTGAAAACAGTTGTATGCTTATTCATGACTGATCAGGACACTGCCCAAGTCAACAGAACTACAGAGGAGTTGGATACAATGAAAGCCAACCTCCCATGTGGTGCTTTGGGGCAATCTAGATTGAAGTTTCAAATGGACCCAGTATGTCTTCTTTTGGAGGAAGAGTAAGTGCTAGGTAAACAAATAGAAAGTGGGTTATTAAGCTCAAGTAGGACCCTGAAAACCCTAAAATATTGTTCTTATTCTCCCTTAGGGCTGCTGTTCATTCCAATATTGGGAGGCAAGGTCCCAGGTTGGCTATACAACCAAAGAGATGACTGTCCTTGCTACCCCATGTTCCTGGATCTCCTTGCCAATTAAATTAATTCACATAGTACTCTCTGTCTCTTCCTTGCAACCTTAATAAAACTAACAAGAAGATCCAGGTTTGAGGAAGATCCAGGTTTTGGAGGAGTCTTCTTTAAGAAAAATTACACAAAACTACAAATACAATTAGATATAAATGAGAAAAATCACAATAAATTACAAATTTAAAACATAAACATCACAAAATGAAATATATAAAAGAAATAATAAAATATTTGTATTAATTTTCTGATATACCTCTATATTTTTTCCTACATATTTTGGCTGCATACACTTTGTTTGCCTCTTCAGATGGCAAGATTGTTGTAATATTGTATTCTATAGAGGAAAAAGCAAGACAATACAGTGCTTTCTTGATGCACCTTTCTTACAGTTTCTATATCCACCTATTCATCTTCTGTTCCCCAAAACCCTGCCCTATCCACATAACTTAACCACCCCTTCCCATTTGCATTCCTTCTTCACTTCACCACATCATCCCCCTTCTTCCAGCCAAACACAGGTACATATACTTTGTCCTTGTAACCCATGACCTGATAAACTCTGTTAGGAGGTTTCTTAGGAAGTAAAAGTCTTCAAAACAGGAAATATTCATTGATGAAATGACAACTTGTGAAATTGTTCCCCACTTAAATTGTCCAATCTTTTAACCTTAGTGCCTATACCCACTTCTATCAAAATCCTTGTCATTCATTTGGAAATATCTAGCCCTCAAATACAACTGAAATCTATTGCAAATTAAAAGTGCAAATTTACAAAAGATGTGGAATTTCATGATCTTGAAATTGATGTTAGTAAACTGCTGGATCCACATGCAAAGTCATTAATAAAGGAGGACTTCACAGAGTTGGACCAGATAACAAATGAAAAAGAGAAAAACAATGAGAACGATGTTGACATCAATACATCAAAGAGAAATAATCTGATTTCAAAGGATTAAGAGAGGTCTTTGGGAAAACTAGATAAACGCCTCCAAAACTTTTGCAAGTAAGACCCTGCAGCAAAAATCAAATGCACAGTGAAGGATAATGAGCCATATAAAAAATTATGTCCCTCCTCCAAAACAACATTTGAGTTACCAGAATTAGCACATACTTGCAGTTGTAACCTAACGTGTTAAATATAAGATAAATTCATTTTTATAAGTTTGGGTTGAATTTTTTTCAATATAAAGTTCAAATCAAGTCTTTTTCTTTCACTCTTTCACTATGGAATCTACATCTCTATCTTTAATGGATTCATTCTAAGAGGGCCTTTTCTGGTACCAATTATCTTTGGAAAAGAAAGACCTTTTGTACTCATCTCTGTTTTACAAGCATGTAATATATTTTAATACCACCACTCCCCCACTGGAAATTGTAAAAAATACAGACTCTTGGGTTCCTCTGCCATACCAATTTTGAATCTCCAGGTGGAGAACGGGAACTAGGAGTTAAAAAAAAATTCCATATTTTAATTTACTAATTATTTTTACTTCATTTTTTTTTTTAGAGGTGCAGTCTCACTATGTTGTCTAGGCTAGACTTAAACTCCTGGGATCAAGGGATCTTCCGGCCTCAGCCTCTCCAGTAGCTGGGACTACAGGTACATGCTACCACACCTGGCTAAACTCCCTTTTTTTTTAACACTCATCATAAGCAATCCTCGTGATAATCAGGCAAGTGTGGTAATAACTACTTTAACTCATCCAAAGCTTTCTTTATAGTAACCTTAAGAAATCTTCTTTAACCTAGTCAGCTGGTTTGAGGTAGGAGGTAGGACTCGGACACCGAACCAAATTGAGCACTAGCCTAAACAGGTCGGAGGTGGAAGCCGCTTTCCATCAGATACACACACCAGTGTGTCAGTTCATCATTGCCATGGCAACACCCAGGAGTTACCACCCCTTTCCAGGGCAATGACCTGATGACCCAAAAGTTGCTACCCCTTCCCTAGAAATGTCTGCATAAACTGCCTCTTTACTTTTTTGTCTGTTTGTTTGTTTGTTTGAGACGGAGTCTCGCTCTGTCGCCCAGGCTGGAGTGCAGTGGCGCGATCTCGGTTCACTGCAAGCTCCGCCTCCCTGGTTCACACCATTCTCCTGCCTCAGCCTCCCGAGTAGCTAGGACTACAGGCGCCCGCCACCACGCCCAGCTAATTTTTTTTTGTATTTTTAGTAGCGACGGGGTTTCACCGTGTAAGCCAGGATGGTCTTGATCGCCTGACCTCGTGATCCGCCCGCCTCGGCCTCCCAAAGTGCTGGGATTACAGGCGTGAGCCACCGCGCCCGGCCAAACTGCCAAATGTGGGTATAAATGTGACTCAAAGCTGGCCTGAGCTGGTGCTTTCTGCCTATGAGGTGGCCCTGCTCTACAGGAGCAGTCACGGTTGTGACACCACCAAAGCTGTAACACTGCCTCTTCAATAAAATTGTTTTCTTCTACCTCCGGGTTGCCCTTGAATTCTTTCCTGGGCAAAGCCAAGTTCCCTGGTTGCCTAAGCCCCACTTTGGGGCTCGCCTGCCCTGCATCAGTTCGTACTCGCTGGACTCATTCCTTTATCCTTTTATTCTTTTTACATGCTCTCCTTCCTAGATCAGTGTCTAATCTATACAGGTTTTGGAAACTTTATGTAGTCTTTAGAATTTTATAAACTGCTCTTGCTTTTCATATTGTATTATTTTCTTAGTATTTCAAAACACCTTTGAACAAGTCAGAATTTCCTTTTTTTTTCTCCTTTAAAATCGAGTCTGAGTAACTCGTCTTGTGTTCATTTTTTCTACATTCTCTCAGCCTGAATCCTCATGAGTCCATTTTGCTCTATATTCATCTGGACATTAGACTACTTTGAAATATTACCATTTCTGCCTATTCTTTCTGTACTGCCTGATTGTCAGCTCCCGAAAGGCAAACACCCCATCTTCCATTTTGTCTGGATTTCCCCCACTGAGCCTAGAAGATTGACTTAACACTGACTAGTGTGCTGTGTGCTTCACGCGGTGGGTGCTTAATAAATATTTTAAAACAGTATTAAAATGTTGAATAAATTTGACAGCAGTGCTGCTTCTCATCATTTCAAATGCCAACACTTTCTAGGTCCCTTTTCTAGCAACCATTTCCCAACATACCTACGCGCCCCCAGACGTTTCAGCCAAGCTGGGGCTCTCTTTTGATCCATCCTTCTTTGCCCGAGTTATGGAAATATTGTTTACATTTTTTCCCCTGAGGAGAAGGGGAACCCAAAGACCCTGCTGTGAAACTTGAAGTTGTTTTTCTCCTTGGTAACTGGGGAGAAGGAAGGACAGTAGGGACAGAGAAGGTTTTGTTTCTGATTACTTCAGTTTTCGCCCCAGATCGTCTTTTACAATAAGATACATGCCCCTATGAGTATTTTCATACCTGTAAGGATGTTTTTAATTCTTTGCATCTGAAGAGTGCTAAGGATTTTAGGCAAGAGGTTTTAGTATTTTAACTAAGATGTTTTCTCATGAGCTTTATTCAGTATCTCATTTTCTTCCTGACCTTCTATAGTCAGTCAGGCAACATTTCTCTTATAACATCATTTTTCCTATTAATCATTATTTCGTACCTGTGAAAAATAAGCTTACACTTAATGTTGTATGAATCTAGCATGGTAAAGTACAGAAAAGCTTATTCTCTTCTTCTTGGGTAGGGAATTCTGTTTTGCAAAGCACTTTGTGATCTATTTGTTAGCTTATTTAATCCTCACAACAACTTTGCTAGGTGGACAGGAGTCATTATCTCCAGGATAAGGAAAAGGAAACTCAGAGACTTTAAGTGACTTATCCAAGGTGACACAGCACGGTTAGACCCACAATGAAAACCCGGACTTCTGACTCCACAGCCAGTCCCACACAGCTCAACTTTACATAATAAGCCCTGGTTATGTCAGTAGAGACAAGGCTGCTAGGAAGAAGCAGCGCGGTGACAGATGAGTAGGTGGGGAGCGGCGGTGGGGCAGGGCGCACTGCGAGAAGAGCACTTCGCGCATGCGCATATCACCGAGCGAACGCGCCGTGTTCGGGAAGGTAGGAGAAAGAGGCGGAGCTCCTTGTTAACGACATCCCCAACCTCTGCTAACGCGCAGGCGCACTTCCTGAAGCTGAAGGTCAGCATAGACAAAGGGCCTCAGAATCGCGCAGGCGCAATTGTGCCCTGGTTCGCCAAGATGTCGTTCCCAAAGTATAAGCCGTCGAGCCTGCGCACTCTGCCTGAGACCCTCGACCCAGCCGAATACAACATATCTCCGGAAACCCGGCGGGCGCAAGCCGAGCGGTTGGCCATAAGAGCCCAGCTGAAACGAGAGTACCTGCTTCAGTACAACGATCCCAACCGCCGAGGGCTCATCGTGAGTGTGGGGCCTCCCAGGCGGGAATAGGGCCCGAGTCCTGGGAGAGACCGAGAGAGACCACGCAAAGGGTCGGCCACCGCTCCCGATCAGTATCTCAGACGCAGGTCCTCTTCCAGGCCTAGCCAACTCACTACCCTTTTACCTTTGCCAGAGCTTGGCCCTCGAGAGGACCGGCTCTGGACTCAGACCTGGCTGGGTTTGAATCCTGGCTTGATCACTTCCTGCCTGCGTGACCTTAAGAACGTTATTCACTCTGCTTATCCTCGATTTTCTGTCTGCAAAATGGGCGTAATATAGTGCTTACTCTTTTATCAGGCTGTTAGGATTAAATGAGATAGAGTATGTGACTGTCCTAGCACAGTGCCTCGTTCGTAAGGCGTGTTCAGAAAATGTTTCTATATATATGCATATATATATTATATTATATATATATTCTATATATATGCATATATATTATATTCTATATATATGCATATATATTTTATATATATGCATATATATTATATTCTATATATATGCATATATATTTTATATATATATATAATTTTAAAGAGCTGGTGTTTACCTTTCAGTTCACAGCTCATAGGGATACTGCTCTCTCCTGATGGGAATACAGTGATTCCTTCAACCTGCATCTTTTAAAGACCCTGAAGCTTGCTGAAGTTCTAGGCTTTGGAGTCAGAACCCAAAGCACTACTCATTGGCTAACTCTGTTACCTTGGGCAACTTCAACTCCTCTGAATTATAGTTTCCTGGTTTCGTATATAAATGATGTGCATTATGAGGTTAAATAAGACAGTCTGTGTAACATTCGCAGCACATAATATATGCCCAGTAAACTGGTAATTAACAGGTGTGCTTTCATTAGGTAGTTTTCTATACAGGAACTAAGTAGGTTAAATATGATGTTAACAGAACAGGACTGGACTTTTCCCACACGTTGCATTGGTGTTTTGGAATTTTTGGAAGTTATGAGGATTGAATGAAAGTTACAATGTGCCAGGCACTGTGCTAAAACTCTTTTTGAGTACTATTTACATATCACAACTATTTGGATGATTAAGCTCTACTACTGTCCCCATTTTACAGATGAGAAGACAACATGGGAAGGACAAGTAGGTCATACAGAGATACCTCTTTAGTAGGTGATAGAGCAAAATTCTAACCCTGGTTTGTGTAACCCACAGCATCTGCTTTTAACTAGTTGGTTATACTGTCTCCAGCCAGAACCTTGTTAACTTGGGAAGAGGGTGCAGAGAGACACATTTATTACAAACTCACATGATTGGGTTTGATGTGTTAGTGTGATGCATTAAAAAAGAATAAGGCCTCAGTCAGACCTGAAATTGAAACCAAGATCTTCTGTCTTCTAGCTGTATGCCTCAGGGTAGTTTCAATTTTCTCATGTGTAAATAGAGGTAATACTACCAGTCTCTTTGGTTCTGTTGATTAAATGAGTGTGTGACACTATCATTTATTAATCAATACATGTAAATTCTCTTGCCTAATTTTTTTTTTTTTTTCCCTTGAGACAGGATCTTACTCTGTCACCCAGGCTGGAGTGCAGTGGTATGATCTCGGCTCACTGCAACCTCTGCCTCCCGGGCTCAAGCTGTCCTCCCACCTCCGCCTTCCAAGTAGCTGGGACCACAGATGTGCGCTACCATGTCCGGTTAAGTTTTTGTATTTTTTATAGAGATGGAGTTTCATCATTTTGCCCAGGCTGGTCTTGAACTCCTGAGCTCAAGCGATCCTCCTGTCTCCGCCTCTCAGAGTGCTGGGATTACAGACTTGAGCCACTGTGCCTGGCCATCTTGCCTAATCTTTAAGAATGATTGATTGAATCAATAAATAATTGCTCAGGGTCTGTTATGGCCCTATTTTACATGCCAAGATAACAATGGAGATCAAAACAGGCAAAAATTCCTGTCCTTGTAGAACAAACTTTCTAGTAGGGGAGACAAGAAACAAGTTAAAAAATTAAAATCATTTAACATGTTAGTGGTAAGTGATGAGAAAAAAAATAAAGCAGGGGAGATTTGGAGTGTGTGTAAGTAGTAGGGGAGGTAAGCAGCTACAATCTTAGGCCCAGGGAAGCCCTCTGTTTGAAGGTGACATCTGAATAAAGATCTGAAAGAAGTGGGGTGAGGGACCTAGCTCTCTAGGAAGGCAGCCTACTCATCAGAGAACGGCAAGTGCAAGGGCCATTAGGCAGGAGAGTGTCAGGTTAATTGAAAAAACACTGGAGAGACCATTGTGACTAAAGTGGAGAAAGGTGAGGGCAGAGTGGGACAAGATCACACCAGGCCTTGTAGGTAATTGTAAGGACTTTTACTGAATAGAGAATTTCGTGATCTGGACTTAACAATTTCTCTGGCTGCTTAGTTGAGAATTGACTATGGGGGAAAGGACAGGATCAGGGAGACTAGGAGGCTTTTGTAGTAATCCAATCTCTGTTGATTACCAGGGTGGTGGCAGAAGGCGGTGAGAAATGGTAGATTCCAGGTGTATTTTAAAAGTAGAGCCAACCAGGTTTGCTGATAGACTAGATGTGGTGTATGAAAGAGGAGTCAAGGATGACTCCAAGGTTTTTGACCTAAGTGATTTTAAGAATGAAGTTGCCTTTTACTAAGAAACACAGGAATGGGAGAAGAGAAGGTATGGAGGTGGAGTAGACTGTTGGGAAATCAGTTTGGGATATGTGACGTTTTAGATGCCTGTTAGACCGTATGTCAGAGTTCAGCAGTTGGTTGGATATTAAGTCTGGAGAGTTACAGGGCTGGAGGTAAAATTTTGGGAATCATCAGCCTTTAGATAGATTATTTAAAGTTATCTGACCAGATGACATCATCAAGGGAGTAAATGTAGATAGGAAAGACCAGCGAGGTCCAATATTAAGAGATTGGGGAGATGAGGAGGAAAAGAGCAAAGAAATGAAGAGAGAATGGCCATAGAGTTAGCAGGAAATCCAAGCAGGTGTGGGCCTGGAAGTCAAGTGAAGACATGATTTTCAGGAGTTTTCACCATGTCAGATGCTACTGAGAGTGCACTGGACTTTTAGTGATGTCAGAGGAGGAAAACTCTCTTCATAGTGTGTCTTTTGGAACCTCTCAATAACATTACCGGGCTTAATGAACTATGGTCATGGGGCAATTGGTATTTTTATGAAATGAAATGTCTGTTTCTGGAAGACAGATCTGGCAGATATTAAAGCACAGAGAGGTGACTAGCAAATTGAGAAGTCTGCCATTTGATAGTCATTCAGATACATTTATAGTAGAAAGGATGTAAGAATAGATGCATTAATCCTTTCAGCTATTGAGCTTTAACATCCCCTTGGACCTAATCTGTGTCTTTACCCTCTTTTTTCTTGTTGGCAGTATAGGCATAATAATAAACAATGCTGCAGAACACTTGCATGTGCTTTCATTTTAATGTGGTGTGATAATGTCAATAGTTTCTAGAACAGCAGAAGATATTTTGGGACTTTGTATCTAGTAGTGAGTGCTTACACCGTTGAGGAATTTCAGTCTGATTAAAAGGAACGGAAGCATTTCCATCATAAGGTTTTTTTTTTTGTTTTTTTTTTTTTTTAAACTTCTGAGCTGCAGCTGATTATCTCAGGGTAAATTGTTGTAATTTAGTTTGAAATATGACTGTGGAAGACCTTGTGAAATTATTTTAGTCCTACAAATCATGACTTCTTGATGTTGGTTAGGACCTTGAATATTCATGTTATATATTAAAGTCTTAAAGCTGATTTTATTTGCTTATTTTTATCTGTCAGTTAATTGGAGAGACTAATTTTGTAAAATCACTTGGGCATTTAGCTAATTAAATTTATGTGTTTGTGGGTAGATTTGCTATTCATGGATAGTTATTCTAGTATAAATATATTAAAATGGACAATTATTTTCTTAAGACAGTCTGATTATTTTTCTTTAACAACTTTGACCTTTCTACAAAACTTCTAATAGTGTGAAATGTCTGAATTAATGCTTTTCACACTAGGTCAGCTTAAAAAACTTACAGTTCAGCTAGCCTACCCCCTCCTTCATCTTCCTACAGCTTATTTGTAGCCTGGAAAGACTATTTTGGTGATAGCATTAGAAAGGGTCCTGGAAACAAAATACAAAGCATGATAGAGCATATGAAATCTGTTTCTCTTCATTGGGAATACTGCATGGTTCTGATGGTCACACTTGACAATGAAGCTAAAAACAGTCCAGAGAAGAATAGATGAAAATGACAAAGGAGAAAAAGTGGCTTCTCTGACAGTTAGATTAGGTTAGATTAGTTAGATTAAGATTAGGATTCTTAAATAAACAGAAAGCTAATTAGTGATATGAGCCTTCTACATTCTGAAGGATTTGAACAAGATCATTAGAATTCAAAAAACACCAGAAATGAAAGATCTTTCCTGAAGCTGTTTAGGAATATTCATGATATACCCTTAACTGTTCTAGAGAACAAAATGCGTCTGTGCTCCTTCACAAAAGTCCCTATGAATTTGTTTCTCAATGTGATCCTTCTTAAGTTCTATAACTTTTTGTTTTCATTAATTTTAGGAAAATCCTGCCTTGCTTCGTTGGGCCTATGCAAGAACAATAAATGTCTATCCTAATTTCAGACCCACTCCTAAAAACTCACTCATGGGAGCTCTGTGTGGATTTGGGCCCCTCATCTTCATTTATTATATTATCAAAACTGAGAGGGTAAGTATTCAGACCAGATGTTTAGTATTTGAGTGATAGGTTCACTTTCTAGGGACCAGCTGCAGCTCCTTCTCTTGAAGATTGCCACCAGTGCCCCTCCCACCTTGGGGCTGTCCTCTGCCTTCCCTTCCTCTCTTCTTTTATCTTTATTCCTTTCCAGCAGGAGTTAAAACAGAAAGTTTTCAGTCACCTTTGTCTATTTTTGTTAGTTCATTTGTTTTTTAAAAAGATGATGTTTATTGGGTTAAGTATTAGCAGAATACATAAATCATTTAGTACGTTTCCTGTTTGCGTGAATTCTATTTATGTTGGTCACATTTTGCAAATTAATGTTAAAACCTATTAATACTCTACGGACAGAGAAGCACAAGCTGCCTGTGTGGGGAATAGCTGCCGTCAGCAGCCTGGGTATATGATTGGAGAGAAAGTCAAGCTGATCTTTGGCACCAAACCATTCCACATCTGGTACTAAACCCTGAGCTGCAGCCCCCAGGCTTGTGTTGCCACTGGAGCCCACTCGTCTAGCTTTGTCTTTAACTGGCCCATCTGCATTCCCATTAGAGTTCGTGTATTTTGATTATCTGGTGAATGATCTACTTAACAGAAAGGTAGTCCACATTTTCCCAGAAAGTGTTTGCATTTTGCTTTCAATATATGGTTTTATGGGATAATATATTTCTAATGACTAAAATGTGAGTAAGATGTTTTTGAATAGGAGCATTTTCTTACTGTGTCTTTAGTTCCTCGGATTACTGTTTCTTCGCACACTCCCTGGGCTTTAGACAGTGGGATTGCAATTAGGTTTGGAGTGTTTCATTCTGTTTGTCAGTTGTACGGTGGGTTGTGCCAAAATGCAGTTTTTCTTACCTTTTTTATTTATTTATTTTTATCTAATATAGCCAACTGGCAGAATATATTGTCTTTAATGTACTTTTTTTCTGTCTTTACAGGATAGGAAAGAAAAACTTATCCAGGAAGGAAAATTGGATCGAACATTTCACCTCTCATATTAAGTCTGGCAATGATGACTATATGTATTCCTGCCTAAATAAATCATCTATTAATCATTAAGTAGTAGTTTCTCTTTCTTAGTATTACCTTGATTCAATGTTAAAAACTATTAACACCCTAACAACACAGAAGCAGACGCAGCCCGTGTTGGGAATCTGCTGTCAGAGTGACAGCAAACATTTGCTGTACATTGAATGAATGAACATAAACTTCATTAAACTGTGAGCTCTTAGAAAGTACAGATTCTACAATCAGTTGTTCAACAAGCGAGTGTTAACTACGAGCCAGGCATTATGTTATGTGCAGAGAATACAACAGTCAGTAAGACAGAGCCTGTTCTTAAGGAGTACGTACTCTGACAGCTGTTTATTGAACAATTATTTGAGTGCTTACTACCGTCTGGTACTATTTAATACCTAAGCCCTTGTCTGGCCCCAGCTGCAGTGGTAAATACAGCCAAACTAACACCAATGTAAAAAATACAATCGAGATTCAGGAAAATGATGTAGGCAAGCTGATGAGAAGCAGTTCTACCTGAGGAATTTAGGGAGGTGGCATTTGATCTAGGCTCTGAAGTTCACAAGGCTGACAGGACAAAACAGGAGCATGAAGGGGCAAGGTGTGTTGGGTATGGCTGGATTGTGGGCTACTGTGGGGTGAGGAGATGGAGCATGGAGGTCATGCTGAGGAGCAGAAATATAATGGTTAGGGGCGTGACCTTTGGAGGTCAAATCTGGGCTAGAATCCTAGCTCAAGTTAAACAGTTGGAATACTGGGCCTCCATATGCTCATCTATAGCATGGAGATAGCCTACTACCTCACAAGGTCATGAAGATGACAATGAAATAACAGTATTATGCTTTGTAGTTAAGTCTGGAAACAGTAGGGTGATAATTTCACCACAAAGGCAGAGTAAAGTCAAGTGCTGTAGATAACCAGCATGCTCTGTAAGGCTGGTGTAGATGGTATATTGGTCTTAACTTTCAAAGGATATCCACGACTACTTTGATTTGAAGCTTGCATAAGCATGGGTTGCCCCAGAAAGCAGAGACTGAGGGAAAGTCTTCTGTGCAGGTAGTTTATATTAGGAAGTGATCTGAAGGAATAGAAGTTTGGGAAGAGTGAAACATGGAAGGAGGGAAAGCCAGCAAACATGTGCCATGAACCTGTTGCCTCTGAGAGTAACAGGCTCCCACCTGGGACCTTCTGAGAAGCCCTGTGGAATGTAGAATTTTTCAACCAGATGTGGGAAAAGCAAATGTTTGTCTTGTCTCCATTGGTCAAGGGTTATCCCATGCAATTCTCGTGTACATCAGGGTATGGACATACTCTGGAAAGGCTGACGATGTTTTTACAGGCATTACACATGCGGGAGAAAGGAAGCTTAGGGCAGAAAGCAAGTGATGTGCAGCTGAGGTAAAGTATTGTCAGGTCACACTTGCAGGCAGCTGACAGTGGCAGCAATAGTTAGAGTAAAAAGGTGGACCAAGAGGTTGTGAGGCAGGCAAAAGAGATATAGGATTTCTTCCTCCACTTCATGCGCTGCTTGGATCTATTTGGACATACACTGAGTCCAGTCTATAACATGTCCTTCAAGGTGATGGCTGTATACAATCTACAGAACACTCAGTATGGACAATTAGTGGAACCAGCTACAGTACATACTGTTGCAACTGGCCCAGAGTCTGTAACTCATTCATCTCCCCTCATCGTATTTACTAGATTTCCCTTCCTTGGCCATCATTTTAGCAGGTCTAGATTGCTAGCCAGATGAAGTCACCAAAGCCTTCATTTCTAAGGACCAGAATCTTAGTTACTCTATCATCATCAGCCCTTTGTTGTAGCAATTGCATGTTTACAGCTGGGCTGGAAGTGGAAGCACCGAGATGCTCCAGTGAATCCCCTGGACTCCAGACATTACCCTTTTTGCCCCATTGTGTAGCAGCAACCCTAGCTCCGTGGGTCACTTACTGCTGCCAGTATGGAAATTTCTTTTTCGGTCTACTGTTTCCCAAATACAAGAAGTACCAGATTATTTTGTTTCCCTGGTGAAAGTGTTCTTATGCCCCAGCATGGGAATCAGGACTTCTTCCAGCAGAACCTAAATTTGGAGGGAGGGGAAGTGCACATTCCACCATGAGTTACTGGGATGGCAAAAGGGGCCAATCCTACTTCTTGGTTCTCAGAGTCATAAATTCTAGCTGCTGGGGCATAGCACTGTATCTATGACCATTGGTTCATTGCATATACCACATGGTCAACCCTGAGCCTCAGTCCTGCTAGATGTCCTTAAGCTGGTACTTTAGCTAAGCCTTTAGTAGGCTTAGCTAAATTCATCTGTGCCCTAGAGCTGCTGTGTACATCCAATCACATGACAGTGCTTCTGACTGTCCAGATCTTGATAGGCAGTTCTGGTTGAATGGTCACCTCATCTCATACTGGGTGCCCAGCTGCTTTTGGAATGGTGAATTTTTCTTTGCTGCAGAAGGCATGGCCTTGCTCCACAACCTAAGAAGTCAGCACTGCAACTATTCTGTTGCCAAGGTCTTGTAGGAGACTCCAAGCAGCATCCTTAGCTACCTACCACAGACACCTAGAGTATTGGCTTTATTGTGTTATATGACCCAAGTGGCTGCTGCTTACACTGCAGCCTGGATCTGCTGCAGAGTCCTTTCTGGGCTCCATTCAAAACTGGCAGCTTATAGCCAGGCATGCCTGGTATGTGCCTAACTAATTGGAAGGCTGAGATGGGAGGATTTCTTGAGCCCAAGAGTTCAAAGTTGCAGGGAGCTATGATCATGCCACCCACTGCACTTCAGCCTGGGTGACAAACTGTGACCCTCTCTCTGGAAGAACAAAACTGGCAGCTTTACAAATCACTGCATAAATGGGTCAGAGTACTGTTCCCAAGTAGGGTATGTGTTGTCTCCAGAATCCAGAGGCCCACAAAGTGCTGTGCCTTTTTCTTTGTAGTAGAGGGTGTGAAGTGGTTCAACTTGTGCTTTACTTTGGAGGGGCTATCCTGGCATGCCAAAGACCACTGGATACCCACAAACATCACTGATATGGGAAGCTCCTAAACCTTTATAGAGATTATCTCCCACTTTCTGGATCTTATACTAGTGCATTAAGGTAATGAGGAATCTAATCTATGAGTAAACAGAAGCTTTAAGGCAGAAATACTAGAAGGTGTGAGAAACAGCAATTCAAAGGGGCCAAGGTGGTAGACACGTGGGAGTAGCTGTGTGTAATGGTGGAGTAAAGATCCATGAATTCCTGCAAAATGGATCTTAAAACTATTTTGGATCTACAGCTACCATCCTGTGCCCATGAGACTTGACCAAATCATATGATTTCCATGTGGTTCCTGTTTGCTAATTTGCCCCTGCCCATATCATTACAATAACGGTAAGACCCTGCTTCTTCCACCCATCCTAATGGCCATTATTGTTATATTGTTCTCCAGATCTTAAAGAATTGTATTACTTGATTCTCATTTTGCTAGAGGGCAAAAACAGAAGGAATCCTACTGTGACCTTCCGTCTTTTTTTCTAGATGACTTTAGTTTACCCCGTAGTCCCCACTTATTCAGTTATCTGAAGTCAACCACAGTTCTAAAATAGGTGAGACAGTACAATAAGATGTTCTGAGAGAGAGAGACCACATTCCCATAACATAACAGTGTTTACTATTATTATTGCAGTATATAATGATAGTTCTATGTTACTATTAGTTATTGTTTTATTCTCTTTTGGAGGCTGATTTCTAAATTAAATTTTATTATCGGTATGTATTTATAGGAAAAAACAGTATATATAGGGTTTGGTACTATCTGTATGGTTTCAGGCATCCACTGGGGGTCTTGGAATGTCTTTTCTGTTGATAAAAGGGAACACGCTATTCTAATAAGAATACAAGTATACAAGTCTATTATAAGAAAATTACAAATTTCCAAAAAAGAAAATTACAAATTAGTTAAGTACAAGAATAAGATAAAAGCCACTCCCAATTCCATCACACAGGGATGATATTTTAGTGTACAGTTGTCTTTCGGTATCTGCAAGGGATTGGTTTGGGACCCCCTGTGGTTACCTAATTCCTCAGATGCTAAAGTCCCTTATGTAAAATGGCTTAGTATTTGCACGTAACTTATGCACATCTTCCTTGAAATCATCTCTAGATTACTTATTATACCTAATACAATGTAAATGCTATGCAAATAGTTGTTATACTGTCATGTTTATTTCTATAATTTTTTATTGTTATATTGACTTTATTTATTTATTTAATTTCAGTCTATGGTTGGTTGGATTCACAGATGTGGAACCCTCGGATATTAAGGGCCAATTGCATATCCTTCTAAAACTTTTTTTTTCTCTGTGCTTATATATCTTTTTTTTTCAACAAAATGAGATACACTTTGTATAATAATTTGTAAATTTTTGGCTCAATGATTTGTCATGGACATCTTTCCATGCAATGACTTTTCTGCAACATTTCAAATAACTGCTAGTATTCCATGTGTCTACCACAATTTATTTAACCAATCTCATAGTTGGACATTTCATTTTCCAAGTTTTTCTTTTTTCTGAGACAGAATCTCGCTCTGTCGCCCAGGCTGGAGTGCAGTGGTGCCATCTTGGCTCACTGCAACCTCTGCCTCCTGAGTTCAAGTGGTTCTCCTGCCTCAGCCTCCCGAGTAGCTGGGATTACAGGCAAGCACCACTACGCCCGGCCAATTTTTGTATTTTTAGTAGAGACGGGGTTTCACCATGTTGGTCAGGCTGGTCTCGAATTCATGGCCTCAGGTGATCTGCCCACCTTGGCCTCCCAAAGTGCTGAGATTAAAGGCGTGAGCCACTGTGCCCGACTCATTTTCCAATTTTTTTGCTGTTATAATTAATGTAATGAATGCTCTTGCCATGAATTTTTGTGTGTGTCTTAAGTTTTCTCATAGGATAAATTTCTGGGAGTGAAATTTCTGGGTCAATAAGTATTCAAATGTTTTGTTTTGGGTATAAATATAAAAGGTTTTATAATTTTATATTCCTGGGCAATGAATGCAGTGTCTGTTCCCTGTACCCTGAGCACAGTCACAGAAGCCAAACTCTGCCCTTGTATCTTTGCTCTGCCACTTACTGGTGAAGTGACCTGGAAAGTGTTTACATTCTTTGTGCCTCAGTTTCCTTATCTTTATAATAGATGTACTAAATAACACATAGTATTGTTTAATGATTTCTTACTAATAAAGTATTTAGGACAGTGGTATATAGTCTTAGTGTTTACTATTATTATTTTTAAACCTAATGGATGAAAACTATTTTAAATTTGGAATTTATTTATTATTGAGGTTAAAAGTTTTTTTCATATTATCCAGTTGTTTTTTTTACTTCTTTGTTCAAAATCACTGCTTGTTTTTTTGTTTTTGTTTTTTGTTTTGTTTTGTTTTGTTTTGTTTTGAGGCAGAGTCTCACTTTGTTGCCCAGACTAGAATGTAGTGGCGCGATCATGGCTCACTGCAGCCTTGACTTCCTGGGCTCGAGATCCTCCCACCTTAGCCTCCCAAGTAGCTGGGACTACGGGCAAGTGCTACCATGCCCTGCTGGTTTTTGTATTTTTTTTTTTTGTAGAGACAGGGTTTTGCCATGTTGCCCAGGCTGGTCTCAAAGTCTTGGGCTCAGGTGATCCGCTCACCTCAGCCTCTCAAAGTGCTGAGATTACAGGCATGAGCTGCTGTGCCCGGCCTGTATTTCTTTCTCTCTCTCTCTCTCTCTCTTTGTTTTAAAATTGAAAATAGAGAGGAGGTCTTACTATATTGCCCAAGCTGGTCTTGAACTCCTGAGCTCAAGTGATCTGCCCACCTTGGCCACCCAAAGTGCTAGGATTACAGGTGTGAGCCACCTGACCTGGCTCTGTTTTTCTGATAGGTCTTTTTTCTTAATGATTTTAAGGCATAAACAATATATATTAAAGACATTAATTCTTGATCATACTAGTCTTCTTTCATCAGGAATTATTTTGGTACCCCTCAGTAACAGGAAAAATATTTACAGTATATTCTTGGTACCCAATGTTGAAAGAAGGCAGTACCCGAAGCAATTTTTACTTAGTAGGATTTTTAAAAAACATGTTTTAATGTTAGGAATTATTGAGCAGTGTGTTCTTGTGGATTTAATCAGTTTCAATAGATTTTTTATCAGTCAGGAACAATGAAATGTCTGAAATCACACCGGGAAGTGGTCCGGTGCGGGTAACAATTGCCACCTCGTCTGAGCACCACATGCTACCATCTGTCTGACCAATGCACTAGCCCTGGGCACTGGGCACAGGAGCTCACTCTGGTACTATTGAGCATCCAAAAAATGACATGTGCAATGAGGAAGGTAACCAGGAACCAGATCATAAAGCCCTTATCACATAAAGAGTTTAGGCTCTAGCCTGATGGCAGTGAGAGTCACTGAAGGGATTAAGCAGGACAAACATGATTGGATTTTCATTTCTGGAAAATCATCTGGTTCCTGGATGGAGGATGATTGCAGGATAAGAGAGGCTGCAGGAGGACGATAATCATGTTCATTTTCAATCAGACATAATTCTTTATTTTTGAGACAGCCCTCAATGCAGAACAAAGCAGCCCCTGCCAATACCAAGGTGACTCATTTGGATGTGAACTTGTTGAAAGCTTTATGAAAGTCTAAATACATTATCTCTATGAGTTCTCCTTTACGCATATGCAAGAGGAGTCAGTCTTATAATTCCTTACCCTTTTATAACATCTTCTCCCCGTCCCTGGAACAATATTGCTTCCCTAACAAGCTGGTTCAAGTACCATGTCTTTTTACCCTTTATTGTGGATCCTGCCTGGAGAAAAAGATAACATCCATGCTCTGATTGAAATCCCAGTGGGTCCAGTCTCTGATTTATTTTCCTTTTTATGTTTTCTCATTCCTAGTGGCACCTGGCAGTCTTCTCATAATATCTGGGTCTATATTCTTCAGGATAATTAATGGTGTACTTGAAAAAATCAGAGATCTGCACAAAAAGCTCTCTCGATCAAATTTGCATGGTTACAAAATATGGACAGCACTTTAAAATTACTAAAAATGTAATGCTATACATATATTCAAAGATTCTGGATTTTCAAAGCTTTCACTGCCACTGTCTTTTTAAAAAAACTCTTATTTTAGGTTCGGGGTACATGTGCAGTTTTGTTATATAGGTAAATTGTGTATTGCAGGGGTTTGGTGTACGGATTATTTCATCATCCAGATAATAAGCATAGTACCTGATAGGTAGTTTTTTGATCCTCACCCTCCACCCTCCTCCCTCCCTCCACCAGTGTGGTCTATTATTTCTTTCTTTGTGTCTGTGTGTACCCAAGGTTTAGCTTCCACTTATGAGTGAGAACATGCAGTATTTGGTTTTCTGTTCCTGTATTTGTTTGCTTAGGATAATGGCCTCCACCTCCATCCATGTTGTCGCAAACGACATGATTTCATTATTTTTTATGGCTGTGTAGTATTCCATGGTGTATATGTACCAGATTTCCTTTATCCAATCCACCATTGACTTGATCCACTTTGATGATTCTGTGTCTTTACTGTTGTACATGGCACTGCAATGAACATGCAAGTGCAAGTGTCTTTTTGGTAGAATGATTTATATTCCTTTGGATATATATGTATAATGGGATGGCTGGGTCAAATGGTAGTTCTAAGTTATTTGAGAAATCTCCAGACTGTTTTCCGCAATGGTTGAACTAATTTACATTCCTTCTACCAGTATATAAGTGTTCCCTTTTCTCTGCATCTTCACCAGCATCTGTTATTTTTTGACACACTGCCACTTTCTACCTTTGTGTGAACAAATAGAATTTTATCATGTTTCTATTCCTCATTTAGAGGACCCACTTATACCTATAAATACGACTAATACTTCCTATAGTTTCCCCTATGGCTGCATTGTTTACAGCCATTTTTGTGGCTAAGATAGAGACTCCTCATTCTGCTGATACTCACTGTGGCCTGGAGAGACACGGCGCCACATCACCTATTTGGAGAACCTTCATTTTGAGTTACCAAGAAAGTACAGAGCACATCAATCTCATTGCCAAGCTTCAGGATTCAAAGTATTAAAGGAAGCTCAATTCCTGACATCTGACCTCTGAATTTCCTGGAGCTGGATGGCTGGTGGAACATCTGAGATTTCTGGAGCAAACCTGGCACTAGAGTTCACTTGTCCCCTTAATCACAAGGAGTATTACCTTATCAGTTTTGAGTTATTATTTACTTCTATCACCAACTGTATTTAAATAATTCATCTATTATTTAATAATTATGCTTTGAGGAATCTTGGCACTAGGGGAAAGAGAAAATTGTCTGAGGTTGCTCCATAAATCAGTATAGGAGGTACTCAGGGGTTGAATTCTGGTATGAAATTGTTGAGGGTAGGAGAAGGTGGTAGGAGACTTCCAAAACTTTGCACATTTAAGCACTTAAAAAAAAAACAAACTCATGTTAGACTGGGCATGGTGGCTTATGCCTGTAATCCCAGCACATTGGGAGGCCAAGGTGGGCGGATCACTTGATGTCAGGAGTTCAAGACCAGCCTGGCCAACATGGCGAAACCCTGTCTGTACTAAAAATACAAAAATTAGCTGGGCATGGTGGCGCACACCTGTAATCCCAGCTATTTGAGAGGCTGAGGTAGGAGAACCACTTGAACCCAGGAGCAGAGTTTGCAGTGAGCCGAGATCATGCCATTGCACTCCAGCCTGGGTGACAAAGCAAGACTCCATCTCAAGCAACAAAAAAACCTTACATTATATGTTTCATATCCATTAAAAACAGAAAGTTTTCTAAAAAGGGTTTTATTCATATTTTATAGAAAATGGAGAAAACATCAGAGAGTATTATTATTTTATATGGGATGGCTTGGGTGGAGGGTAGATGGAGATGGAACTGGCCAACTTCCCTGAAGCCATCTATTATAAGCTGATCAGGCAGCTTCCCCTCCAAAATCATGTGGTGCAGAAAGAGTGGCCCAGAAGTGAGTTGGTCCTTTCAGAACAGTTTTGCAGGCTGTAAGGAGGATGAGCTGCTGTTGGTGTGCAGATACTGGGGATGGTTGGTTTTCTGGAGATGCTGTGGTAGAGGAGCCTATGTCCTATTGAATTCTTGTAGGTGTGCAGGCCTCTTCTGCATTGATCAAACACTTACTGAGCCCCTATCATTTGCTGAGCATTGAGGATACTAATATGAAGAAGATACAGCTCCTTCTTAGAGGAACTTATAGTGGACAAAGACAATTACAGCAGCCAACACTACTAACTCTGACTTGTGTTCCAGGCACTATGCTAAACTAAGGGCTTTACACACCTCTCAAAATACCTCAAAACAACCCTTTCAGGTAGGTCCTAATAGCCCCTTTATGCCGATGAGATTTAGAAGGATTAAATACTTTGCCTGAGTCCACGGAGCTAATAAGGTGGGACTTAAATCTGAGCAGCCTGACTCCAGAGAACATATCTTCAACCATGTTTTGAAAGGGATAAAGACTGATGCATTGGGGATCCAGGTATTGAGAAAGGACATCTGATCCAGCCTGGAGGGTTTAAGAGACGGTGCCTTAGAGATCAAGTATTCCCACTTGTGTCAGAGGCGTTCAAACCAGAGCCACTCCATCTTAAATAGGGGTTGAGTAAAATAAGGCTGAGACCCTACTGGGCTGCATTCCCAGGAGGTTAGGCTTTCTAAGTCACAGGATGAGATAGGAGGCTGGCACAAGATACAGGTCATAAAGACCTTGCTGATAAAACAGTTTGCAGTAAAGAAGCTGGCCAAATCCCACCATAACCAAGATGGCAACGAAAGTGACCTCTGGTCATCCTTGCTGCTCATTATGTGCTAATTATAATGCATTTGCCTGATAAAAGACACTCCCTCCAGAGCCATGACAGTTTACAGATGCCATGAAAAAGTCGGGAAGTTACCCTATATAGTCAAAAAAGGGGAGGAACCCTCAGTTCTGGGAATTGCCTACCCTTTTCCTGGAAAATTCATGAATAATCCACCCCTCATTCAGCATATAATCAAGAAATAACTGTAAGTATCCTTAGTCCAGCAGCCCAAGCTGCTGCTCTGCCTATGGAGTAGCCATTCTTTTATTCATTTGCTTTCTAAATGAACTTTCTTTCACTTTACTCTATGGACTCACCCTGAATTCTTTCTTTGGCGAGATCCAAGAACCCTCTCTTGGCGTCCAGATTGGCATCCCTTTCCAGTAACACTTGTACTTTTAGGTTTTCTAGCACATTCACAGACTTATAGAATGTTAGAGCTGGAAGGATCTTTAAAGATCTGCTAGTCTCACAGCCTAATTTTATAGGAAAAGTTTGGACAGGAGAAATGACTTGTTCAGTTCTTCGAGAAACCCTACAAATTCAAGGATTAGGATTCTAGGTTTTGATTAGGAACTACTGCTCCAATTGCCCCATCACCTGCTTGTGATTAGAAGTGAAACTGTCAGGCACTAAAGACGATGTCCAGTTGACTTTCTTACCTCATACAAACAGAAGACTTGAAAAGCCATTTTAATAGGGAAAGATTTAGGAAGAAATCAGGCAGATGTTTGAAGCATTTTTTTGTGTGTGTAAAGTATTAGCAGATTTGTCTCTTCTTGGGGCTGTGAGAATGAAGATATTAGATTCAAACCCAATGTCTCCCATATTGTTCTTGCTGGAATGTCACAATACAAGAATCCATGGCGGGCACTAGCTGTTGCCTACCAATACCACCTACCTTTTCTTTCTTTCCAATAGAATCCTGATTTGTTCAAGAGGCTGGTGGGGATCCCTTTATCTCAGGGAGGGTGAACATGACCCCAGCCCCAGAGAATGAATCGGGGATTCACAGGGATTGGTGTAAGGGTTATCATGTGACCCGGTTCTGCCCATGGGGCCTAAGGAGAAATCTGCAGGGAGGGCTTCCTTTCCCTCCTCAGGAACGAGCCTTCTATTCATTCATCATTTTGGTTTCTCCCCCTTCCTTTGACCTGGAACATGCATGTGAGGCCTAAAAATGAAGACAATAAGACAAAATGCCAGGAACAGAAAATCAGAAAGCACGTGGGTCTGGGATAACTTTATCATTTTCTTATCATTTTCTCCATCCTGAACTGCCAAACCTCAGACTTTTTCTTTTGGGAGATAAAGCCCTAGTTGTTAAGCTAATGTTAGATTTTCAGATACTTATAATTGAATGCACTCTTAATTGATACATATAAAGAGAAGTGATATCATACAATGTGCCTGCCCTTCAGATTTAAATTTTATTCATAGAATCCAAGATAAAGGCAGCAAATGCTCATGAATGAGCGAAACTGCCCCATTTGCTAATTTCTCTTCCAAGGACTGTATAGAGTTGCATATACTTGGTTACAGGGTTTACACGGTTTCACATTCAATAGTGCCATGGTGGGTTGAGTCGAAGCTTCTAATATAATTTCAGATTTTAAAAACCTAGGTTAGGCTAATTGGAGTCTCAGGGGCCCCCATAATCTAGATGATGTCGCATCTGTGCTCTTACATACTACACTGCCTCACATAAGCATAAATTTTGAACACACCTCAGATGTTGTGATGTAATTATATAAAGACAATAGCTAAAGAGCCATTATCTTATAATGGCTAATATTCGTGTATGCTCACCATGTCCCGAAAACCATGTGGGTGCCTCTAGTGTATTATCTCATTTAACTCTCAGAAAACCCCCTGTGAAATAAATCATTTACTTCTTTCAAATGAGGAAGGTAAGATTTACAGAAGTTAAATAACTTGCCCAAGCTCATTCAGCTATGAAAGTGCAGTCTGGATTCCAGGGCCTGTATTCTTAATGACTATTCTTTTGAAAAAATTAAACTAATTGATAATGGTTATTATATGATAACTTAACAATTATATTGAAAACTAATATATCAAGATCCAAATTTTAAAAACACCCTGAAATAATAGCTACTTGTTATACAGTGCTTATTATGTGATAGGTTCTATTCTATCTATTCTATTCTATTTTCCTGTCTTAACTCATTTAATACACTAACACTATGAGGTAGGTACTATTATTATTGTTTTCAAGCTGAGGAAAAAGAAACTCAGAGAGGTTAAGTAACTGGTTCAGGGTCACACAGCTAACACGTTGTAGAATCTGAATTTGAACGCAGGCAGTATGGCTCTAGCATCTGTTCTCTTATTTATACACTACTCTGCCTCACAAAAGGATACATTTTGGATATACCTCAGGTTTGGTGATGTAATTATATAAATTTAATTATATCAAATTGAAGCCTAGCTGATTACTAAATATAATAAAGAAGTTTAAATGCCAGCACTCAAGCCTATTTTTTCATTTTAATAGTTAAATATCTTTCTAGAAGGACACAATTTCCTTCACACCTGGAAGTGATAACTCTTTCATCACTCTGGAAAGTCACAATACAGAAACAGCACATTAATTTGTAAGAAAGTTTATATCTAAGCCTTAGATTTTTTTTAAACTTCCCTCTCCTCCTCCCTTTGATACGTTTTCGATGAGTGGAGGAACACCAGGGCTCTTGTCTTGTGTCAAACTGGAAAAAAACTACACGGACACACGTGCAGTGGTTTTAAGGAGTGGAGAGTTTAATAGGCAAGAAGGAACTGAGAAGCCAGAAAGAAGAAGCTCCCTGCGAGGCTCTTGTATCGGTTGGAACCCAGAGAGCCCACCAACAAACAACATGAAGCGGTGTGGAGCAACAAGCTGCTTTTTTTTTTTTTTCCATTTATGTCGGTGGATTATTTTATTTTTATTTTATTTTATTGTTATTATTATACTTTAAGTTGTAGGGTACATAAGCACAATGTGCAGGTTTGTTACATAGGGATACATGTGCCATTTGGTTTGTTGCACCCATCACCTCATCATTTGCATTAGGTATTTCTCCTAACGCTATCCGCCCCCAGCCCCCCACTCACCAGCAGGCCCTGGTGTGTGATGTTCCCCACTGTGTGTCCATGTGTTTTCATTGTTCAACTCCCACTTATGAGTGAGAACACGTGGTGTTTGGTTTTCTGTCCTTGTGATATTTTGCTGAGAATGATGGTTTCCAGCTTCATCCATGTCCCTGCGAAGGACATGAATTCATCTTTTTTTATGGCTACATAGTATTCCATGGTGTATATGTGCCACATTTTCTTTATCCAGTTTATTATTGATGGACATTTGGGTTGGTTCCACATATTTGCTATTGTGAATAGTGCCACAATAAACATACGTGTGCATGTCTTTATAGTAGCATGATGTATAATCCTTTGGGTATATACCCAGTAATGGGATGGCTGGGTCAAATGGTATTTCTAGTTCTAGATCCTTGAGGAATCGCCACACTGTCTTCCACAATGGTTGAACTAATTTACACTCCCAAGAACAGAGTAAAAGCATTCCTATTTCTCCACATCCTCTCCAGCATCTGCTGTTTCCTGACTTTTTAATGATTGTCATTCTAACTGGCTTGAGATGGTATCTCATTGTGGTTTTGATTTGCATTTCTCCCAAGAGGCTGTTTTAATGAGCGCCTGTATGCAGGCGGGCTGAGGCTTAAAATGGCGTCGGCACCAAATGAGGACGGGACAGGGGTTTTATAGTGTCCTGTAAACAGGAAGTGTCTCAGTCTGATGTAACTGCTACTCAGTATCCTGACGGCCTCTTCCTCAGTCTTCGGGGGATATGTGTCTTCCAGCCAGCTCTCTTCCTGCTTCTGCTGTCTTGCTGACACATGCTGCTGGCACAAGTGGCCTGGAGCCTTGGGACTGGGCCTGAGGAGGGAGGAGTTATTCATTCCCTTAAGCTTTCAGGCCCTGGGGAGAATCTTTCACTCCCCTGTACAGAGACAGAGGGAGGGGGGCTCCCCCAAGTGCCATGGATATCCGCCAGTTTTATGAATAGGCTGGAGGAGGCGGTGTCTGATTTGCACAGGGCTCAGGGGATTGGTTTGACCAGGCACGTCCTTCATGTAGCCCACGAAAAAGCTGGCCCTCCCACCCTAGCCTTTTAATATGAAAGTACAGGTTGCCATGATGTTCTACACAGGGGATATGTGGGGGTGGCCATATTGCCCAGCACATGTTGGGGCAAGGGCAAGAGGACAATGCTGGGAATCGCCATGTTGGGTGGACCCAGTTTCTAGTGGCCTGCATTTGCATATCAAAGGTTGCCTGCCTGGCTCTAAGAGCCCGGGCTTTACAAGAAAGGTTTCTGAAGATGCTTTAAAAAATGAAAACTTCCAAAGGACCCCTGTTCTTCTGTATCTGCCTAAAATAATTTCTTAATAACTCCTACAACACCTTGACTCTCCCTGTGCCCCACCTGAGCACCCTTGCAGAATTCAAGCTTATTATGGGAGGTAGTGCCCCTCCCCACACTGCTGTTATAAATAAAGTTTCAGTGCTGCAAAAGAAATAGCACTCAAATATAAAATTATCTTTTTAATACTCAGCAGGGCAATGTACTTATATAGAAGGGTGTGCCCTTACAGATGGAGCAATGGTGAGCACACACTTGGACAAGGGAGGGGAAGGGGTTCTTATCCCTGACGCACGTGGCCCGTGCTGCTGTGTCATTCCCCTATTGGCTAGGGTAGACCGCACAGGCTAAACTAATTCCGATTGGCTAATTTAAAGCGAGTGACAGGGTGAGTGGTTTGGCAGGAAAAATTGTTATGACAGAGCAGGTAATCAGAATGAGTCAGGGTGGAGCAGGTAATTGAAAAAGTTTGCTTTACGAGGAAGTTAAGTTTAAAAGTATAAGGTAAAGAATTGAACATACTGACGTATTGATTCTTTGAAAAGAAATTTAGAACTCATATCTAACAACCCTTCATCTTGCATTTCCTTACAGCAATTTCTTTTCAAACTTTTTAACATGTCTTGGCTTAGTTGTTCTGCTGGATTTTCCAAAAGAAGAAGCTTGTCTGGATAAGGTGGAGGGTAGTTAAGGGAGGTTTTAGTAAGTGACATTTTTATGAGCCTCTGCAGCAACCCACGGATGCATGGTGTGACACAGCACCCGACAAGAATAAGTACACCCATTACAGCTGCGAGGGAAGTAAGAATTGAGGCTATTATTTTTTTCCATTTACTGAACCACTTTTCTAGCCATTCTGTAAAGGGGTCATTTACCCCTGAGTTTCTGGCTAACTCACTGGGTAGAGCAGTCAGACCTTGCAATGCCTTTGTTATACTTCCATGTAAGTTGTTTGGGATGAAGGTGCAACACTGAAGTTTAATCTTGACGCAAACTCCTCCTCTTTCTGCTAATATCATGTCTAAGGCTATCCTATTTTCCTAAGCCATCTGGCTAGTGGCCCCTAATTACTCAGCTATTTCTTTAACAGCATCTCTAGTGTGGTTAAAAAATCACTGTTGGTTGTAATAGATGTAATTTATCCAATCTACATATTTTTTTTTTTTTGAGATGGAGTCTCGCTCTGTTGCCCAGGCTGGAGTGCAGTGGTGCAATCTCGGCTCACTGCAACCTCCGCTTCCTGGGTTCATGCCATTCTCCTGCCTCAGCCTCCTGAGTAGCTGGGACTACAGGTGCCTTCCACCATGCCCGGCTAATTTTTTTTTTGTATTTTTAGTAGAGACGGGGTTTCACTGTGTTAGGCAGGATGGTCTCGATCTCCTGACCTCGTGATCTGCCCGCCTCAGCCTCCCAAAGTGCTGGGATTACAGGCGTGAGCCACCGTGCCTGGCCCAATCTACATTTTTATGAATTGTCACCCACCAAAATATTGACTCAAATCCTGCAGCGATTTGATTTTGGGCTTTAAATTGATTTGGTACTCCCTGTGGGACTCCAATTGCATTTAAATAGACGTGAAAGTCGAAAGACCCACAAGGGGCTTCTCTCGCTTTACGATGTCTTATTTTTCCTTCCTCTGGCTGATGAAATGCCAGGGTGAAAGGGATAGCCAATTGGACTAAAGCACAAGTGCCACTCCAGTTATTTGGCAGAGTGTCCAGTAAAGGTCCACCATACATCCGCTCAGGGATGAACAAGGGCTGACTGATTGATAAGTAAAATTGAATCGAAAATTCTTAAGCTCACTACATCCCTTCAGGTCTCCAAGGAACACTAAGTTTCCTCCCTGTCATGAGATACACGAAGTGAACTTAGTGTTGGGAGATGGAAGCTGGATGGCTCTCGGGGGCTGACCTGCAGGGTGCTGGACTTTGGGATATAGCAGAGAGAGAGCATGGCATGACTTGTTACTCCAGGCTCTAGAATCCTGGAAAAGAGCTACCATGCAGCCCATGCCCCATCAACTGGAGGACCACCCTAGTGGAAAGGGGACAATCTGGGCCTCTGGCCTGCCGTGCGCATAAGCGTTAACAACTGCTTTTGTATAATGTGTGGACGGAATATTTGATCCATTCCAACCAGGCATTTGCATCTTGGTATCCTGTCTTAATTGCCAAAGTTTGTTTTAAGTCTTTAACTTCTATGATAGCTATCTTGGTCTTGTCGTTAGATGGCGGAGGAGCAATTGTTCAATTGTAAGAGGTTTTGGAAGAAGGCTTAGAGGAAGGTGCAGGTGGCGGGGGATCAAAGAAATGCATTTCAAAGAATCCAAAGGGTCTGTTCCTGAAACCTTAGCCCCCATACCATAAAACAGGCTTAAAGAAGTGAACCGGCTTAGAAAAGGGGAACAACTTTGAGGGTTCGAGATAATAACCTGTATAGGATTGCACCGGTTTAGCTGACAGTTGGTGGCGGGGGGCTGTCCCTCTAGTAAAATGAATGTATGGTTTTAGGAAATTACAAAAACCAGTTGTGGCAGTCCATTCTTGCTCTTTAGTGGTCCAAAGAACATTGGACCAACTATGGCATAAAAGCTCTACATCAGGGAGCAAGAATCCTGGTTGACACTGGGGTTTTTATTGAAGTCTCCTCAGATTAAATGGTCCCAATTCACTAATGCCCAGTCTGAGGAGAGTCAGGAGGGACAAACGTACTTTTCTGAAGTAGAGAGCAGTCTGACTTGGCAAGTCCCCACAGGGTATAACAAGGCAAGCATTAAATGTAATAGTTTGAGGCAAAATTGACTTGGTTATGTTAATAACTAGATGGTCAGCAATAGAGCGAGGATAGAAGAAAGAGTAATAGCATAGATGAAAGAGTTAAATTTTCCTTAGCTTTAGTTTGGTAGGGTTTTCCCCTGGGACTATGGCCCATGACTCTGGAGGGGGACAGTGCTTTCTTGACCCGGGTGTGATGAGTCCATCCCCTTTTCACTGTGCGAACAGCAGTCTCGGTGGTTAGCAGCACAAGGTAGGGTCATTCTCAGACTGGCTCAAGTTTTCCTTCTTTCCACCCTTTGATGAGAACGTGATCCTCAGGCTGGTGCTGGTTTACTGGAAATTCTAGGGGTGGTACCTATGCAAAAAGACTCAGTTTTGAGGGAAAGGAAAGTGGAAGTATATAATATAAAGTGGAAGTATATAAACCAAGTATATAATTTCTAAGAAATTGATCTTTTATTTTAAATGTGGGGACATCAGCAGTGGACTTTATAGTCCTCGGTGCCTTCTTACTGAGAAATTTCCTTTAGCACGTATTTTTATTAGCTTTTAGACTAAAGAAAGCCAAACACCATTTTATATTTGACAATGCTTCCTGTATGATTTTTATACCAAATAAGCTAAACTTCACCTTTATATTAGTGTTATTCATGTTAAACTTAATTTTAATAAAACCTTGTAGACATATTTATCCAATTTTTAATGTCTGACCATAGGGTAAGATTTTTATAGGCTCTTTTTAACCTTTTATAATTTTTGTTAAAGAGCAGGTTAGTGCTTTAAGAAAAAACTGTTGTGCTTTTATTTTAATGTCCAGTTCACAGACAAACTGGATGATACCCCTTTAACTTTAGCGAATATGTTTACACACAGAATTTCCTTCACAATTAACATTTCAAAACTTGCTTAAATCTTTAAAACAAAGTATTTTTTAACCTTTTAATAGATAAAAATCCACATTTTTATGCCTCCTTATAATCCTTTTACCAAAGGTATATTTTACTTTCCTTATACACCTTGCACATAAACTGTTTCTTCAATAGTTTTACATTCAGGAGGCCTAATTACTTTTAAACTATACAACACATCTTTCATAAATTCCCTTTTATAACATTTTTTTCTCACGACTTTCACAGTCAATTGTTTGACATGCCTCAACTTTCTGACTTGTTGCAAATATCCCTTTCTTTAAACAACCAGTTAATTTATTTTAGGACAAGATTTTACCATATAACATTCCTTTCTACACAAAGATGATAACCATTCTTTTCCAAAGTAAACTTCCTTCATGTCTGTGGACTAGACTGTCTAAGGCCTCAAGATTAGAAGTTAGGATAATACATGTTACACTATTAACTTTTAGCAAACTTTACTTTTGTTGAAAACCTTGTAAGTTTGGGATTTCAATTATCCTTTGCTATTAATAAGATCTTGTTTAGTCTAAATTAACTTAGAATTGGTACAGATGGTTCCTTCCTGGTTCTGTAAGTACTTTAAGGCTTGGTTGAGTGCAAACAGCTTCCAATTTGAGCAGACCAATTATTAAGCAATTTTCCTAACTCTACTTCTACAAGAGTTTTCCCTATCAATTACTGAATACCAATTGTGTCTTTTACCCTCAGTCACTGGGAGGAACCATCTATTGTTGTCCTGTCCTGAAGGGAGTTCCTCCTAGGTCTTGTCGGACCTTTGTATGGTAATTAATTACGATTTAGATCCCCTGTTAGGAAACCTGCTGGGTTAAGGGAATTATCAGTGATTAATGTTAAATCATCTTTTTCTAACAGAATAGCCCCAAACTTTAAGATTTTTGATTTAGTAAGCTACCTTTTTGCCTTTTTTTTTTTTTTTTTTGACTTAGGATAGTTCTGAACTGGTGAGGTGTGCTCACAATGAGGTTCCCTCTAAAAGTTATTTTTCTACTTCTGCTAGCCAAGCAGTTGCCGCTACAGATTGAATGCTTTTGGGCCATCCGCGGGTTACTGGGTTAAGGATTTTTATTTATTTATTTATTTATTATTATTATTATTATTATTATTATTATTATTATTGTTGTTGAGATGAAGTCTTGCTATGTCGTCCAGGCTGGAGTGCGGTGGTGCAATCTCGGCTCACTGTAAGCTCCGCCTCCTAGGTTCACGCCATTGTCCTGCCTCAACCTCCTGAGTAGCTGGGACTACAGGCACCCGCCACCATGCCTGGCTAATTTTTTGTATTTTTAGTAGAGATGGGGTTTCACCGTGTTAGCCAGGATGGTCTTGATCTCCTGACCTCATGATCTGCCCACATTGGCCTTCCAAAGCGCTGGGATTACAGGAGTGAGTCACCACGCCCGGCCTAGGATTTTTGACAGGAAGGCTACGGGTTGTCAGTGGCCTCAGTGCTTTCGGGCTATGCCCTTGTTTACACTGGCAACAAGGTGGTATTGGAGTGTTACAGGGTCATGGAGAAGACCTTCAATTATCAATTATGGGTTTTAAATCTACCATGGCTTTTAAAGGAATAGGGTACGCTGTTTTTTCTTTACTACTTCTGTCTCTTTCTTTTTCTCTTTGACTTTCTGTCTCTCTCTTTCTCTCTCTCTTTGACTCCCTCTTTGTCTCTGTCTCTTCCTCTCTTTCTCTCCCTCTCTCTTTCTCTCTCTCTCTTTGACTCCCTCTTTGTCTCTGTCTCTTCCTCTCTCTCTGCCTTTCTCTCTCTTTCCCCTCTCTCTCTTCCCCCCTTCCCCTCTCTCTCTTCCCCCCTTTCCCCTTTCTCTGTCGCTCTTTCCCCTCTTTTTTCTCTCTCTCTTTTCTCTCTCTCTCTCCCCTCTCTCTCTTCCCCCCTTTCCCCTCTCTCTTCCCCCCTTTCCCCTTTCTCTGTCTCTCTTTCCCCTCTCTTTTTTTCTCTCTCTCTCTTTTCTCTCTCTCTCTCCCCCCCACTTTCTCTCTCTCCCTCTTTCCTCTCTGCTGTTCTTTCCCTGCCTCTGCCAGCTGCTTAGGCTGCTGTTCTCCAGTCTCCTTCCCCTTCCCCTGGAGGAGGGACTGGCAGGAGTGGAGCTACTCTTTCTTCCCCCAAGAAGAAAGGAAAGGGGAGTTCTGAATATTTTTCTTACTACCGGAGGTTTGTGTGAGGTTCAATTCCCCCCATCAGGATTTCTCACCTCTTTTTGAGGTTCAACGTCCCCCATGGGGATTTCTCATCTCTTTTTGAGGTTCAACCCCCACCATGGGGGATTTCTCACCTCTTTTTGAGGTTCAACCCCCCACTTATGGGGATTTCTCACCTCTTTTAGAGGTTCAGCCCCCCCATGGGGATTTCTTACCTCTTTTTGAGGTTCAACCCCCCCCATGGGTATTTCTCACCTCTTTTTGAGGTTCAATCCCCCCATGGGTATTTCTCACCTCTTTTTGAGGTTTAACCCTCCCTCATGGGGATTTCTTACCTCTTTTTGAGGTTCAACCTCCCCATCATGGGGATTTCTCACGTCTTTTTAACCTCCAAGGCTTCCCAACTAAGGAATACTTCACTGCCCCCTGTGGCTTTCTTTCCCTAGTCCTAACTAAGGAATGCTTTACTGCCCCTGCAGTTTCTCTCTACTTGGTATGTCCTAACCAAGGAATGATTTACCGCCTCGCAGCTTTTTCCTTAGTCTCGACCACCAAGGAAATACTTTACCAGCTCCTGTGGCTTCTCCTTCCTTGGTCTGTGCACAGAGTCATTGTCGCAGTATGTGAGGATCCTTTAAGCTAGGTTGTGGGCCAGTTTTTTTTTTTTTCCCATGTTGCTGAGAGCTCAGGTTATTCCTTGCACTGGGTGAGTCTTGATTTCTCACCCCTGAGGCCACCACAAGGGGGCGGGGCATGCCTCCTCATGAGAGAGAACCAGAGACTGCCCCCAGAGTGGAATGTAATCCCGGATGAGCCCCCAAATTGTTATAAATAAAGTTTTGGTGCTGCAAAAGAAATAGCACTCAGATATAACATTTTCTTTTTAATTCTCAGCAAGGCAAGTTACTTATATAGAAGGGTGCGCCCTTACAGATGGAGCAATGGTGAGCACACACTTGGACAAGGGAGGGGAAGGGGTTCTTATCCCTGACGCATGTGGCCCCTGCTGCTGTGTCATTCCCCTATTGGCTAGGGTTAGATCACACAGGCTAAACTAATTACGACTGGCTAATCTAAACAGACTGAAGGGGTGAGTGGTTCGTCGGGAAAAATGGTTATGACAGAGCATGTAATTGGAATGAGTCAGGGCAGAGTAGATAATCGGCATGAGTCAGGGTGGAGCAGGTAATTAAAAAAGTTGCTTTACAAGAAAGTTAAGTTTAAAAGTAGAAGGCAAAGAATTGAACATACTGACATATTGATTCTTTGAAAAGAAATTTAGAACTCATATCTAACACTGCCCTGAAGGGCAATCCCTCACTCTATACCTCAGCTCATCCCATTATGTTACTCAAATGTTGGGAGCCTCAGGGATTTTTCACCTCCTTTCTGTACACCTTAAGAAACCCTGATATGGCTGGGCCTGGTGGCACATGCCTGTAGTCCCAGCTGCTTGGGAGGCTGAGGCAGGAGGATTGTTTGAGCCCAGAAATTTGAGGCTAGCCTGGACAACATAGTGAGACCCCTGTCCCTGAAAAATAAATAAAACAAAACCAGTCCCTGAGTTGGACCAGGATCTGAGGTTGGAAATAGAGGGTGTTTTGGATACTGATTTGAAATTCCTAAAACAATGGTCCTCATCCTTGCCTGTGCACTGGAATCACCTGAGGAGTTTCAAAAAAATTATCATATTTGGGTCTCATCCCTAGTGTTTCTATTTGGTTGATCTGAGGCATGCTCTGGGCACTGTGAGTTATGGAGTTGTCAAAAGATCCAATGCACAGATGAACTTGAGAACCACTGTTTCTAGAGGAGGGTTTCTGAACCTCAGTGCTATGGGCATTCAGCACTACGTAGTTCTTTGTTGTGGGAGATTGTCTTGGGCATTGTGGAAAGTTTATCAGAACGTCTAGACTTTACTGACTAGATGCCAGGAGCACCCTCCCCAGTTGTGACAACAAAAAATGTCTCTAGACTTTGCCAGATGTCTTGGGGTGGGAAGGACAAAATTGCTTCTGTTGAGCACCATTAGTCCTGAGCCATTGCTAGTAGTCTGGGCTGTGAAAGACATCTCTGAGAAAGAAAGAAAGAAGGTGGCTGTTATTGCACCCTCTCTAACAAAATATATATATATATATACATGTGTATATATATGTATATATATGTATATATATATGTATATATGTATATATATGTGTATATATATATATGTGTATATATATGTGTATATATATATATGGAGAGAGAGAGAGAGAGAGATGCCAAGGGGATCTGGCAGAAAATTCTCCTGTCATTGGAAGAAACTTAATCAGGGTGCTTTCTGTTCTTTAAGGTTTTCTATTTCTAAGCAAAGAGATGGCATATTTCTTGGGGAGCATGGTAGAGGAAGGCATCTTAGAAAACGGAATTAAGAAAATGATACAGGAAACTTTCTAGCTGATCTGAGGCACAACAAAAGGAAATGAAATCTTCTTATAATTAGTATGAACAGTCTGGCTTGGATGAAATCTTGCCTCCAACTAAGGAGTTGCAGCCAGCAGTGGGGTGACAAAGTAAAAGGGCTTGGGTGCTAAGTGGATGTCAACCAGGAATGTTGCATTAGCCCTAGGAAGGCTTTGCCACCAAATTGAGAGTAGAGTGAGCTGAAATGGGTGAGAGTTGATATATGTGTATAAGAATAGTGTTAGAATGAACTCATAAGGGGAAGCCTGGGGTTTGTGAATGAAATATTTCAGTGGTTGTCTTAGTTACTGGTTGAGAGAAGAGTCCAGGAAGTACCCTAGGAGAGTGGGGAAGTGAGAGGGAAGGGAAGGATGTGAATAATGGGTGCATTATCAAGAAGTTGCCATGTGGGCACTTGGAGCAGAATTCCTCTGGGAGCTGCAGAGAGCCAGGGCAGAACACAAACCTCAGAGGTATGAGGTGACAGAGCTGCTGTATTAATCCACTAATTCCTATTTGTCATGGGTTTAAGGCTACATCCAAGGCCATTCATTCCTAAGCACTTTGGCTGAGTTCTGGTTTTGGCTTCAGGCAGAGTTGCCAGTGCTGGCAATAGAAAGCAGCCAGTTGGCACTGAATGGTGATTGCTGATGGGATGTAGGTAAGCCACTGGCAGCCTCTGCTACAGTGGTCGATTTTTAAACTTATTTTAAAGTACTGACTTCTTTGCTTAGTTAATGTTTAATTTTTAATAGACTTTTTTTATATGAAAGAATATCGGGGCCAAGCATGTTGGCTCACACCTGTAATCCCAGCACTTTGGGAGGCCAAGGTGGGAGGACAGGTTGAGCCTAGGCGTTCAAGACCAGCCAGGGAAACATGGCAAGACCTCGTCTCTACAAAAAAATAAAAAATCAGCTGGGTGTAGTGGTGTGAGCCTATAGTCTCGGTTACTCAGTACTGAGGGTGGGAGGATCGCTTGAACCCGGGAGGTTGAGGCTGTAGTGAGCTGCGATTGTGCCACCGCACTCCAGCCTGGGTGACAGAGTGAGACCCTGCCTCAAAAAAAAAAAAAAATGTATCAACCTCCGTCAGCCTTAAAGATATCTTCACCTTAGTTTTTGAGACCATGAAATACCATTGCCAGAAACCTAGCAGTCATCCCAGCCCTGTCCTTAACTCTTCTTTGAGTCACCCATTACATCCAATCCACCAAGTCATTTCAGGTCTACTCTAAAACATTCTGGAATTTATCCACTTCTGTCTCTGCTGCTACCTCATTAGTTCAGGACAAGGTTTATTTTTGCTTGGACTATCGCAATAGCTTCCTCTTGGGCACCCCACATTCACTCCTCTTTCAGGCACTTGAATCCATGAGGCTTTTTCTTAAAATGCTTCTCCCCTTCCCACCTCTCCCCATCCCCGCTCTTCCAATGACTTGCTCCTTCCTATCCTTTAGGTCTGGTTAAAGTCACATCTTCACTGAAGACCTTCCTTCCTCTGAAGAAAGAGCTCTCCTAGCTCATACCACTTGTTATTCCATATCAATCCCCGTTTGATTTCTTCTCAGCACGTTCCACAGTTTGTAATATTTTTGTTTATTTTGTTGTCTCCCTCTCTTTATTTTATTATTATCTTTTTTTGACACAGAGTCTTGCTCTGTCAACCAGGCTGGAGTGCAGTGGTGCAATCTTGGCTCACTGCGACATCTGCCACCAGGGTTCAAGCATTTCTCATACCTCAGCCCCCAAGTAACTGGGATTACAGACATGTGCCACCATGCCAGGCTAATTTTTGTGTTTTTAGTAGAGATGGGGTTTCGCCATGTTGGGCAGGTTGGTCTTGAACTCTTGGCCTCAGGCAGTTTGCCCGCTTTGGCCTCTCAAAGTGCTGGGATTATAGGTGTGAGCCACGGCACTCGAACTCCCTCTATTTATTTATTTATTTATTTATTTATTTATTTATTTATTTATTTTATTTGCTATCTCTCCAGGGGGAAGTCATGTCATCTCCCTCTCTGTAATGTAACCTTGGTAAGGGCAGGACCATGCCTATCTCCTTGACCACTTACCCCTAGTAGGATTGCCAAATTTAGCAAATAAAAATACAGGATGCCCACTTAAATTAGAATTTCAGGTAATCGATTAATAATTTTTTAACATAAGAATGTCCAAGTATTGCATAGGACATACTTACACTAAAAACTATTTGTGGTTTGTCTGAAATTTAAATTTAACTGGGCCTCATATATTTTATCTGGCAATCCTAATCCTTAGGCCCTGACACATAGCTGACTCTCACTACATCTTACTGAATGAAAATTTGGTAGCAGCATATCAAAATTGCTACTATGGCAACAAAGCTGGGGAAATGTGCAAAGTACAGAACTGAAGTAGTGAAAAATATCATTTTCCATCATATTTCTGTTCAGATTTGCCTGTCTTTTCACACCAGGAGACTCTAATCAACTCACATCTAAAGTCTTGGGCAGCCCAGCGCTCTGGGAGGGATGCTGACCATAGGAAGGGAACTGGTAGGTACAGCTTTTCACACAGTGGAAATTTTTATCATGGCCTTATACTCGGGCCTTGATTTTCTTTGGCCCTTATCTCTCCAGACTGTGAGCTCCTTAAGGGGACAGCCTGCTTCTTTTTATTCAACCCTTCATTCCCAGCATCTTCAACTGTAGCTGGTAGTAAGGACTCAACATGTGGTTACCGAATGGATTGATAAATGAGTGAAGGGTAGGGTAACTAACTGTCCTGGTTTGACCAGGACTGAGGGGTTTCCTGGGATGTGGGTCTTTCAGTGAAAAAATTGATATAGTCCTGCACAAACTGGGACAGTTGGTCACCCCAAGAAAAGGAGTGATTCTTACTTCTTGGTGGCTGGTGTTCTTCTCCAGTATCATCATATTGGCTGCTACGTGACTACCAAGATTAGACAGCCTATTGGCCCGGTTCCTCATCGATTGAAAGCTGGATATTTGGAGCACTCATGATCCCCTAAATTTCCCCATGTCTGGATTGGCTCCTAAGAGCTTTGCCATACCTCCAGTCTCAGCTCATGGTCTTAACGTTTGGCCTTATGGCCTGGTCTTGTGATACCTAGTATATGCCTGGACTTGTGCTCCTAGAATGAAGGCATTCAGGCCAACCACAAGGCAAAGGGCCCTGGGCCTTGGTTCAATCTTAGCAAGACTGACCTGACCTGCCAGGTTTGTCTCATCAAGACTTGATTATGACCAATCACTACGTCCACAGAACACCAGCAAGTTTATTGAGTAATTAAGGTGACAGCCATAGAACTTTGCAAATGCGTTTCCATAAAAGTTCTGAGTTACTTGACTATGAAAAGTGAATTTTCATTTTAACCAACCCCCTCCTCCAATACTACCAGAAAGCATGAGATTCTGAAGAAATCTTCACAAATCTACTCTTAATTATGGTAGCAATGTTCCAGTCTCAATTAGGTTCTGCTGGGTTCCTGGAGTTGGGAGTGAAGTGGCTCTTGAGTGGCTCCCAGCACTTGTGGTAGTTCTCATCCAAACACCTGGAGGCCTTGAGTCCCCACTTTGTGACCGCCAGACTTAAAGATGATTCAAACATAAATGCCTGGAGGAAGTGACGATGGGGATGAGAAAAAAGAGGTGAGATAGATAATAAACACATTTGATTAGATGTCAACAGAAGGTATGGGTAGGTGAAATCTTCCAATAACAAATCAAAGATTTGTGTGCTAGAGTGGTGAGGAGAGCAGGCTCAAGCCCTGAGTTGTGGCTCTGGTCCTACCATTTGTAAGCTGGTGAGACCTGGTACAAGACCCTTAACTTCTCAGGGCCTCAAGTTTCATTCTGTAAAATAAAATTCAGCCCTTAAGCTTCAAATTATCTTCATGGTATTACGGAACTAAGTCTGCTAGATCCAAGGGCAGACATGGGAGAATCCTGGGAATATCCATCTTCTGAGGGCCTTCACTTACTGTGGCTATGTCCTTGTGAGGAAAGTCATACTTCCCATTTTGCAGAGGAGGAATTAAGGCTGAGAGCTGGGAAACGACTTGCTTAAGGCGACAAGTCATCGCAGAACTGGGATTTGAGCCTGTCTTTTCAGGACTCTGACCAAGAGATGGGCTGGGAAAAGGGAAAAAGGGAGTGGGGAGGAGAGGGAGGTGAAGGAAATGGCAGGAATGGCTGTAGCACTTTTAAAAGTCATATCTCAGAAGTGTCTGAATGGTGGATGTTGCACTGTCAGGAGGTTTTTGTCCACAACAGAAAGAATATGTAAATACTCTGTGCATCTTAGACATTACAGCTTCATCAATTGCTGACTTTTCTTATCCACTGTGGCTTTAAAAACAAAACAAAACCCAAAAACCAAACCCTACAATTCTTATATGCTCACATTTGGAAATTTGTATAATACAGACAGGCAAAAGGAAAATAATAGAATTATCTTGTGCTACAACCCAAAGCACCCACATTAATGTTTGGGCTCTAATATACATTAAATTATTTTTGTCTAAAACAATGGATATGAGTATCGCTGCCTGATTTCCTGTGACAGGCTTGATGGGAAGACTGGATGAGATCATATGGAAGTGCTATGCAAGTTATACAGTGCTATTCAAGATGCAGAAAAGGCTTTCAATAAAATTCAGTATATCTTCAAGTTAAAAACTCTCAATAAACTAGGCATTGAAGGAACACATCACAGAATAATAAGAGCCACCTATGACAAACCCACAGCCAACATCATACTGAATGGGGAAAAGCTGGAAGCATTCCCTTTGAAAACCAGCATAAGACAAGGATGCTCTCTCTCACCACTCCTATTCAACATAGTCTTAGAAGTCGTGGCAAAGAGTAATCAGGCAATAGAAAGAAATAAAGTGCATCCAGAAGAGAAGAAGTCAACCTATCCCTGTTTGCAGATGACCTGATTCTATATCTAGAAAACACCATAGTCTCAGCCCAAAAGCTCCTTCAACCAATAAACAACTTTCAGCAAAGTTCATGATACAAAATCAATGTACAAAAATCACTAGCATTCCTATACACCAACAACAGTCAAGCTGAAAGCCAAATCAGGAATGCAATCCCATTCACAACTGCCACAAAAAGAATAAAATACCTAGGAATACCCCTAACCAGAGAGGTGAAAGGTCTCTATAATGAGAATTACAAAACACTGCTCAAAGAAATCAGAGAAGACACAAACAAATGGAAAAACTTTCCATGCTCATGGGTAGGAAGAATCAACATCATTAAGATGACGATACTATCCAAAGCAATGTAAAGATTCAACGCTGTTCATATCAAAATACCAACGACATTCTTCACAGAACTAGGAAAGACTATTTTAAAATTCATATGGAACCAAAAAAGAGCCCAAATACCCAAGGCTATCCTAAGCAAAAAGAACAAAGCAGGAGGCATCATGCTACCCAACTTCAAAGTATACTACAAGGCTACAGTAACCAAAACAGTGTGGTAATGATACAGAAACAGGCACATAGACCAATGGAACAGAATAGAGAGCCCAGAAACAAGGCCGCACACCTATAACCATCCGATTTTCAATGAAGCTGACAAAAACAAGCAATGGGGAAAGGACTATCTATTCAATAAATCATGCTGGGACAACTGGCTAGTCATAAGCAGAAGATTTAAACTGGACCGCTTCCATACACCATATAGAAAAACCAACTCATGATGGATTAAGGACTTAAATGTTAAGCCCAAAACTATAAAAACTCTGGAAGATGACCTAGGCAATACCATTCAGGACATCAGCATGGGCAAAGATTTCATGACAAAAACATCAAAAGCAATTGGCAACAAAAGAAAAATTGACAAATGGATCTAATTAAACTTAAGAGCTTTATATATATATATATATATATATATATACACATACACACACACATACACACACACACACACACACACACACACACACACAGATAATGGAATACTATGCAGCCATAAAAAAGAACAAGATCATGTGTTTCTCAGGAACACGACGGAGCTGGAGGCCATTATCCTTGGCAAACTAAGAGGAACAGAAAACCAAATATTGTATGTTCTCACTTCTAAATGGGAGCTAAATGATGAGAACTTGTGGACACAAAGAGGGGAGCAACAGACACTGATGCCTACTTGAGAATAGAGGGTGGGAGGAGGGAGAGAATCAGAAAAAATAACTATTGGGTACTGTTTAGTACCCGAGTGATGAAATAATCTGTACAATAAACCCCTGTGACATCAGTTTACCTATATAACAAATCTTCACATGTACCCCTGAACCTCAAATAAAAGTTAAAAATAAATAAAGAAATAAAAGAAAAAAAATGAATAAGACCTAGCATTTGATAGCATAACAGGGTGACCATAGTCAATAAAAATTTAATTGCACATTTTAAAATAACTGAAAGAATATAATTGGATTGTTTGTAACACAAAGGATAAATGCTTGAGGTAATGGATACCCCATTTATCTTGATGTGATTATTACGTATCATATGCCTGTATCATCATATCTCATGTACCCCATAAATATACATACTTATTATGTATCCATAAAAATAATAAATAATAAGTAATAAAGATTTTTAAAAAGCACTATTCACATACAAGGATCATTATGGCCATTGCTATTGTCTCTTTGCTGACTGCTTCTTAAAAGCCTCTCCATTTGGCTGGATTAACAAAAGCCCCATCCCAGCTGACTTTGAAGATGCTATTGTACCAAGTTAATCACTCCAAACAAGAATAAGGATAAGGCATGTAGATAGACCTGGGTCTGAATTATATAATGGGAAATGGTGAGGACGACTGAAAGTTAGGTCTAGGTAAGATGTTGGACCCTCCGCCATCAGGTATTCTGGCTCCTTGATACCCAGGGTCTCCCATCCTAATAGGAGAGCTCTTTCTCACTAGTAATTCAAAGTATTGCTCCTCATAGAAACAGCCCTGTCCTACGCCTCACTGTTGTAAAACACAGCTCCCTCATAACATTGACTACCCAAAGCCAAATTGGGGGACCAAAGGTTATTGAGTGGCAACTCTAGAATAGCCTCCAGGACTGCACCTCCAGGAGACTTCAGAGGTAATAGCTTAACTGAGACTGCCAGACTGCATCTCTTTGAGATGTAGGGGTTCTACAGAAACTCCATAGAGGCCCTTGAAAGGGGAAATAGAGCCAAAGCAAGCAAATGGGACTCTGAACACCCTCCTTTTGCAAAGGAGCTCCACCAACTCTGGCTCCAGGGTTGGGACTGAAAGCAAACTGCAGTGGACAGACGGACAGATAATGCTCACTGTTTAGGTAGTTTGCAAGCATGAAGCAGGCAGGTCTCTGCTATAGATTTTAAACCAGGTAGCATTGAAGGCATTTATTTTCAAAAGTAAAGCAAATTTGCATGTGATTTAGCATAAAATTACTCCCTGTGGACCATAAACTCTACCTCGAAGAATGCAAAAATAAAATAAAATCAAGCACCGCAGCCAGCTGCAATTGTGTTCAGCCTCAATGTTTACAGCCTGACACAGGAAGAATACAAAACAGGTTTTAAATCCCATCAGTTGCATCCATGCCAAAGCAGAGCAAAGGAAAATGCAAAAAACAGCTGAGAATTGCTTCTCACAAGCCCTGACTATAGTGAGGCAAGGGCTTTTTGACCCTCCTTGGCTTGAAACACGTGCTGAAGGTGAGATCCTGCCTCCGCTACTACTGTGGCCCTGGAGGATTACTTCAAAACGCAGAAGACTCTGAGACATAGCATATGCCCAGGGCTGCATAAGGATACAGGAAGAGGCTTCACATAGTATTAATAATGTTCCCTTACATTTGAATAGTGTTGGACAGTCTGTTAGGTTAACTCATAGCCATCTGCTGGGTTGGATACTATACCCATTTTATAGATGGGGAAAATGAAGCACAGAGAAGCTAAGTGAGTTGTTCAAGATCCTGTAGGAACTAAGAGATGGGACTTAAACTCAGAACCCAGGTCTGACTCCAAGTCCAACGATCTTTCTACACCACCACAACAGAAGTCTAGTATATACACAAGGATGTGAGTATATATACATGTAAACATACTTATGCAGTCATTAACTCTCCCTCTTTTGACTCTTCCTCTGTGACTTTGGAGAAATGAAAAACGGCCACCCCTCTCAGTAAGGGTGGGGAGTTCAGAGGCCGCTGGAATGTGGCAGTTAACATACTTACCATGGTGCCATCGGCAATCCTCTCAGGTGCCAGCTTGACCTTGCTGGCCTTCTCAAAGCAGTCAGCATCAGGTCCATGGGGGGTCATTGTGCTGTGTAGACTCCCTCCCCCTGGCAGGAACCCACCTTGCTTTGCCTCATAGTGACCTCGGATGAGTCCCATGAACTCACTCATGCAGTTCCCTGGGAAGGTTGAAGCAGTATTATTTTTATTATCCAAGGCAAGACCAGTAAAACACAAAGCCCCTTAAACATTATTTCTGCAGAATTCCAAGAACACAGGAGAAACTAGTAAATTGTATAGGATTAATAAAGAATATGGATTGACAGAAGAACAATCATAAAACATTCATATTGGCATTCTTGGCAGGCACAGCTCTACTCCATGGCCATGTGGATTATCAGAGGTCTCGAGTTCCACTCTCTGACAGGAATCAGGCTAGATCTAAAGAAAATCAGGGCCCAGAGAAGATAATAATAATTAAAATGCTAGTCATAATAGAGAGCGAATGTACTCTATCATCTAAGCTTACGAGCCCTGTATCAAAGTTATCTTATCTCCCAGATCATAACCCTTTCCCAAGTAGCTCCACTGTAGGACACAGCAACAGCATATTTCTAATTCCCAATCTAGAAGGCTTAGATTGAGGGTGTGTGGTTTTGATGGATGATAGATGATAATGTAATGAAAAGAACCCCAGACTTAAAGTCCATTATCAAATGATAATCTGTGTGAAAGAATCTTGGTATGTGTATAAAACAGACCATAAATGCTATTTATTATAACAAATATTATCTTCTATAGATGAATCTGTTATCCTCTTGTTTTTCTGTTCTTCAGAATGTCTTTTGGATTTGTTTTTATTTTTTCTAGTTCCATTGATACCCTATTCATAGAGTCCTAAATCTTGAAATTGGAAGGTATCCTTACTTCTACTCAATGTAGAAGAAATTTCTATATCTTTCCTGACTGATTACCTCCCGGGCTCTGCCTGGATGTGAATGGAAGCTCTCCACTCTACAAAGCATATCATATTATTGAAGAGCTCTGTGTGTAAGAAAGTTCTTATATTAAATGGAAATTTGCTTTTATATGAGTTAAATTCATTGGTCCTAGTTGTGCTTTCTAGAGTCACACAAAATTTAACAAAAATCACCATGCTTCCACTCTTCCAATCTTATGCTTCTATTGAAATAAAGCTCTTTATTAGAGTAGCAATACCATAGAGCAGGAATTAAAGAAATATAACACCTGGGCAAATTTAAGTGCCTTTGCATCTCAAACCACACATCTACTTACCCATTCATTCATCTGTCTTTTTCCCACTTCACCCATCTGCCCATCCAGTTAGCCAGCACATATAATTAGATATGTGCTGGCTAACATGAGACAGAGATGAATAAGAAATAGCTTTTAAAGCTACTTAAAAAAGAAATAATTAACAACAACAACAACAACATAGCCTTTAAAGCTACTCATAGTCTGTCCTGTGAGAGTACTGAGAGGGCAAACCAAGGACAGAATAGAGAGATGTGGCAGTGGCAACCGTTACAAAATCAAACACTGGACATGATACATGCCTGCCCTTCTTGCTTACATGTGAAGTATAACCAAGTGCCAAATGCTTTTATAATTGACTAAGCAGCCACACCCACCCTGCTCAGAAACAGAAAGCTACTGCAGGCCCCTACAAAGTGAGTGAGAGTGTGTGAGCTCCTGCTGAAGAGGTGAGACCCAGATCATAGTTCTACTTGTTTCTCTATGAAGTGGAAATACAGAAAAAGAAGCAAATGTAAGCATAAATTGTCTATGTTTTAAAAACAGTTCAGCTCATGACTTAAATTTGGTGTCAAGCTCCTTGCTCTAGTATGTGTCCTCAGGGTCACCTTCATGGCTTAATTTTAAGAAGAGAGCAAAACAGAATTCAGCTTTGATCTGAATATGAATTTAGATAGCAGTGAGCTTGGTGATGACATTTCTATATCATTTTCTATATTTCAAAGGACAGTGGGAGGATAGACCTTGCCTTTCTGATTAAAGCTGAATCTAGGCCGGGCTCAGTGGCTCACGCCTGTAATCCCAGCACTTTGGGAGGCCGAGGCGGGTGGATCACGAGGTCAAGAGATCGAGACCATCCTGGCCAACATGGTGAAACCTCGTCTCTACTAAAAATACAAAAAATTAGCCGGGCGTGGTAGCGGGCGCCTGTAGTCCCAGCTACTCAGGAGGCTGAGGCAGGAGAACAGCATGAACCCGGGAGGCAGAGCTTGCAGTGAGCCAAGATGGCGCCACTGCACTCCAGCCTGGGAGACAGAGTGAGATTCCGTCTCAAAAAAAAAAAAAAAAAAAAAAAGCTGAATCTAGTTGACTAAGGCACATTAAGATGACTGGAGGCAATATTTCTATAGAAATAATTCTCCATTTTCTCTTATAATAAAGTCACATCAAAGCAGCAAAGATTTTGAGTATTGCCAAGGCAATATTTTTAATATCTCTGGAAAACTCATTTCTAACCTGGGGTTCTGTGGTTTTTTCCCAACGAACTCAGGGTACCCATACCTTTATAAGATCTACCCTGGGGCCAAATTTACTTTGAGAGTCATTAAAAAACTATAGGAGGCATCTCTCAAGATTATTTGTGTCAGCAAGTCTGAACTACAAATAAAAATTAAGGAATGGGTTGAGACCCTATAGCACAGTAGCAAACTTGTCTAAATCAGATGACTCTATTATTCCTCCACCTAGGGATGGGGACACACCCTAGGCCAGTATTTCTCAACAAGCAGTCTGTAAACCTCCTTCATCAGAATCCCCTGACTTGCCAGTGAAAAATGTAGATTCTGGCCAGCCATGGTGGCTCATGCCTGTAATCCCAGCACTTTGGGAAGTCAAGGCAGGTGGATTGCTTGAGTTTAGGAGTTCAAGACCAGCCTGGGCAACATGGCAAGACCCCGTCTGTACTAACAATACAAAAAAAAAAAAAAAAAGCCAGGTGTGGTGGTGCACACCTGTGGTCCAAGCTACTCAGGAGACTGAGCGGGGAGGATCACTTGAGCCTGGGGGGTGGAGGTTGCAGTGAGCTGAGATTGTGCCACCTGCACTCCAGCCTGGGTGACAGAGTGAGACCCTGTCTCAAAAAAAAAAAAAAGGCAGATTCAGCATCACTTGTGGGAACTTGTTAAAAATGCAAATTCTTAGGTCCTATCCCAGACCTACTGAAGCAGAAATTCTGAGGATGGAGCCCAGTAATCTGTGTTTTAATAAACCTTCCAGCTGACTGTGACACATGGTAAAATGTAAGAACCACTACAGGCACACAGAGTAACCTCAATACAAGAACAAGAGTGAAATGGTGAATTATTAAGGAGTAACATGCGAAGTACAGACTATAAGCCAGGGCAATTTTCTCTCCTTGACAACAGGTCCTCTAGGTCACTAACTTCCAGGAGGAGAAAAGTTAGAGTCTTTAGTAGGCTTCACAGTTTTTAGAAACGACTTATGATGCTATTCACAAAATAGCTGCTGTCTTTGCCATGGTAACTGATTGTTTTCTTTTCTCTACCATGATGGTGCCATCTGAAAAGGGGGATGCTGGCATTTGACCATGGAGTGGCCTACGTCCATCCTAAGGGCCTTCATTCCTGATGCTATAAAATAGCTAAATTGGCCATTCAGTGCACTGTTGTGTTCTGTTGAGCCCTGACACCTGGGAACTGGTATATATAGAGAGGGACCTATTATAAACAGAAGGCCCTGGAGTTTACTAAAGAAAGGAATTTGTTTTCTAGAATGTTCCAGGTGGAATGCCTCTTAGAGTCTTTCCAGAACTCTATGCACAAAAAAATGCACACTCCAGGAAGTAGAATTGCACATTGACCTTTGATTGGATTTTCAGCTAGCTATTGCACAATTAAAAATGTCAACCTCATTAAGTACAGCCGTGAAGTACTTTATTTATTCTTGTTGATGCATTCACTTATTAAATAAATATTTATTAAAAGCATGCTATATATCAGGCACTATGCTAGCCATACCAGTTAGTGGTCATGAGTGTTTGCTCTGGTATCAGACAGCCTGCAATTAAATCCTGACTCTACACTTAACTTGCTGTGAGTCCTTGAGAGAGTTACTTAATCCCTCTTGTGTCAGTTTAATTTTCTGAAAAAAAAAAAAAAAAAGCGGGGGGGACAATAATACTACCTGTCTCTTACAAGTATTATAAACACTTCATGAGTTAGTTTTTTAAAAAACTTGTAACAGAGCCATAGAAATTGGACAATAATTATTAGGTGCTAAGAATAATAATATTAATAAAATAAAAATAGTAGATTTGTTAGGTCTTGTACTAGGCAACAAATGTTCTGCAGAAACTCTTTCCAGAATAGAGTTCATTCCTTAATGCAGGCTGCAGTCTGCTTTGCCCTGCCAAAATAATTGGAGAAGGCACATTTCTGTCTCTCTGTCTCTCTCTCTGTCTCTCTCTGTCTCTCTCTTCTTATTTCTCTGGTTCTCTGAACCAGACTTAGGTGATGAACTTTCCCAAAACAACAGACTAACTAACAACCTCCCCAGTATTCCCCAAAAGGAAACATCTAAAATGTGAGGAAACTTGTTTAGAAGCCTTTCTAACAAGGCTTCTAAACTTTACCAGCCTTTCTGCCTCTTACAGGGACAGAGAAACTGGGAACTAGGCTCAGAATCAATGCATCACTGTTGATGTAGTTTGGATGTATGTTCCCTCCAACTCTCATGTTGAAATGTGATCCCCAGTGTTGGAGGTGGGGCCTGGTTTGAGGTGTTTGGGTAATGGAGGCAGATCCCTCATAAATGGCTTGGTGCCATCATGACGGTTATGAGTGAGTTCTCACTCTATGAGTTCACATGGGGTTTGGCTGTTCAAAAGAAGCTGGGACTTCCTCCTTTCTCTTGCTTGCTCTCATCATGTGATATGCCAGCTTCCCTCTTGCCTGCCACCATGATTGTATTTCCTGAGGCTTCATTAGAAACAGATGCCAGCACCATGCTGCTTGTACAGCCTGCATAACCACGAGCCAAATGAACCTCTTTTCATTATAAATTAAGTAGCCTCAGGTATTCCTTTATAGCAACGAAGAATGGACTAACACAACTACCATCCCTTAAAGAGATTAAAGCTTGGGGATCAGCACTAGGCCTTGTGCAGCAGGATCCTGAATTCATGCCATGGTGGGTGTCCAGAAATAACCCAGGCATTATTCCCAATGTGTAGCGCTCACTGCTTTGTTGTCTCTTTGGCTTGCAAATGTGGCTTGGTAAAAGAGAGACTTACTATGGTAATAAGGAGGCCTGAAGGTCTTATCAGCAACCCCCCATCGAGGTGGGAAGATGACAAAATCAGCAATGGCCACTCCAGGGCGGACAGACTTAGCAGTCAATACTGTGAAAATGGATGGGTCCTGTGAACACACAAGGAGAGACTGAACGCATGATGCAAGGGAAGTGACTGGACAATGACACACATTTCATGCATACATGAAGGTGTTTGCAAGTGACATTCTAATTTTTTTATTTATTTTTATTCAACTTTTAATTTAGATAGAGGGATACATATGCAGTTTTGTTACATGGGTATATTGTGTGATACTGAGGTTTGGGGTAGGGATCTGATATGGTTTGGTTGTGTCCCCACCCAAATCTCATCCTGAATTGTAGCTTCCATAATCCCCACATGTTGTGAGAAGGACCCGGTGGGAGGTAACTGAATCATGGGGGCAGGTTTTTCCCATGCTGTTCTCATGATAGTGAATAAGTCTCACAAGATCTGATGGTTTTATAAAGGGCAGTTCCCCAACACATGCTCTCTTGATTGCCTCCATGTAAGACATGCTTTTGCTCCTCCTTCGCCTTCCACCATGATTGTGAGGCCTCCCCAGCCATGTGGAACTGTGGATATGTTAAACCCCTTTTTCTTTATAAAGTACCCAGTCTCGGGTATTTCTTCACAGCAGTATGAAAATGGACTAATACAGGATCCCATCACCCAGGTAGCGAGCATAGTATCCAATAGGTAGTTTTTTCACCCTCCCCCTTCTAGTAGTCTCCAGTGTCTATTTTTCTCATGTTTATGTCCATGGGTGCTCAATGTTTAGCTCCCACTTATAAGTGAAAAGATGCAGAAGTTGGTTTTCTATTCCTGCATTAATTTGCTTAGGATTATGGCTTCCAGCTGCATCCATGTTGCTGCAAACGGACAGCCTAATTTCTGATCAAACAACAGAAGTCTGGGCTTGTCATCAAGGTGCAATAATCACTCATATGACTTTTTCCTCTTGCTGTGCTTGAGGCAAAATGAATTAACACCAGCTAAAAGGATTCTGAACTGCTTTTTCACCCTGCTGAGCCCACATTACATGCAACTTATTACCCCGTGGGTCTGAGAACCAACGGTGCCTGCTTCTCAACCTCAGATCAAGTTGACTAGAGCTGAGATGTGCAGCAGAAGGGATGCTCAGAGCAAAGTAGAAATAGAAATAAAGCAAAATCCAAGTTTTGGTGTAGATGTGCTCCTCTTTGGGAGAATACGGAGATTCCAGATTGTATCCATTGGCAGAAAAGTCTGAGAAGTGGTTCATTGCTTTCCTACCTTTGTTTGACTTTCAGGTCTAAAACACAGCATTTACATCCGTAGTCTTCATAGTGGTAGTGTAGAGATAGGATAGGTTGAGGGACGAAATTATACTTTTTAAAACTCTTCAGAATTCTTTAGTGAGAAGGTTGAGATTCAATTTAATTGAAATCAACAATCATGTTCCCTTTCAGATGCCATGTAAGAGTCTGGAGATTCAAAGATCATGGGGATCGATTCCCTGCTTCTTTAGCATTAATTGTGGGGTGGGGGTTGGGCAGCTAATTCTACCTGAAAGGGTCAAGGAAGGCTTCAAAGAGGAGGTGACATTTGAGGTAGGTCTTCAAGAATGAACAGAAAGAAAGAAAAAGAGAGAGAGAAAGGAAGGAAGGAAGGAAAGAAGGAAGGAAGGAAGGAGCATATGTACCCTTGAACCTAAAATAAAAGTTAAAAAAAAAAAAAGAAAGGAAGGACGTGGCGGGGATGGGGGAAAAAGGGAGGGAGGGAGGGAGGGAGGACTAAGGAAGTGGGAAGGAAGGGAAATGACATTTTAATCACTGAAAACACATCAAAGTGCACAGAGATTTTGTTAAGAGGAGAGAAGGCTAAAACCCCAGTGCATTGACAGAAGGGAGAGGGGCAAGAGGTGATACTGGAAAATGAGTCCAGGGACAGATGGTGAAGAGCATCAAACACCATGCTTCAGAGTGCAGACTTAATCCTAAGCCATGGGAAGCCTGCAAAGGCTTTCTAATGAAGACAGTGGTGGCATGATCAGAACTGAATTTTGGAAAAATAACTATTGCAGCAATACAGAGAAGATCGCATCTGTGTAAATTCAAATAAAAATAAACCCAACCCTTATTGCTGTGAGAATTGACATTTCTTCAACTGTCATGGGACATGATCTGAAACTATTAAAGCAAAGGTAGTGAATCACAAATAAAGCTTTATCAGTGTCTCAGGATCCTTTTTCGTGCTGTTTGTTTGGGGTCTGATGTCTCACTTTTCTTTTCCCCTTTGCTTTTATTAAGAGTTGCTGCTGTTTGGAGAGGTAGGTTTGTCCCCCCAGAGATAAACTGAACTGGCTCACAATAATCCTTTTGCCTCTGAGTCTCTGACTTCTGCTCTAATTATCCTTCCAGCTTGTGGGTTAGGTTCATCTCTTATGAAGTGAGCTGCAAAATGAACTTCCCCCCGGGGTCTCAGAACCACCACTTTATTAAGAATGTAGGGTCTTGGGAGCCTGCACTGTAGACCAGAGACCATTTGTGGCCTGCGAACTGAGTGAAAAATATGACCAAGTTCATGCTCTAGAATTTCTTTGGTTTAAACTCAAGCACTGAAAGTTATGAGTAACTTTAGAAGTGGGCTGTTCACTCTGTCACTGCCAAATACAGCCAGGAATGAAGGCACTGGGGTGAGAAGTCAGAGATCATAGAGGAGGCTCTTGAGAGTTGTGGGGTCAGGGACTTCTCCAAATTCATAAAGTTCCTTTCTCCTCATTCTACCACCGACATTAACACTTGGTTGTTTTGGGGGATAAATTTTCCACAAAGAAACTAAGTGTTTATCCACTTAGTTTGGCAAATACAAGTCAGAGTATCACCAATGCTCTGTAGAGAATGAAGCTATGTTCACAGGGGAATGTTGAGTATCTGGCTTTGCTTCCCTACTAGTTGTGTTATTTACTCCCTCACCAAAGGACAAATGACTATATCTAGGGCTTCCAATGGTGACATTGGAAATGTTAGATCTGTAAATGTCAGGGGTCTACTGTGGACCCCTCCCACCCAAGCGTTGCCTCATCCCAAGGCCCCTACAGGGTTCAGACTTACTGCATGGTCAAAGGCCACTGAGTTGATAACCATGAAATTCTTCAGGTTGTACTTGTAGGGTGTATAATTCCCGTGCCAGGCCACAACATTGAACGGGGAGACATCCTAAACACAAAAAGCAGGAAAGGATAATTTTACCATCTAATGCTTTTGTAGCTGTGATCCCACAATATGTACTGAGTATACCTCTCTCTTCTTTTGATTTGATTTTGTTCTCGATTTAATTTTACCGTCCTTTGGGAGAAGTATAACCCTGAATCATTTTGTGGTTGCTCCACACACCCTCTACTTAGCCACTAACCCTATTTTTCTGGTTCATAAGCTGCAGCTGCCTTCTGATCACACATGCAGCAGAAACACAGCACATTCTCCAAGTAGTGCCTTTTCAACAATTTTTAACCTAACTGTGAGGATCTGTGGATGTCAGCAGTTCTCAAACAATCTGGGCTACCTTCTGTTTCCTGGAACAGAGAGTACCTGCTGTGATGCTTCTCCAGGTAATTTCAGCCTAGAGGAGCTTGCAATAGACACAGTGCCTGGGTTGGTGAGTCCAGGAGAGGGGAGAAGGCCTCTAAAAGTTCCAACTCCAAGGACTTGAGATTTCAGAGCAATCCTAACATAATACTTCCTGGTCCTGTCCTGGGGTAGAAGAGGATCAGTGTCCTGCTATAGGAAGGTGGTCCCTTCTGTATCTATGGGTCCGAAAGTGCTAAAGATTTTAATGAAGGCGCTACTCATAGAGGCGTGGTTAGGGTTAACTGGAATGACTAGAAATGTTGAGGTATCTGAGCCTAGCAATAGCGGGAAGACACTGCTATTCCTGGGCATGTGGAATGAGGAGGGAAATATTGTTATAGGACTTTAGCAAGAGCTAGAATTATAAAGAAGGGTGTTACCCAGTGGTGTGCTGGTAAATATTTCACAACTAGCACTCTGAAAAAAATACATAAAGCATTGACATATAGTGTTTACTGATTTCTAAGGTGTATACAGTCTCACCATGATGATTTTCTAGCTACCAGTATGACATCAACAAATACACAGTTGGACAGAAGCGTGCATATCAGCTTTTGCAAGTCACTATGAATCAGCTCCAGCCCACCACTAGGGCTACCCAACAGGAACTGAGGTCATATGGGGGATGCAGCTACTGTCAGAAACACAGTCCTAAACAGCGAGGAAGCAGGGGAAGAAATATCCCAATTTGTCTTTCCTCCTGCCTTGTAGTTTCCTGTGGGTTGAACCCAACAGAAACCAGCTGGCTAGGGAGCCCGGGTGATACAGTCAACCTTCCAGGGCACAGATCATGGCAAAGAGGGAGAATGGATCAGTGGGGACTCACACAGAAAATAACCAGCACAGGGTCCACTTGGAAAGTGCAAACCTTTCGGAGGAGCTACTGGCTGCTTCTACAATTGTGGTTCTTTAACAATTGTATGTAAACAATGATCTGGGGAACATGCTTAAAATGAATGTAGGTTTCCATGTCCCATCTCCAAAGCTTATCATTTTTTGCAAGGCTAGAGTAGTATCTAAGGATCTGCATTTTTTTTGAGAGGGAGTCTTGCTCTGTCGCCCGGGCTGGAGTGCAATGGCATGATCTTGGCTCGCTGCAACCTCCACCTCCTGGGTTCAAGCGATTCTCCTGCCTCAGCCTCCCAAGTAGCTAGGATTACAGGTGTGCACCACCACATCTGGCTAATTTTTGTATTTTGGGTAGAGACGGGGTTTTGCCATGTTGGCCAGGCTGGTGTTGAATTCCTGACCTCAGGTGATCCGCCTGCCTTGGCCTCCCAAACTGCTGGGATTACAGGCATGAGCCACCATGCCCAGCCTAGGATCTGAATTTTAAACAAGCCTCCTTGAGGATTTCTGATGCAAATAGCCCCCGAATTTTGAGAGACCTTGACCCAGAGAATAAGAGAATAACAATATGTCTGCTTCAGGGGTTAATTTTAAGTGCCAAACTGGTTGGCCTCGGCTGGTTGGCATTATCTCTAGATGCTGCCTAAGAAGAATAACATACCTTGGAAAATATAAGGAATAAGTCAAATAGACAAAATGAAGCAAACAAATAATGCTAAACAGAAGAGATCTTTGGGTTCTTCTTATTATATGATTATTTTATTCTAATATATATTCAGTACATTTAGTAATATATTATGTTATAGAGTCCATATTACATTGTTGTTATTATTATTTATTAATATCTGTGCCTTTGCTTGTGTCCTGAATTGCCAGCCTGGTGGTACAAACCAAGCCAAGCTAATTAACTGAATTCTACTTGTTTTGTAGAATTGCTTGTATTTGAAATAGGGTGGTATTGGAGACTATAAATCTTGGCTGATCTGTTAACTCATTTACTTTTCAGAACATATTATGCTGCCCATATATTATGTTTTCCATACCACTTATAGAAACCTACATATTGCTAATATTTTCATTGCTTGGTGAGTAGAAAGGGCACAACCTTTGGAGTCAGACAGATATGGGTTCAAATTCTGGTTCTGCCACTTACTGTGAAATTGGTAAATTATTTATCATTACTGGCCTTTTCCATGACTATGAAAGTATAATTGACTACTAGAACTATTTGCTTTATTTGTAGTGCCGTAGTGGTATGATAACAACGAAAGGATATATGTAAAGTTTGTAACACTCGCCTTGGCAATCAGTAAGTGCTCAATCACTCTTCATTTCCTCCCTTGCCTGCCAACCCTTTTACTTTACCTGTTTGGCAGCAAACAGCTTGCCCTGGTATTTATTAATGACCGTGTAACCACCTGGTACTTGGCGATCCTCATACCAGGCAATGGGTATCAAGAAATCACGAGGATTGGCCAAGCCATTGGCCCCTAGAAAACAGTAACCCAAAAGTCTTTTAGAAACTTCCAAAACATAGGAAAGATGCCCATGGTTGCATGAAGAGAAAGGCTTTCTTTCATGTCAAGAGCTACTCCACAAATTGCTTTCATTGCTCAAAGATTCACTGCATTTCCAGTCTGGTACCTTTTAGGAAGACCCAAGGAATCTGGTCAGAAAAAAATTCACAAAAACCAGCATTACTTTCTAAGGTTGTGGAGTGACTATGGTTAACAAAACAATCTTATATGCATTATCTTATCACTACAGGTGAGGGGAAGGGAAGAGAGAAAGAGAACTGAAAAGAGGAAAAGGGAAGATCTGATAGAACTCCAGAACTTTTTCTTTTGAAGGAACCCTTGAATATTCTAGAAGTCATTGACAGTCCTTGATCTCAGATAGAAAGGGTTACACGCTGTTGCCTAAGGCATGCCTCTGCTCCCTAGACAGAACTCAGATTCCAGTCTGAAAACGGTTCTCCAGCCTGAAAAACCCTGTCTGCCACTCAGGAAGAAGTATTTAGGACCTGCCTGCTTACCTTTGCTTAGGAGTGAGTGTTTCCTCCAGAGAAAGGAAATAAATCAAAAGACCAAACATGAAAAACTTAAGTGCAAAAACAGTTTAACTCTGAGAGGAGCGAGCTGAGGAGTGTTTTATCATTTCCAGCTCCTGGACTTAAAAAAATAAGTCCCCGGCTGGTTAGCAAATTATAGATATTTTCCAGAGGGTACATGTTCCACGGAACCTGGAGGCTATGCTGACTATAGAGCAGCAGGAAGCCAGAGCAGAGTGGGAAGAGTGGGAGGTGAACAGGATGACAGACGGCCCACCACGGCTCCAGCTGCCTCTTGCTGCCTCCCACCTTCCTCTGCATATTTGGATTCCTCAGAGGAGCTGACCAGAAGGCACACACTGGCCTGTCCCTGTTTGCTCTAAAAAGCTGTTGACAAGGAAGGGAAGAATTGGGAGATGTGACCAAAGAGTAAACCAAGGGCCAATTTTCCCAGCCATTTCTTTCAATCCAAGAGACAGTTTGAGAACAACCCCTCCTAACATTTTCACTTCCTCCAGCTTGCCAGAAGAATGGGGGCTGTGGAGACCTTGGTTCACTTTGGAATGTTTTAATCTGCCTCCTGGGGTGTGGTTTCTAGATCTCTCATAGCACTGAGTGATGTGTTTTTTTGACTGCTAAGTGTGTGGATTTGGTGGGGTGTACACAGAGGTTCATAGACTATGTGTCACCCAGTCCATCCCTCCTTTCCATAGGAATACAGCCCAGGGCATTTTTATGGCCTTCCCATTTTATACAATATGCAAAACAAAAAGCAATCCAAACCAATCCATTATAAATCTCACTGACTTAACAAAAATATCTTCCTCCTAATCACAAAGCTTATTCTCACTTATATGCTTTTGCAAAGCTGTTCCCTTTCCTCTTTACTCTCCTCAACTTTTCATAAAGAATTAGTCAAATTCTCATCTCTTCTGTGGAGCTGTTTCTGGTGACCCAAGCCCACAGTAACCCAAACTTCTATATTCTTTCCTGTACACACTATGCAACCAGAAATCTATTACATGCCGTCTTTATCTCCAATGTCTGTATACTATTCTAGAGAGATTTATAATGGATTGGTTTGGGTTGCTTTCTGTTTTGCATATATTTTCTGGGAAGACACTTGGTCTAGAGAAGAATTTGTCTAGAGAGAAAAGTGGAAGTTTGAGTGAGACAGCGAAGGGAGAAGGATGTTTAACTTTCATGCAATTATCTGAGTCCTACATCTCAAGCGAGGCTTAGAGGCTTGTAATGAAGATTTACCAATTGGTCCAAGGTCAGGTAACTCAAAGTGGACACCATAGACCTCCAAGATGTAGCCCCTGGTCTCCTCAAAGACATCTATGCTGAACCGCATTCCTCTCTGGAATGGAAAGCAGACACTGGTGTGCCCTCTGAAATCACAGCTGTAGTTATAAAGAAGCTGCCCAGAGCCATAGCCCATCCCACATGCAAAAGTAAAGCTCTTGTTTGTTGAGCTGCTTGGGAGGTGACCAGAGCAAACATGAAAAACTGAATTTTTTTAAAAAGAAATTTTTAAAATTCAGTTTAAAAAGAAAAACTGAATTCCTAATCACACATGTGACCCAAGCCAATTCTAGTCTACCCTCTCATTGGGTCCAGAGATAATGGTAAGCCTGATTTAGCCACACTAAAAAAAAAAAAAGTCCACCTTCACTGCCTCTACTGCCATTAGTGGGAACAGGGCCTTATCCAGAGTATATGTAAATATTTAGGAAAGTGCAATGACAAGTGGTCTTTCCTTTAGAATTATGTGCTATATTAAAAGAAAGCAGGCACCCAAGCTTGCTTACTCTTCAGCACATGGAACCTTCTGCATAACTCAGATTCCCTCCTCGTTGCCCAGACATGACAGAGAAATTTTAGAGTTGGAAATAGCAGCAGCTGAAACATCTGACTGCTCCCAAATTAGTGAGAGGCAGGGAAGAGAAGGGGACACATCACCAACCTGAATGACGCAGATCTCATTGGGCTGTACAAGCATCTTGCCAAACTCGGTGTAAATGAGAAGGTTCCCTTTCTGCGGAACTGACAAAAAAAGACAGGGCAGTGGTGAGCAATTCTTTTGGTGTGATAACCATTTCATGAACAGGAAAGGCTTAAGGCTGCATTTGCTTTTCCATTCCAAATGCAAAGAGCTTTATTGAGTCTCTTGGGGAAAAAGATAAATTCTGACAACTTAGATTAGCTATTTTCCTATCTAGAAGAATGTGAATAAAACAATGACTCTGCTTTTTTGGTCACCAGGCAAGGAACTTGTATATGCACAATTTTGTGACATGGTCAAAAAGGGGTAGCAGAAATAGGATGGAAAATCACCCATTTCTGATAGTTCCAGTGAAAGGCTGACATTTGCTTGTGTGACATATACACGAAAATGTTGATTCCAAAATATTGATACTAAAAAACCATCAAGTATAATAGGCAGACCAGAACAATCTCTGATAGACTTTACATTTTAGATGGTCTCATGAAAATTTGAATTTAAATTGCAGTTACTAATGATAAATGGGCTTTTACTGAGAGAGTTTCAAGGCAAATACAGTTACCGTAATAAGTTAATCCCATTAGTATTAGTCTTCATTTCTTTTCAGCTGCCCAGGTCTCCCACATCAGAAAGGTCCAGAAGAGATGGGCAAAGACAGAGAGACAAGGAAATAGAGTAGGGGCTTTGAGGTACACTAGAAATCTTTTCCAGACCACCTGTGGCCTCTAGACCTCAGTCTCTGGATTGCACTAAATGAAATAAGACAGATTGGAGAATGAAGGAAAATAATGTGTATAAAATTAGAAAGCAGCTTGCGGTTAGGGGTCAATTAACAGTGAGGGGGTCTGAAGTCTTCAGAACTCACCAATCAAGAAGTCCCCATCTGAATTGTAAAAGCATCTGAAACATATAGAGTAATTCTTGTGATTTTCAGTTTTAACATTGTCTAGACAAATTACGTCATAACACAAATCATTGTTTAGTGCCTATGTAGCAAGCTCAGAGCTGGGTATAAAATGGGGAGCAAAATGACCCAGGCTCTGCCCTTGTGGAACTTAGAGTCTAGTGGGGAGTCAGAGAGCAATCAAATAATTACAGAACAATATCTTTGCAGACTGTAATGACCCTGTGAAAATCAAGTTTGAGGGAATGAAAGAATAGCGACTTGGTTAGTTTGAAGAATCAGCAAAGGCTTCTTCAAAGAAGGGACACATTTGACCGGATATCTGAAGGTGTTATCTAGGTGAGGGTTTGGAGAAAGGAAAGAATGTTCCAGGCAGAAGGAACAGCAAGTGCAAGTGCTTAGAAGGAGGGCACGCGGCAGCTTGAAAGAAGTGAATGAAGGCCAATGCGGCTCAAGTGGAGAGAGGGGAGGTGGCCTGATATGAGATTTGACCCAAAGAGAGGCCTCCAGAGCCTTGTCATAGGGCTGTGATCTTGTCCCTGATTCATGGCTCACAAGGTCGCTCAGCCAGGAAATGTAGAGTTGGGCTTTGGACACAAATGGTCCAGTTCCAGAGGTAGTGTATAATAAGGCAGGAATGCCATTTGCATACTTTGTTTTGCAAAGCCAGTATATAAGCTCCTCTACTTAAGAATTTTAAGCTTACACAGAGCTGTTAGCTGAAGCCAAAGTCGGGTAGCCTGCTACTAATGGGTGGTCCTAATGGAAACTCACACACTGTGACCTGGGACTCAAGAACAGCCCTGGGGAACCTTAGAAATTAAGGATATTCAAAGGCACATGTTCTCAGGATCTCCTGAGGGCTGGGTCATGGGTCACTGGTCACTCATATTTGGCTCAGAATACATCAATTCAAATATTTTACATATTAATAGTTTGACTATTTTTGTCAACAATAATTTGGCACCTGGACACATTGGGCCTCAGAGAAGACTCAGAACCCTGAAGGAGTTGCCTGAACTCAGAGCTAAGGTATCAGCAGGGACCTATTGAAAGCGCCTTCAACTTTGGGCTTCTCCTCTGATGGAACTGTTAAGTCCTCCTGAGCCCTGTTTGGTTGACAGTTCTTGATTTTTCCCTCCTAGGAAGCTCTTGTTTAGGTTCCTAATTCTAGTTCACAGGTCCATTCTAAAGGATTTCTCCATTGTCTTTTTCTTCTTTTTCTTTTTTTTTTTTTTTTTTTTTGAGATGGAGTCTCACACGGTTGTCCGGGCTGGAGTGCAATGGCATGATCTCGGTTCACTGCAACCTCCGCCTCCCGGGTTCAAGCAATTCTCCTTTTTCAGCCTCCTGAGTAGCTGGGATTACAGGCGCCCACCACCACGCCCGGCTAATTTTTTGTATTTTTTAGTAGAGATGGGGTTTCACTATGTTGGCTAGGCTGGTCTCGAGCTCCTGACCTCGTGATCCGCCCACCTCGGCCTCTCAAAGTACTGGGATTACAGGCGTGATCCACTGTGCCCGGCCTCCGTTGTCTTTTTCTAAAGACAACAAGAATGACTCCCTTTTGGGTACCCTGTTTGGTTTCCAGTTTGGAGGTGTATTCTAAATGGTCTACTCCATTGTTTTTTCTCCCCAAATTTAGCTCAGTTGGCTTGCCTGCGCATTCGTGTGACTGTCATTTTTGTGCATAAATGAGAGACTGAGCTCCTCAGCTCTGAAGAGAAAGGGCATTTTGTTCTTCCCAACTGAAAGGCACCCTGGGTGACTAGGGGCTGAGTTGCAGTGTCTGAGGGATTCATCCCCTGTGATGTGCAGTGGCGCTACAGGGAACCCCCCCAAAAATAGTTTTGTCCCGGAAATACATATAAGAGCTGATCACTTGGCATTTTGAGGCCTCTCAGAGGTGCTAGATCTCTGGAGAGAGAAACTGAGACAGGTAAGAGGGTGGAAACGACTCGGTGGTGAAACACTGTGGAGTCCTGCCTACATTCAGTACACCAATCCACCACCCACAAAACCCCTAGGTCACAGCTCAGTTCCTCCTTTTAAGAAAAAAAACGTGGGAAACAAATAATCTAAGAATGAGGAAAGACAAGGAGAAAGGTGCCTCTACTTGCAAGTGTTTGTGTAAAATGGAAAAGTTCAAGGGTATGCCAGAGTTTCTAGTACTCCAGCTGGTTACATATTACAGTCTGTTGTGCACATTTTAAACCAATGGGAAAATTGTATCATTCAGAGCCCAAAGGTCAACCTGCAACTACAGAGTTTCTAAGTTCTCTATTTCTCTGTTTTCTTTTCTGCCTGCTTTAAATCTGCTGTTACTTTTCTACTGAGATAAAAACCACAGTTTGGATCTAATGTACACCTTATATGTGTTGACTGATGTCTTATGCCTCCCTAAAATGTATAAAACCAAGCTGTAGCCCAATCACCTTGGGCACATGTTCTCAGGATCTCCTGATGGCTGTGTCGCAGGCCATTGGTCACTCATATTTGGCTCAGAAAAATCCTTGAAATATCAAACAACAACAAAAGCATATTTGGACTCAGACTTAAAGTCAAAATGCCTTTCGATCTACTCCTGCATTCCAGGGCTCCATCCTCCCTTTTCTGTTTACATTGTTATGTGATGTGCTTGTTTATATCACTGATGTTCAGTCAAGATAAATGCCTTTTGTCTCATTCATTATCATTGTCAATAAATATATATGAATATTGCCTTGAGGAGAAAACCAATAACAAAAACAACTATGTATGTGCATATGTGACTTCACAAGAGTGAAACCTGGAGTTTGACTTCTGGCCAAAATCCCTTAGAAGATGGGCATGTCCTTCCCTAGAACTGAGCCACTTACCTGTTCTCCATGGAGGTATTGCAGAGGAAAATGTGGATAGCAAGCCCATTGTTAGACTTTATGTCTCCAGCTCCACACAAGGTATGCAGGCCCTGGGAGAGACCCACAGAAGAGGGAAAGGTTAATGTGAACGGTGCCCAAGAGGCAGCCCTTCCACTGGTCCCTGAGGGTCATGAGGCACATTTCTACTAGGGTCTTCCCTTTGGGACCGGTGGGACGTTTGGAATCCAGGCAGCCTCTAAGGAGCCTGAATTTACTGACTCATGTTTGGTAGTTTGTGGTTTACCCTAGTCTCCAGCCATGGCCTAAATCTGGGTTGTCTTAGTGGCTATATCAGAAGAACTTACAGAGTATCAGTTCATTACTTGGTATTTTATCAATTTGATGCTTGACATCAACTGGAAGAAGAGATTCTGTTGGAGGTACCATCAGGCATCTAGGAGGCTTGGGGAGGAAGGTTGCAGCATCAGGGACCAGTTAATGCCTCTCAAGTACACTCCACTATGGGCAGCCCTCTGCTTATGGATAGGGTCAGCCTAATCTCTCTGGAACAGGGCAGAGGACTGTATTCAGATGGACTGTAATTCTCTCTGCTGTGTGACCAGATGATCCATAGTGCAAGAAACCTTAACACATGGGTCTTCTCAAAATAGCCCTCAGCCCCAAACCTGCAGATGGAGAGCCAAAAGGAGAGAGCTCTGCGCCTCCAGATATCTACAATTCACACAAGAAAGGAGATGGGGATATCATTTTGTATTTTAACTCAATTTGTAAGTTTAGGGTATATTTAAGTGAGTCTACAAAGAGTTTGGAGCACTTAATAAAGATGAGAACTTCAAGATGTTTCCAACAATTTATCCTATGGCTCGGCACTTGGAGTGTCCCTACGTAAGCCATGAGCTGAGGCTGGTCTGCAGAACCCTCCACTGGTCTCTTTGAGCCCCACTTCCTTAGAGCTCCTTTCTCCTCTCCCCCAGATACTCCTTGCTCTGTGCAGTTATTCCAGTACTCCTGGGACCTATAACTACCAAACAGAGCTTCCAATCAGCATTGTACTAACTAGAGTTGCCATGTTGAATTGACGCCATTCTAGCCCAAGCATCTACTTCAGGGAGATTTATGAACTTGGATGGGAAATATTTTATATTTACTTTTGCTAATCTCTGAGTGAAATTTATCATTTCTTTCAACTAATATGAATGTAGGCAAAAAACCACAGCAGTATTAGAGGTGCCTGTAACTTTATCAATGATAAAAATCATGGATATCACATTATAGTTGTTATAGATACCTCAAAGTATATTTATGCTCATACCAGAATTATTAGATGTTTTCCATAGATATTATGATTTAGCACATTAACAAGAAAGCACATGAATGACTATAAACCAAATCAAATTTGTTTTTAATAGTATTTTTATCGTTATATTTCAATATCATTAGCTTCTTTGTAATTTTATATAATTTATTTTATATATTTATAAACAAAGACATCATCAGACATCAGACATCAAAGTGAGAAAAAGGTTAAAAGCCCCCGTTCTAGCCAAAAGAAAGGAACTTAAGTAAGAAAATGTTCAATTGTCATTGGCCTTTCTGAGATATAAATAGTTCATGAATACCCTCTGGTGTCAGGGGCCATATGGTTTCTGTAAGTAAGACATCCCTCCGCCAGCCCCCAAAGCATACGCAGGTGGTTTTGTCTCTGCTGCCTCCTGATAGGGCTGCTTCTGCTTGGCATTCAGGCTGCAAATGGTTGGCTCACTCACCACAGAAGAGAGGAGAGCAGTAGGGAGGGTGTGGATGGGACTGACTTACACTCACAAAGTCTACTTTCTTCTGAGATGCTTTTGGAATCTCAAATGGTTTCCATCTAAGCTGGAAAAAAAATACACATACAGAAAAATTACTTCACAAGGGTAAACCATAGACCTTCTAAATAAATAGCATCAATTACATAGAAAAGAAAGGACAGCTACCCCCTCTGTGAGGCTCTACTTGTGATTTTGTTATATTAAAATGATTATCCATCATTTCCTTAAAGGGACTCTGTTAGTGTGTGTTATTTGTGCACGTGCACACACATGTTTGTGTGTTTAAAACTATGTGAATATAAACTGCTTTTGTTCCTTAGCACTTTAGATTATAAAAATAAAACCATTGCTTCCTTTTTTAGAAGCTATTTGTTTCTTTTAACATTTTGCCCAGGCACATCAGTGAGTTTTGACTGATGCTGCTTTTCATGCTATTTATAATCAGGTCCCTTTCCTGGCATGCCAGCCTCCCTGTGTGGGCTCCTGACACTGCAGGGGAAGGTTCTACTTCTACTTCAAGCCCTTAGAGTTCTAAATTGTTTTTTTAAGAGAAAGAAAGAGCACCCAGCTGAGATCTGATTTGGTAAATGCAGTACCAGGTTCAGCTGCTTCACCAAACCCCACGTTTGTCCCTAGGCTGCCTGACAGTTCAGTTTAAATCACAACAATCTTTAATTTAATAATGAAATGATCTAAGGAAGAGGGGAGGAAAATCAGCAGGTTTAGGCCCTTCTTGAAGTGTCAGCCCAGCGCTTATTAATCAACTTGGCAGCAGGCCTGACTTATCCAGGCTGGCAGCTGATAAGCCCAGCTGCCACGTTTCATGGAGCGACCCGCACCCTGAAGACTAGCTCCACTGGCTGCAGCACCTGGTCAAGGTGGGCTTGGCAGGGCCTCCATCAGGTCATAGGGCTCAGCTCATTCTGTATTTCAGGGAGGCAGCCAGATGGGAAAGGAAGCAGCAAGTGGAAAAGGCAGCCTTGGGATTATTCTGCCTCTCTGACACACACAGTCAGGCAGCAGCCTTCATTTCTTAAAAGCAAAGCAGGATGGTCACATTAAAAGATACTTAAAAAGGATGTAAAATGTTGATTTGGGAAACAGTGCTGAAATCATGCTTCAGAAAGAAGGAAATGCTTTAGGACTAATTTCATTAAGGATGGTATCTCTTAGGGGTATAATAGGGGGACCTGAGGGCAAGGATCTAGGAAATGGTTTCTCAATCTTGGCACTATTGACAGTTTACACGAAATAATTCTTTGTTGTGGGGAGGTGTTCTGTGCATTGTGGGATGCTTAGCATCATCCATGGCCTGCCTCCACCAGGTTCCAGTGACATTCCACCAAGCTGTAACAACCAAAAATGTCTCCAGAAATTGCCAAACATCACTTGGGGGAAATTTTCTCCCAGTTGAGAACCACTGACCTGGGAGGATATTTCCCTAACATCAGGAAGTGCCACAGCTAAGCACTGCTGGATTTTTTAGGGGAAGTTCTGGTCTACCACTAAACATTACCTGCTGCTTCCTTCTATAGTAACAGAGCAGAGTATTTATACCCAGGAAGATTGTTAGGAAGACAATACTACCTAGAATCTTAGTTTCAGAAAGAAAATCCAGAAAGAGTCATCTTTCTGGATTTCCCAGTAGAAGGGATTTAAGTATCAGATCAATGGTTGCCTGCGTAATCTTTTAGCTCTATCCAGAGATTCTCAATCCTGGCCACTCATGAGAATCACATGGAGAGCCTTTGAGACCAAGACCAAATTAAATCAGAATCTGTGAAGGTAGGGCCCAGACATCGGTATTTTATAAAAGTTCTTCTAATGTGCAGCTAGGGTTTAAGAACCCAATCCAGAGGTTCTGTGATTCTTGTATTGATGAACCAAGCATCATACTCAGAAAAGTCCATCCAGTCAACAAACCAACCAACCCACCAACTGATCAATCAACTAAATTCTGGCATCTTGGGCCATACGTGGCAGTGACAATGCCAGTTACTAAATAGCAGGAGTGATTAATTAGTACAAGTCTAAGGATTTACAAATCTAAGGAAAAAAGTGATCAAGAAAAAAGAAGAAAGAGCAAGGGGAAAGAAAGAAGAGAGAGAGGGAGAAATCCCAGTAGCAGGGGATTTTCTGCCTGGTTTGTTGTACTGGGACAATATCTTTGTACATCTGCCTGATGTTAAAATACCTGTGGTAAGGCCAGGGGCGGTGGCTCACGCCTGTAATTCCAGCACCTTTGGAGGCCAAGGTGGGTGGATCATGAGGTCAGGAGTTCGAGACAAGCCTGGCCAACATAGTGAAACCCCATCTCTACTAAAAATACAAAAATTAGCTGGGTGTGGTGGCATGCACCTGTAGTCCCAGCTACTCAGGAAGCTGAGGCAGAAGAATCTTCTGAACCTGGGAGGTGGAGGTTGCAGTGAGCCAAGACCTCACCATTGCACTCCAGCTTGGGTGACAGAGTGAGACTCTGTCTAAAAAACAAAAAACAACAAAAACAACAACAACAAAACAAACAAACAAACAAAAACCTTGCTGTGAGTGGTAATAAAGTCCTGGCCCTCAGAGAAGGGGTTTGTCTTCTTTGAGTGGAAAAGGTTGAGCCAGAGAGACTGATGGGTTGACCAGGTCAGCTGGTCATTTTTCAAGGTCTTCTGTAGCACATTAGCCCTCAAGTCATGAGAACAGAGAGCCTGAGGTGGTGGAAGAAAATGCAACTACATTTCATAGTGAAGAGAACATACCTTCAATAGGGCCCACAATCCGGAAGAAGCAACGACCTTGACGAACCTTCTCTAATGCAAAAAATGATCCCCACCAAATGACAGAGATAGTATAGGGAGAGGAGTCATTTATCTGTTGGCCCTGATGGCAGAAGATTATACAGAATCTATATTCAGATCATACTGGGCCTGTATCATGAAGGATAAGAAAATCCCCAAGGTGGTTCTGATAAACTCAGTACTCACAAGAGAAAGCAGAGATTTTGGTCAGGAGCGCTGATGTGATATTTTGATAAGTGTGAGGAGGGAGATTTGAGCAGAGGATTAATAGGAAGAGTCCATGGAGTGCATGGTACAAACATCTACTAAAGCCAGCTGCAGCTTTATTGTATGCTGTGGAGCAGTAACTCTCTGAGCCAAGGCCAGACCAAAAGGAGAGTGCACTGAAGACTTGGTTTTTGCTACTGTCTCTGTTCCCGTTTTCTCTGTGATCTTCAGGAAAGCCATTTTCTCTCCCAAATTTTGTTTTTTTCTTACATATAACAACAGGTGCTGGTGAGAACTATAATTCCATAATTCTCTCCAGAGGAGAAACTCTGAAAGAAGTAAAGGATGCTTGCTGACTGATTTAGTCCTTGATATGCACTAAATTGTGTCCTCTTCCAAATTTGTGTGTTGAAGCCCTAACCTTCAATGTGACTATGTTTAGAGATGGGTTTTAAAGTTAAAAGAGATCATAAATGTGGGGCCCTAATCTGATAGGATTGATGGCCTTATAAGAAGAAGAGATCTCTCTCTCTGCTTGCACTCAGAGGATAGGCTATGTGAGGATACAGTAAGAAGGACTGTCTTTAAACCAAAGAGGAGCCTCACAAGACATCAACCCTGCTAACACCTCGGACTTGGACTCTCAGTTTTCAGAACTGTAAGAAGATACATTTCTGTTGTTTAAACTACCCAGTCTGTGGTATTTTGTTATGGCAGCTTGATCAGACTAATATAGTCCTACAACTTTTAAAAATAGTTTATTTTATTTATACTATATGCTATTGTTAAATAGCTTCTTCTCTATAGAATTTACTTATTAAACATTTCAAAAATAATAAAATCAATTGTAATGCCCAATGCAATGGCTTGACTATAGTAGGCATTAATATTTGTTGAATGACTGAATAGATGAATAAATCTAAGGCACTAACAACATTGCTAAGAACAAGAATAAAGTAAATTTTTGAGATCTTTTTTTTGGGGGGGGGTTGGAGTCGCGCTCTGTTACCCAGGCTGGAGTGCAGTGGCGCGATATTGGCTCACTGCAACCTCCACCTCCTGGGTTCAAGCGATTCTACTGCCTCAGCCTCCTGAGTAGCTGGGACTGCAGGTGCATGCCCCCATGCCCGGGTAGTTTTTGTATTTTTAGTAGAGATGAGGTTTCACCATGTTGGCCAGGCTGGTCTCGAACTTCTGACCTCAGGTGATCCACTTGCCTCGCCCTCCCAAAGTGCTGGGATTACAGGCATGAGCCACTGTGCCTGGACCGTGAGATCTTTTGGAAGTCAAAATAACATTCAGGCGATGTCTAGAAAATCAAATATTTCTAAAAGTCCAAAGGTAAAATGTCAGTTCTTCACACGTGTAAAATCGTCACTTCCATATCCTTTCTTTTTTAAAAAACTTTTTTTCCAATCCTGCTCCTTCTGTAGATCACTTCTGTATCTTTTCTGACTTTCTGTTCAGTTGTTCTATCAACTGTTGAGAGAGGGGTGTTGAAGTCTCCAACTAAAATTGTGGATTTGTCTATTTATCCTTTTAGTTGTATTATTGCTTCACATATTTTACAACTGTATTCTATGAGTTCTATTGGAAGATAAACTTTTACTTGCTAGAAATGAGGTGGTCAAAAATAATTTGAAAGCATCTTTAAGGGTGTCCAAAGTTAGAATTAAAAATTACTTAAGATTACCAAAGGAGGAAGACAGAATTGGTATCAACATTTGATTATCAAGATTCAAAATTCATGCTCAGAGATGAAAAGAAAATATTAGATAATTGGCCTAAATATTTCCAGTTAGAATACTGGGAGTTGAACTAGATGATCCAAGTATCCCTTTCAAAACTGAAATTCTTTAATTTACTGAGATTCCCTCCAAATTTCCCATGGACTCAACTAGATTGGATGACTTGAGTACTCTCAACAACACTGGCTGAGGATAGACAGACATATCATTAGAAGTGAGTACCACCTATCCAAGAATTTTGAAGTAATTTCTCGGTGAAATAGTCATCATAGTGTACATATTAGTCTGTTCTCACATTGCTATAAAGAATTACCTGATACTGGGTAATTTATAAAGAAAAGAGGTTTAACTGGCTCACAGTTCTTCAGACTGTACAGGAAGCATGATGCTGGCATCTGCTCAGTTTCTGAGGAGGCGTCAAGAAATGTACAATCATGACAGAAGGTGAAGCAGGAGAAGGCATGGCTTACATTGCAGGAACAGGAGTGAGAGAGAGAGAGAGAGAGAAAGAGAGAGAGAAAGAAAGAGAGAGAGAGAGGTGGGAGGTGCCACACACTTTTCAATGACCAGATCTCATGAGAACTCACTCACTATCATGAGGACAGTACCAACAGGGATGGTGCTAAACCATTCATGAGAAACTGTCCCCAAGATCCAATCACCTCCTGCCAGGCCCCACCTCCAACATTAGGGATTATAATTTGATATGAAATTTGGGTAGGGACACAGATCCAAACCATATTATTCTGCCCTTGGCTCCTTCCAAATCTCCTGTCCTTCTCACATGTCAAAATATAACCATGCCTTCCCAGCAGTGCCCAAAAGTCTTAACTCATTCTAGTATTAACTCAAATGTCCAAAGTCTCATCTGAGACAAGTTAAGTCCCTTCCACCTATGAGCCTGTAAAATATAAAATAAGTTAGTTACTTCCAAGATACAATGGGGGTATAGACATTAGGTAAATACTTCCATTTCAAAAGGGAGAAATTGGCCAGAACAAAGGGTCTATAGGCCCCGTGCATGTCTGAAACACAGCAGGGAAGTCATTAAATTTTAAAGCTCCAAAAAAATCTCCTTTGACCTAATGTCCCACATCCAGGGTACACTGGTGTGAGGGGTGGGCTACCAAGGTCTTGGTCAGCCCCACTCAGGTGGCTTTGCAGGATTCAGCACCTGCGGCTGCTCTCATGGGCTGCCATTGAGTGCCTGTGGCTTTTTCAGGTGCACGGTGCAATCTGTGGATGGATCTACCTTTCTGGAGTCTAGAGAATGGTAGCCCTCTTCTCATAGCTCCACTAGGCAATGCCCCAGCGGGGACTCTGTGTGGGAGCTCCAACCCCACATTTCCCCTCCATACTGCCCTAGTAGAGGTTCTCTGTGAGCACTCCGCCCCTGCAGCTGGCTTCTGCCTGAACATTTAAGTTTTCTATACATCCTCTAAAATCTAGGTGGGGGCTCCCAGGCCTTAACTCTTGTATCCTGTGCACCTGCAGTCTTAACACCACATGGAAGCTACCAAGGCTTATGGCTTGCACCCTTTGAAGCGGTGCTTGGATCCCTTTGAGCCACAGGAGGAGCTGGAGCAGCTGGGATGCAGAAAACAGTGTCCTGAGGCTGTGCAGGGTAGCAAGGCCCTGGGCCTGGCCCACAAAATCATTCTTCCCTCCTAGGCCTCTGGGCCTGTGATGGGATGAACTGCCCCAAAGGTCTGTGAAATGCCTTTGAGGCCTTTCCCACATTGTCTTGGCTATCAGCATTTGGCTCCTTTTTATTTATGCAAATTTCTGCAGCCAGTTTGAATTCTTCTCCTGAAAATGGGCTTTTCTTTTCTACCACATGGCCAGGCTGCAAAATTTCCTAACTTTTACACTCTACTTCCCTTTAAATACAAGTTAAAATTTAAATATAGGTTTAAATCTAAACTTATTTTTAAATTTAAGTTCCAACTTCAGGTCATTTATTTGCTCATGCATGTGGGCATAGGCGGTTAGAAGCAGCCTGGTCACATGTTGAATGCTTTGCTGCTTAGAAATTTCTTGTACCAGACACCTTAAATCATCATTCTCAAGTTCAGAGTTCCACAGATCCCTAGGGCAGGAGCACAATGCAGTCAAGTTCTTTGCTAAGGCATAACAAGTTTGACCTTTGATCTAGTTCCCAGTAAGTTCCTCATTTTCATTTGAGATCTCCTCAGCCTGGACTTTATTGTTCATGTCACTATTGGCATTTTTGTCACAACAATTTAACAAGTCTCTAGGAAGTTTGAAACTAACCCTCATCTTCCTGTCTTCTGAGCCCTCCACACTCTTCCAACCTCTGCCAGTTATCCAGTTCCAAAGTCACTTCCACATTTTCAGGTTATCTTTATAGCAATGTCCCACTCCTTGGTACCAATTTTCTTTGTTAGTTCGTTCTTGCACTGCTATAAACAAAGACCTAAGATTGAGTAATTTATAAAGAAAAGAGGTTTGATTGGCTCACAGTTCTGCAGGCTGCACAGGAAACATAGCAGCTTCTGCTTCTGGAGAGGCTCAGAAAGTTTTCAATCATGGCAGAAGGCAAAGATATGATGGGAGCATCTCATATGATGGGAGCAGGAGCAAGAGAGAGTGGGGGGTGGTTGCATAATGGGGGTGGATTTCTCACGAATGGCTTAGCACTACCCTCTTGGTGCTGTTCTCATGACAGTGAGTTCTCATGAGATCTGGTCTTTAAAAGCGTGTAGCACCTCCCTCCTCTCTCTCTTGCTCCTGCTCCTGCCATCTGAGATACCTTGCTCCCCCTTTGCCTTCCACCATGATTGGAAGCATCCTGAGGCCCCTCCCAGAAGCAGAAGCCACTATGCTTCCTGTACACCCTGTGGAACTATGAGCCTCCTTTCTTTGTAAGTTACCCAGTCTCAGGAATTTCTTTATAGCAGTGCAAGAATGGACTAATACAATGTATAAATAGTTGTTAGCAGAGAGATCCAGGGTAATTTGTGGTGGTGAGTTTCAGTCCAGACTAAGAAAGATAGGAAGGATTAAAATAAAACAGTGGCTCACTTGAATTCTTCAGAAACTTTGGAAGTTTGAGGAAAAAAAGGTAGCATGAATTATGTGGAGAGAAATCAGGCTTTGGTTGATCCGTTGGAGTTCTTTGAGGTGATAGGCAAGAATATAGATAATGAGGATCCAAGTCACTGTAATTTAGATTTCTAAAAGTCTTTCAGGCCAAGCGAGGTGGTTCACGCCTGTAATCCCAGCACTTTGGGAGGCCGAGGCGGCCAGATCACCTGAGATGAGGAGTTCGAGACCAGCCTGGCCAACATGGTGAAACCATGTCTCTACTAAAAATACAAAAATTAGCCGGGCATGGTGGTGGGCACCTGTAATCCCAGCTACTTGGGAGGCTGAGGCAGGAGAATCGCTTGAACCCAAGAGGAGGAGATTGCAGTGAGCTGATATCACAACACTGTACTCCAGCCTGTACTCAAAAAACAAAACAAAACATAACAAAAGTCTTTCATGAGGCTACAAATGAAGATGAGCCATCAAGGATGAAAACTTGGATTCTCATTTGACCTTGTCCTTGAATGTAAAGCTAAGAGCTTTAAATCCATTACCTAGCACCTAGCACGAAGTATAGAACATAATAGTCACTCAATAAATATTTGTTGGATGACATTTAATTCTCACAACAACTCTCTGAGGCTCCCTATGATTATTATTATCATCTCTATTTTAGAAGTGAAAAAACTGATGGTTTAGAACAGTTAAATTTTCTCTACTAAGAACTGATGCCAACACTTTCTCAGACCCTCTTACTAACCTACACCCTGAGCCCTTTGATCTTAGCCTGTCTTGACCTGTTTCCCAAATTATTCCTGATCTCCTTGGCTCCTAAACCCAAGCTTTCCCTCCTTTTAATGGTCTTGTACCTGGTCTTCCAAATTGACCTTTGTTTACTGTTCCTCCAGTGCTGAATCACCCTGGCCAGTCTGATTCCTGGGACACTAACCCTGCTTAGGTCCTTCAGGGTTAATGTTTCTTGTCTAATCCCCTTATATTAATTATTTCAAACAGTATTTATTGAACCTCTCTGTGTGCCAGATTTTATGCTAGATGCTGGAGGTGAACATGACATTGTCTCTTCCCTCAGGTAATCCATTACAGAAGATCCTGGAAATGTGAAAACCTCATGATAGAAAAACAAGGAAGTGGATCAGTGCAAATAACTTTGGAAGAGAAATGTAAATAGAAATGTTCTCTCAGGAATAAGTCCTGGCACAGGGCCTATTTAACATTCTTATATATGGAAAATAAGAGATATAAGCAATGAAATCATCTGGTTTGCAGACAGCGCCAATATCTTTGCAAGAAGTGAAATGTAAGTTGATGGAGATGAAATGTAAAAAGAGCTAGCAAGCTGTCCAAAAGGGCTGAGCAGGGGAATGTGCACTGTAATGTTGGCACACACCACTGAATGCATTTAGAGAAATGCAATCTAATTTATTTATAGAATGATAGGATCTGAACTATCAGGGAGTAAATTCAACAAATACTTGCGATTCTATTTGGAAGAAGGCATGTACTGGATACTGCAGATCAGATGAAGATGATAGAGACATAGAACCTTAAATACTCTGAGAAATATTGAAAGGGCATAATGAAGAAAGTATTATTTAAAATGAATCATAAATCGTGAGTGAGATTTAGATGGGTGAGTATTTGTGATGGAAGAACAGGAAATCCCAGGTAGATAAAATGACGATGGTTCTAGTGTGACTGATAGGTAGGGGACATGGAAGTGAGTGGAGAGTCTGAAAGGCTGTGATAGTGAATCAGAGCTCTTGATCTCTTATCTGGAAGCCTGCACTGGATTGGCTGGGCAGTGGAGGGGGCGGGTGATGGTTAGATTTAAAGATTTTTGAGATGATAATTTAGCACGCTGATTCTGGCAGCACGGTGTGGGATAGGGAGGGGAAGACATAGGAATCAGGTAGAAGGTCATTAAAATAGTCTAGGTAAGAAGAAATGAGGTCTGAACCAGGTGGAGGTAGGAAAAGGAAAAAAGGAACCAGAGAGATCCTGAAAGCACACTCTACAGCAGAATTTCATAAAGTGCAGTCCAGCACCAACCTGCATGGGAGTCATCTGGGGAGACTCCTGAGTACCACCTCAGACCTACTGAACTGGGATCTCTGGGGAGCAAGACTGAGGAATCTACATTTTCAACAAGTCCCCTGGTAACTCTTATGTATACTCAGGCATCACCATTCTATGGACTTGGCACCTGATTCAGTGTAGTGAGCTAGGAAAATCCTCTATTGCTCAAGGAGTTCCTCCTGTTAGTTTGTCCCACTTGATTATTTCTTATCAACAACTATCCCTTCATCTCTAAGGCAAAGAGAATCCAAAAGAGTGGGAATCCTTAGTAGATATTTAGAGGGAAAAACAAGCAGAAGGAGAGAATTATGGGCTAGATTGTGTTCCTCCTCCAAATTCATATGTTGAACTCCTAACCCCCTGTATTTCAGAATGTGACTATATTTGGAGATGGAGTCTTTACAGGAATAATTAAACTTAAATGAGGTTACTAGAGTGGACCCTAATCTGATATGATTGTTGTCCTTATAAGAAGAGGAAATTTGGCTATAGACACAGAGGGAAGATGATGTGAGGAGCCAAGGAGAAGATACAAGTCAATGAGAGAGGCCTCAGAAGAAAGCAACCCTGCCGATACCTCAATCTTGGAATCCAGAACTGTTAGAAAGTAAATCTCTTTTGCTTAAGCCACCCAGTATCTTTTTGTTATGATAGCTCTAGCAGAACAATACAGAGGGGAAGGGGAAGGTTGGGGTGAAGAGAAGGAGAAGAAAAGAGGAGGATAAGAAAGACAGTAAGGAAGAGGAGGGGAAGAGAGAGAGTAAGTACTTCCCCTTCTCTCAGAGGGGAGATGATGACAAGGGGGAGGTGAGAGTTGTGTTAGTCCATTTTTATGCTGCTGATAAAGACATTCCCGAGAAGGAGTAATTTATAAAGGAAAAAGGTTTAATTGGACTTACAGTTCCACGTGGCTAGGAAAGCCTCACAATGATAGCAGAAGGCAAGGAGGAGAAAGTCACATCTCATTTGGGTGGCAGCAGGCAAAGAAAGAGCTTGTGCAGATAGACTACCTCCCACCAGGTCCCTCCCGTAACACGTGGGAATTCAAGATGAGATTTGGGTGGGGACACAGTCAAACTATATCAAGATTCTAGTTCAGGACCTTGAAGAATACTTATTTTGCAGGTTTGGGAATCATGCAATGTCATGGAACCCAGGGAAAAAAGGGGATTCAGGAAGAAAAGAAGGAGGTCTGTTGTTCCAGGCTGGGATGTAGAGGAGAAAAGGATTATATTTAGCGTGGATTTACTACATAATAGCAAAAATGGAAAAAATTCAAATATCTCACAATATTAGGAATTTTTATAAACATTTATTGGATTATAATATAATATCAAAAATATCTACACTCAAGAAGTTTAAAAAGACATGGAAAAAGGCGCAAAATATGATATTTAAATAAAAATAATCTAAGACTGCATTACACCATCAGCTTAATTATAGTAAATATATATGTAACTGATTTTTTTTTTAAAAGCACTATTATAAGTGTATTCATAGCCTCTTCCTCTTCCCTTCCCTGATCTCTGCGGAAAATTCAGATTTGCCTATTCTCACTGGAGTCCTTTGAACTCCAGTATTGCCATGGAGGTCACTGTTATGTGTGTGTTATCCCACATAACACCATGTGTGATCCCAGCCAAATGGGGTAGGGGATCTACAGTGCAGGTATCATTTTCTAGAGGCAGAATGTACAGGGAGGAAGAGAGAAGCCAACAATCAATGGTGACAAGGCATGAAGAGCTTGGGGAAGGTGAGAGGTGAGGTGAGAGAAGACAGATGTGAGAGGGTTGGAGTCTGGGAAAAACTGGAAAAAGGGGATTTTAAAAAGTGTTGCTGTGGGTCATATATTGGATACTGTTTAATGTCTTCAGGAAAAACAAGTAAAGATTAACTTTTCTTTTCTCTTTCTTTTCTTTCTTTCTTTCCTTCTTTCTTTTTTCTTCCTTTTTTTTTTTTTTTTTCTGAGATAGGGTTTCACACTGTTGCCCAGGCTGGAGTGCAGTGGCATGAACAGGGCTCACCACAGCCCTGACCTCCCAGGCTCGAGCAGTCTTCCCACCTCAGCCTCCTGAGTGCCTGGGACTACCGGTGCTTGCCACCATGCTCAGCTAATTTTTTTTCACATTTGTGTAGAGCCAGGGTCTTGCTATGTTGCCAGGGCTGGTCTCAAACTCCTGGACTCAAGTGAACCTCTCATCTTGGCCTCCCAAAGTGCTGGGATTACAGGCATGAGCCACTGTGCCTGGCCAGATATTATTTTAAATTACTCTTGGTTACTGGCTACATGGGACCCTAGGAATTATTTATTTACATATATGTACAAAAAGAAAGGACTGGAAAGAACCCAAAACATTAGAAGTTGTTAACTCTGTGTTAGTGGAATTACTGGGCATTGACACTTTAATGTAAGTTTTAAATAAAAATATGTATTAATTAGAGAGTGATGCACTATTGTGTAAAGAGGGTATAAATATTTTCAATAGAGTCATCTGGGCAGGCTGAATTGCATAGGGTTAAAGAGTGAATGAGGGTGATAAAGTGGGTTTAGATTATTTCTCAAGGAGTCTGGCTGTGACTAGGACAGACTTGGGCAAGAGAGGCAGGAAAATCCAAGACATTTGTGGAGGGAAGGGGATTTCAGGATGGCAAAACCTGGAAAGTTTGACAAATTAGACAGCAAATACCCTGTAAGGGTATATTGTTTTGAAACTTTTTTTTATAATTTGCATGTACTAGAGACAGAAGGCATTTTATGATATGTTCTTTAATTAGCTTTGAGGTATTTCTCACTTGATCCAAATTATACTGGTTAAGAACCAAGAGGTAATTTTCTCAGCTGAGTCTTAACTGAGTCAAGAATCTGATTTTTCAACAATCAAGAGGTTAGAATGAAATAATAAGAAAAATAAATTTTAAAGGACTCTTAAAGAGAAGTGCTAATTCAGGAATTCTAGCTGAAATCTGTAAAATCATGGTTAAATTGGATGTAGATTAGTTCATTAAATTCTGAGACTTCAGAAATTAGAGGCAGACACATAAAATTAGGTATACTTCTTATGTGAGGTATTAATTAATTGAATTTATGTCCTCAGGCTGAATTTAAATACACTCAAAAAGAGGTTGCATTAATTCTTGGATAACTGATTAAATATACACTAAAGAAAATGAAGGCTTTAGGGGGAGCAGCCCCCAGTCTTCCTGAGAGGGTATCAAGGATGACAGTGATGATCACATATTGCAAGATGCTGCCTTTGGGACTAAATGTTACACTGGAGGAATCATCAGGCAGTCCTCAGGTCTTCAAATTCCCAGAGATGACTAATGTGGATAGTTGGTGAAGCTGATGAAGTATTGGATTTGGTCTATGACAGGTGAAGACATACCTATCACACAGGCTTCAGCTGGGAAGGACTGTCAGAGGGTGCCTAAATATAATTTTCTCAGCCTTTCTTGCTGAGAGTCTGGAGTACATATTTGGAGGAGGTTATGAGGGAGAAAGTGATGAATGCAAAATGCTGTGGTTAAATAATGAAGTATAAAATTGGAAAGAGATATTAACTTGTAAAGAAGGTGTAAAAGAAAAGACAAAAGGGTAGATTTTGCAAGATCAGCCAGGGTTTATCATGGAGAGAGAAGTAGTTGGCAGGTGACAGAGGTCACAAGTCAGAAAGATAATAAACTGCTACCTGGTTGGAGCCGGTGTTCACAGAGACACTGAGACGCTATTGAATTCTGAGGCACATCTCTCCCAGTGTGTGTGAAGACAAGGTCTCAAAGGAGCAGGGAAGATATTGGAGAAGAAATTCATTTGGTGGCTACCATATAGAAAGTGTTCAGGGAATTCAAAACAGAAGAAAGGCAACAAGTTCAAGGACAAAAGCAAAGCCATTCTAACCATAGGTTAGAATGGGAGACATGGGAAGCGGGGAGAAGGGGAACAAATATGGGCTGAGGGTCTGCTAGAAAACAAGCAGAAACTTCCAATGCAGCTATTATTATTATTGTCATTATTATTTTGAGATGGAGTTTTGCTCTTGTTGCCCAGGCTGTAGTCCAATGGTGCAATCTTGGCTCACCACAACCTCCGCCTCCTGGGTTCAAGCAATTTTCCTGCCTCAGCCTCCCGAGTAGTTGGGAATTCAGGCATGCACCACCACACCTGGCTAATTTTGTATTTTTAGTAGAGATGGTGTTTCTCCATGTTGGTCAAGCTGTTCTCGATCTCCTGACCTCAGGTAAGGCTGGTCTCAAACTCCCAGTCTCAGGTCATCTGCCTGCCTTGGCCTCCCAAAGTGCTGGGATTACAGGCATGAGCCACCATGCCCACCCTGATACAGCTATTTTGATGCCTCTGTATTAACTCAAGCTTTTTAATCCAGTTGCTTCAAACTTCCTGGTCAAAATGTATGTCAACTATTTATGAAATAATGAATTAACATGTACAACTTATATACTTGACTCTCACTTAATGATGGGAGACGTCCAGTAATATTTTATTAATTTCTACAATACTTTTGGGTTTTTATAAGTATATTTTACTCATACAATCAGACAAAGCTAAGCTGGGTGCAGTGGTGCATGCCTGTAATTCCAGCACTTTGGGAGGCTCAGGCAGGCAGATTGCTTGAGCCCAGGAGTTCGAGACCAGCCTGAGCAATATGGTAAAACCCTTTCTCTACCAAAAATACAAAAAATTAGCTGGCCATTGTGGTGCACACCTGTATTCCCAGCTACTCAGGGGACTGAGGTAGGAGGATCATCTGAGCCTGGGAAGTCAAGGCTGCAGTGAGCTGTGATCACACCACTGTACTCCCGCCTGAGCAACAGGGTGAGACTCTTGTCTCAAAAAAAAAAAAAAAAAAAAAAAAAGACAAAGCTAGAAAAATTCTATTAGAACAAGATTGTCTTCCATGGATATGTCACACGAACTCCAAAATAGTTCCTATGAAAGGGTGTATTCATGTTAAATAAAATGTAGCAATGATAGTCAAGGAAATAATAATATATAATAAAGGTATATTACTGAGCATATTACACATCACACTCAAAGTAGAGTCACATCACATATTTTCTTTAAAGGTTAGGTTTAAAACCTAACCTCCCACCCCGAATAAAACTATGTAAAAGAAGTATGGCTCCACTGTTGTCCACACAACTATAAACAGATCTATGAAGATTTATTAAGGTTGAGAGGCTTAGAAAATTGTTGTGATCGACATGAGCAGGCAGGAGCCCTGGAACTCCCCAGCCTACCCTGTTAACCACTACTGATTTGATTGCTATCTTGAAGCAAAATAATAATAAATAATTATTTTTCATTATAAATAAACAATAATTTAAATTATCCAAATCTGCCCATGGACTTTTCTTATAATCCCTCATTTAGTTAACTTCATATACATAATTACTATACCCATATTACTTGAATCCACATGAGACTCAGGAATGAGGTGAAGTCAGGGTCCCCAGGTTGGTTGTGCAAGCTGTGCCCTGTGCAAGGGCCTTGTCCCACTGAAGGGGAAAGGGAGGAGCTGAATGCCTCGTCTGTGTCCCTTTGTGTGGGGGACTGAGTCTAAGGGGTTGGGGGTTAGAATAGGGGCTGCATTTTGCAATGTGCTTAAAGGCAATATATAGGCCAGCTGGGGACCAGGGAGGATGTCTGCTTTATGCATTAAACTTCATACGAGTTTAAGGGTCAATTATTTAGACAAAATATCTTAGTTTCAAAGTGGCTATGAGGTAGATAGTATTTTAAATACCAATTCACATTTTTCCACCCTAAATGCCTCCCTCCCTTCCTGTCCCTGGTAGAGAGGGGTGGTAACATTCAAGCAGATGCTTATTTCGCTGAGATTTCCATAATTAAGACAAGAGAGAGAACTGGGCAGGAAACCAAAGGTGTCTATAAATTATTTTGACTTTTGTCTTATAAAAAGTCTAAGCACTTAGGGGAGGGAGATTGGCAGGTATAGACAAAATGTCATGGTAAACAAAGGGGAAGCAGGAGATTTCCTTGGGTTGTGGAAAGTGGCGGGGTGGGGAGAGAGGGAGGAGAGAGAGAGTAGGAGGGAGGGAAAGAGGGCAGAAGAAGCCTTCAGAGTAAAAAATAATATAAAATGAAGAAATAAAGTTACCTGAATAATGTAAATTCAGGTAAATATAAATAGCTGTATCAGAATCATGGTTCTTGCCTATCACATGCCAGGCATTGTATGAAGCAGGTTCACACCTATTCTCTCATAATCTTCACAATAGCACTGTGAGGCAAATGTTATCATCCCATTTTACAATTGAAACATCATAGCTTAAGACACAGCTAGTAAGTAGATGGGCAGGGATGCAAACCCAGGTCTGTTTTTCTTCCTGCCCTACATACCTATTATCAGCAACATGTACCTAAACTCAGGGACAAAGGCAATACACTGGGGTTCTCAGAAGGTTAAAAAAAGAGCTCAGTCGTTTATAGCACTGGGTCTATCTCATTGCTATAGTACTGGTTCTGTCTCATTTTATCTTATATACTCTGCAAGCAGAGTACGTAAGTAATAACGATAATTAGAGAAAACGCCCACTATTACTAGACCAAAAGGAGGAAACTCCTAGAAAAAGAATGGAAGTCCTAGGTCTGAAGAGACTGTGATAGTGATCTGTGACCACAATAGACTTGCATAATTCAGCCCAGATAGCAAGACTCTCACCCCTATGCCAGATTTCAAAGGCCTCTCTTCAAAGATGTCTGTATTGAATGTATTTTCTATATTTTGTGGTAAGTTTAGATTAAAAACAAAAAAAAAACCATGAGCATGTAGATATTTTGACCAACCTATAAAATATAAAATATTTTGACCAACCTATAAAATTTCCGCTCATCCAATTCACCTGAGCAGTTCTAGTAAGTCCGAACTACTCCTGTGTCCATCTATATGCCATTAGGCTAGAAAAATACAAGCTTATGTGCGCATGTGCACACACACACACACACACACACACACACACACACACACGCAGACTGTTAATCAAGTTTGTCCTAAAGTTGCCTCCTTACATATTTTAAGTTCTGCCTAAAGGTTTCTCCATACATAGTGAACCATAACCTAATTGGATGTGTAACCTACTCTTGTGCCAATCATGGTGACACACTATTAAAACTGTGTTCAAGTAAGTCATATGCCGAGCTGCAACCAATCTGGCTATTTCTGTACCTCATTTCTGTTTTCTGTACATCACTTTCCTTTTTCTGTCCATAAATCGTCTTCTACTAGTGTCTGCACTGGAATCTCTCAGAACCTATCCTGGCTCAGGTAGAATAATTTGTGAATTGTCCTTTGCCCAATTAAACTCTGTTAAATTAGATTTGTCAAAGGTTTTTCTTTTAACAATATGTATATACATAATCAATCCATCATTTCCAAAATTCCCACCTCATATCATTTGTCTGTGTCTCACCCAAATCTCATCTTGAATTATAGTTCCCATAATCCTCACGTTTTGTGGGAGGGACATTCATGGTGGGAGGTAATTGAATCATGGGGATGGTTACCCTCATGATAGTGAGTTCTCACAAGATATGATAGTTTTATAAGGGGATTTTCCCCCTTTCACTTAACACTTCTCTCTCCTGCCGCCATATGAAGAAGGATGTGTTTGCTTCCCTTTCCGCCATGATTGTAAGTTTCTTGAGGCCTCCTCAGCCATGCAGAACTGTGAGTCAATTAAAAATATGTCCTTTATAAATTACCCAGTCTTGGTTATTTTTTCATAGCAGCATGAGAATGGACTAATACACCACCCAAGTTTGAGCAGAAAACAGACACACTTTAGCATTTATTAAAATAATACTTTAAAAAACTATCTATTTTTTCCAATGACCATGGTATTCTATTTAGGTATTTCTAGTCAAGGCTTTGGGTATATGATAAGCTTCAATTCACAGGACCAGGTTACCTGGTTAGGATCAGGATCAACTTCATCCCAGTTGTGAGTGACTTGGCCTTCGTCAATGGATTCAAAGGGCTTGTGAGAAACTGAAGGTAGAATCCTATACAGCCAGCTAGAGGGAAAAACATACAAGATATACAAGCCTTAGAGTAATGTTCTGAGTGATACACAGAATGGCTCAGGCAGTACCATCAGGAAGACACTCAAGTCAACAACGACCTGTAGGCTCTAATGTGTGAAGCAGTGAAGCAATGATACAGCATCACTTTTCATGGCCATCTGCTGCCCACAGCCCTGGCCTCTTCTCACTTTTTCATTCCACCCATCATGCTTCAAATGGACTCTGACTCATGGTTATTTCCATGCTGCCAAAAAATGAAGAATTGTCTTTTCTAAAAACTATAAGGGAAGGGGAAGTACCTTGAGGGATATCTGTGTAGGAAAATCCATAGAAAAACATTAGCTTATGTGTGTATCATAGGATGCTAGTCCTTGCTCTGGAAGGCAAGAACAATGAGTTCTACGCAGCTTGAGAGAATATGGGTGGTATCTTTGTTATTTTTGAAATAGTAAATCAATTTTCTCCTTTAAAATTACAAAAGTAATACATGCCAAAGGTAAAAATAATTCAAGTAATTAAAAAGTCCTGAAAGGTAAATGGCACCTTCGTCCTCCAGTTTCTTCAGGGCTATTCCTCAGAGGCATCAGAGCTTAGTGATTTTCTTATATATTTCTTATATATTCTTTCAGATACGTCCAGTGCATTTCTAAACAAAATTATCAGATCATTTTAACTCTTTATTATCATACTAACAACGTGTGAGAGTGCCTGGTCACCCACATCTTCACAAATCTGGAGTATTATTAAAAATTTTAGTGTTTTAGGTGAAAAATAGTATCTCATTTTATTTTGTATTTCCTTTATTATGAATTAGAAAATACAAAATATTTCCAAAAAACAAGTCTATTTGTTTATTGGCTCTTTATAGTTTTTCTGTGAATTACTTGTAGAAGTCCTTTATCATTTTCTATTGGGTTTGTCTTTTTGATATTAATTTATAAGAGAAAAAGATTCTGGAAAGGCTGTGGAGAGATAAGAATGCTTTTACACTGTTGGTGGGAATGTAAATTAGTTCAACCATTGTGGAAGGCAGTGTGGTGATTCCTCAAAGACCTACAATGAGAAATACCATTTGACCCAGCAATCCCATTACTGGGTGTATACCCAAAGGAATATAAATCAATCTGTTATGAAGATACATGCACACGTATGTTTATTGCAGCACTATTCACAATGCAAAGACATAGAATCAACCCAAATGCCCATCAATGATAGACTGGATAAAGAAAATGTGGTACATATACACCATGGAATACTATGCAGCCATAAAAAGGAATGAGATCATGACCTTTGCAGGGACATGGATGGAACTGGAAGCCAATATTCTCAGCGAACTAAAGCAGGAACAGAAAACCAAACACTGCATGTTCTCACTCATAAGTGGGAGCTGAACAATGAGAACACATGGACACAGTGAGGGGAATAACACACACTGGGGCCTGTTGGGGGGTGGGAGTTGGGGGAGGGAGAGCATTAAAAAAATGGCTAATGTATGCTGGGCTTAATACTTAGGTGATAGGTTGATAAGTGCAGCAAACCACCATGGCACACATTTACCTATGTAACAAACCTGTGCATCCTGCACCTATACCCTGGAACTTAAAATAAAATAAAAATAAATTAACACTTCTGTACTCTAAAATTATAAGAGTGTATGTCCATGTTTTATTGTAGTACATTTATGCCTTTATTTGTCTTTCTTTCTTTTCTTTTTAAAGTGTGTCCTCTCTACCAGGACCAGATCTCAGGCTTCAGGAAGGGAAGAAGACTCTGATAAAGGAATCTGAAAGGACACCAGGATAAGACCTTCCAGAAGCTGGAAGGGACATTGAAGCTCACTAAGAGGGACCCAAGTCCTTTCAGAGGGTACTGCCCTGACAAAATACAGAAGGACAACGGAAGACCAGACCTGAATCAACAGGCTCTGGCCCTTTCAAGACCAAGGACAGTCTACCTCAGTGAGTTGAGTTGGCCTGGCCCAACATTGAGCCATCTGGGGGAAAAAGGGCTAGATCTGTTTAGTTTCCATTTGATTTCTCCATCTCTTGATGACGTGACCTCAGACCTTGGTCTTACTAAGCCTCTCCAGCTCCCAGTATATGAAGTTCAGAGCATGTGTGTATGTCTTGGAACCACCTGTGTGATCCTGGGAGAGTTACTAGACTTCCTGAACCTTATGTTCTTCATCCTTGTCACCTAAGATTGTTGTGAGAACTCAGAGAGTTTGTGTACCAAAAATGCCTGGCATACAGTAGCTGCTGGCTTATCATGTGTTTGTTAAATTGCCTTTCTTCTCTTAATCTTCTGAATTTTTATCACAGTCCACATTTTCCAAATTATCTCTCCAGACTTTTGCCTTTTCAAGACCCAAGGGATCAATCAGCTAGCTAATCTGATAAAAATTAATCCCTGATAGGTAGGTAGGTAGGTACGTAGGTAGGTAGATAGACTCTTTAATAGTTTTGTGGTGGCCCTGTATGCTATGGTTCAGATGAGTAGTAACTAAGAATTTCAGGCTGGCCTACTTATGGATAAGACTGGTCCCATTTTCCCACTGGAGATTTTGGGTGGGAAGCATTTCCACAAAATTCTTGTGGATATCTTTGGAGAGTTCTTCTAAATAGATGGGTGAGCCATACCTAGTGTCCCTTATTTTTTAGCTGAGTTTATAAAACTCCCCAGGCAGTACTACATTGCCCTGAACAGAGATTTAATTCTGATTCAGGGAACAGTGCCAGCTTCTTAATGAAATGCCAACAGCTCCTTTTCAGCCTGCTGGAACAAAGCTCAGCTCCTGCTGGCTGAAGATATTGCTGAATAATGGGGACAGGCTGCAGAATCCGGAGACCAGGTGGCCTGTTAGGGAATGGGCCATAAAGTCAAGAACATAGTCATAGAGGACAGGTTGTCATAAATTAGAATGGACAGAATTATCTGCGTGCTTATCTTACCCTATTTGGGCTTACAGAGAGAGAGAGAGAGATGATTAAATAGTGAAGGAATTATCCCCTGATTTTTGACATGTATAGAAATCTTTCTCTATCTCTTCCTCTTCCCACGCATATATCTATTGAGAGAAAAGTACTGTTGATACTGACATTGTAACATAGCACTTGCCACATATCATGCCCAGTTCTCTTGACAGCCTCCTAGAGATACCCTGGAAATGAGGCAGAAACTCTGCTATGATGGCAATACTTAATGATAGTTATCATGACAATAACTAGCATTAACTGAGCACTAACCATGTGCCTGTGCCAATGTGCTAAGCTAAGCTAATGTGCTTTACACACATCCTTTCTTTTAATCCTCACCACAGCTATGAAATAGGTACCATAATTATCTTTGTTTTACGAATGAAGAACTAGAGGATCCAAGAGGGCAGATGATTTACCCAAGGCCACACAGCTGGAAAAGGAGCCAGGATTTATACTTAGGGGGCCTGCCTCCAGGGTGGCCATGATTAAACCTTGCAATCTTTATCATTTGTGTGGTCCATTATAGTTTTTTACTTACTATCTCATTTGCTTCTCAGAAGGACCTGTGGAGATAAACCCAGGCTGCCCTACTAAGCAGTACAAGACCACATGCCCTTCTCCCCGAGTCTCTAATACCAGCAGCATTCCTCTTCACAAATACCTCAGCCTAAAATTTTTATAATTAGACACTATTTGTTTAAATCATAACACTTACTGCCTCCCAAAACTATAACACATACTGCATCCAACCTGCCTGATATGAGTTAATCAAGGGATTACGTTCATTGACCTGGATGTAGGATTAGAGCAAACATGGAACATGGCACAGTATGTAAATGAATATGCTGGTTTCTAGCAAAGGCGAATACCAGAGTAAAAACCTTATTAATTCAAACCACAGTGGGCCATAATATGTGACTTTTTAACTATCCAAACTTCGTTTACCCAACATTTTCTTGCAAAGAACATACCTCTAGTCAGCTGAGAAAGATATTGCTCTGAATCTTCCATAATTGTGACTTAGTCATTATAAAACAAAACAAAACAGGTAAACCCCAAGCCAAAACTCAACAGGACAGTCTTTAGAAGAAGACCAAACTATTAGGAATATTTCCTTCTGAATATAGGAGGTAATTTGTAAATGGAACTGGACATGTGTATTTTCCCAGCTCTGTGCAGCTTTCCTTCACCTTCTTCCACCAGTCACTTGGTGCTAGCTGGCAGGAAGTTCATTCTCTTCTGACCATGACCCAGACCATAGCCTATAAGAAGCAGGATCTTGGGCAGCTCTGGGAGGCTGTGGCCCAGGGGAAGGAGGCAGCACAAAGTCCCTGTCATAGTACCCACAGTCTGCAGGTCAGAATTCATCTAATCCTTGTACCTTCTCTTATTGGTGCTCCGTGGACAAGTGAAAGCCGATCCTGAGAGCTGCTCAGCATAGAGATTGTAGGGGCAGACCTGAGGATTATTCTGAAACAAAGGATGCAATAAACAATATTACTCCCATCCGAAAAGCATCCCACCTTCCCACCAACCAACTCAGTAGGGGGATGGGGATGCTCTGGGCGACTGCACATGACCATCTGCAACCCGATATGTTTCTTGTAACAACTTTTGATGTGACTTGCCCCCCGATTATAAAAGTAATATATATTTATTGTAGAAAATGTATAAACTATATGATAACACCCATTATCTCACAACCAGAAATAACCAAGCGTTCACATGTTGGTATTTTTCCTTGCATTCTT